>NC_000015.10:83607938-83939002 GCF_000001405.40 Homo sapiens
GTCACCTGCCAGAAAGTTTATTTTGATAAATAAATGGCCCGCAGGTTTTGAGGTATCTGCAAAAGTCATCACAATAGACAAGTCATTGTTTTGTAAGGTGGGGGAGGGCAAAACTTTATTAGTTAAACCCATCTAATATAACCCGAGTAAATTGAGGAAGATTGGCATTAAGGTTAACATAAATCACACATGCTTATTTTTACAGATTTCAATGATTAAGCTTGAGTTCCATTGACAAGTAATTTCAATAAATCACATCTCCTGTGGATAAATACAGGGCTGTTATTTCTAGAAAGACAGCAGTTCATTGACTTTTACTAGATTTTACTTAGTAGTGCACAACTTAACCCTCATAGACCAACACTTCAAATTTCCAGATAAGGAAATCAGGACCCAAAGATGACCTAATCCATAGCAAAGATGCAGGGATCTGAAGCTTCTGTCCAGTGCGCTCTTACCCATGGACAAAAACAATATGTTAGAGATGTTGAACTAGATAGTGTCTGTGGTATCTATCAGCATTAGACACCAGTGTTGTATCTGGGTCAGATAGAGAGAAAGTATGTGCTTCAAATGAATTCTGCTATAAGAATTTGAGATTATAAATGGGAAAAAAGAAACTTTTGAAGGGAGTTTAAACCAGATATGCTTGTTTGAACTCAGAGGAGATGGTATCTCACAGATTGAGCACGGTGCCTGGCTCCATGCTCCTGGCTCCATGCTTTCAAACACTCGGTGAGAGTTTGAAAATGAATTGGAACCAGAAATAAACCTGAAAGTTCCAAATTGGGTTTCTACCCGCCCCCCACTCCCCCCGCCCGCCCATGGTAGGAGATGAACTGTCTAGTCTGATGGTGCAGGTACAGTCAAACCTCAGGGTAACCTGGGTTCTGGGATCGAAGCTTCTAGGAGACTTGGGGTCCCATTCCTGACTGGGGCATGGACTCCCCTCATCAATGGTTACCTTCCTCTCTGTTCATCAGCTGCTCTACAAGTGGTGTAAGTAATAAGGGAACATGTTTGGATTTCCTGACTTCAGGCCAGGAAGTGAGCGGAATATAAGCCCACCCAGCCCAAAGGGGTGTTAACCTGCCTTGCTGGAAAGTGGGCTTTGGAGTCAGAGGGAAGCCCAGATCCTGGCTCAGTTCATACCTTTGGGTCTCAATTTCGTCATCTGACGAGTGCGGATTCTCATTGCTACCTCACAGGATTATTCTAAGGATTAAATTAGATCTTGTGAATTAGGGGTGCTGGGAAAGGGACTCGGTACAGAGTAGGAGCCCACAATGCAGCGCTGTTAATGTTACATAATCGGTTATCTGATTTCCCAGCCTACAGCAGACTGGAACCAGCAGATTAGGAAGGCCCAAGGGACTGCTTCGGGAAGGCCATTGACAGCAGGAAAAAGTGACAGGTCGCAGCCAGACTACAAGGGAGGCAAGAGAAAAACTATAAAAAGCAGGAACAAAAACACTCAAAAGACACAGCAGTCTGGGGGATTTACTAAAAGACAAAGAGCCCTACTCAGGTCAGTAGCTTCTGGGAGACTCCATACCTTGTACCCCAACAGGGACTTATGTTGACAGCGTTGTATGAATTACTTCTCTCTCCATCCCCTTTGCCCCTTGAAATAACTATGGGGGTGGGGTCATAGTTTGCCTTTCAGTGGGGATGCTCTGACCGAATGCTTCCAGGTCATGAAGTTCCCAAAGTCAAGGCCAGCAAAGGAGCAAGCACAGTGGGCTCCTTCGGTGGTCTGAAAAGAACCCAAGTTCCACAAAAGAGCTGTGAGTTTTAGTGCAACAGAGAGAAGGATGCCCCTTGCGCCACTGACCACTCTTTCCACCTTCACCTCCCTTAAAGTCAGGGTTAGAGATGGAGCCCTGGAGAACAGGCTTCCAGATCCTGGCATGTGGGAGAGAGAGAGAGAGAAAATGAGAAGGCCAGGCTGCAGACACGCCAGTCCCTTCTGATGCCATCTCTACTCTGGTGTCTAATCCACCACCTGGAGTGGGCACTGTTTTTAACTGAAGCCTGAGCTGCTCACTTTGAAGCTGGAACTCAGGCTGAAGAAGGCAGGACAGAGACTAAGTGCCTGGAAGTTATCCCTCAAGTGCGACAGGCAAGGCTAGGTGGGACCTGGACAGACCTTCCTGGGGATCTGCGTAGGATTTAGGTAGAGAATGCTCTTAGAGAGCCTTCAAAGGCCTGGGAGCATCCTGAGGTATGCTGAGCTGAGGACCCAAAGGCTCATTCCAAGCCCAGCTGATGGGCCACCCCATTGAATGGGATTGGCTCAGAAATGGTGTGGGAGAAGGCTGGGCGTGGTAGCTCATGCCTGTAATTCCATCACTTTGAGAGGCCAAAGCAGGAGGATCACTTAAGCCCTGAAGTTTGAGACCAGCCTGGGCAACATAGTGAGACCCCACCTCTATAGAAAATACCAAAATTATCCGGGCATGATGGTGCCTGTAGTCCCAGGTACTCAGGAGGCTAAGGTGGAAGGATTGCTTGAGCCCAGGAGGTCAAGGCTGCAGGCCAATAGCAGGGCACTGTACTGCAGCTCGAGGAACAGAGCAAGACAGTCTCAAAAAAGAAAAAAGGAAAAGGAAAAGAGAAAAGAAAGAAAAAGAAAAAGAGTGGGGATAAGACCACAAACTAACAATTTTCAGGGGGTATATTGCATAGGGATCAAGAACGTGGACTCTCTACCTGGCCCGAGGTCAAGTCTCAGTGTTGTGGCTTAATTGTGTTAAATTTGTGTCCTCAATTTCTCCATCCCTCACATTGGGGGAAATAGTGGTACCTACTCATAGGATTTCTCTGGGAATTAAATCCATAAATCCACTAATATCTCTGAGACACTTAAAATATTGTCCTGGCACATGGTAAACACTAACACCTGAGAGTTATTATTTCGTCCCTGTAGCTGAGTAGGGCTGAGGAATTGTAGGATTGGACCGCCTCTACCTTAATAAAATGTGCTCAGCATTTCTGCATATGCAAGTAACCCTTTGCAGCAGCAGGGACTTCAGCCAAAAAATATATATATATATATATAATATGTATGTGTGTGTGTATAAATGTATGTGTGTGTGTCTATATATATATATAGAGACAAAATAAGTGGAGTTGGGGGAGGGGCACCGCAAATAATGTTCCTGCTGTTAAAATAAGAGGGACTGAACCATATTAATGCCAAGGGGGAAGTTCAGTTTATTTCAGGGGGGACGTGGTTTTCCTACCTCCTACTGTGTTACTGATACAGTACTTACTGACCAGCCGTCTTAAACTCTTGTGGTAGGGTCTCTCTCTCTCTCTCTCTCTTTCTCTTTTTCCTAATGGTGTGGAACAGAGCTTGAATAATAAATATTTAACAGGGACACTCCCTTTTCTCTGTTAAAATAATCTTTGTTTCAATACTTTAACAAGGAAGACTGTGTTTTCCCACCTCTGCTCTCACGTTTCGTTGAAGCCAGGTCTCAGGAGTAAGAGAAAATCAACACAAGGCCACTTGGGGAGGGCAGTGCTGGCTGAAGCCGTCTCACTGGACAGCCCAGGGTCAGGGGTTTCAGCCGCCTGTTCAAGGACACCGAGATCCACAGCAGCCACCTGGGAGCTCCTACACAACTATGCCCAGCGATTCCAGGTGCCAGCTACTGAATGTGAGAGAGCAAGGAGGTGGAGGTGGATGAGGAACTGCCAGCTGCAGGACCACAGGGGCAAGGGGAAGGGGTTGTCAACAGGGATGGGACGCTGGGTAGGATCAGTCTTTTCTTACGAGACGTTTTCAGCTGAGGTGCTGGCTTCTGATGGTGGGAAACCAAGCATTCAGGTCCCTTGGAGAGGCTTATATCTAACAGTTGGAAAGCCTCCATTGAGGAAATCCAGCCCATTCTGCCTGGACTTTGGGGCTCCATCCATGGTGACTTTTGTGTCAAGGGAAAATTCACACACTGTCCCTCAGGCGGGCAGCAACTTAATTTCTCTTTAGCTGAACTGAACTTGCTTGCAAGCCTCTATGTAGACCAATGGCGGAAACAACTTAATCTTTTTTCCATTTCTGTTGTTGACCAAAAAAAAAAAAAAGCTTTAAAATCTTTTTTCCATTTCTTCTAATGGTGGAAAAAAGCATAATCTTGCCATTTCAAGGTAGCTCAGTCTCTTCCAATAGAAAGCATAGACTATCCGTTTATGACTTAGGCGATTCCAGATTTAAACACAGTCAATTCAGAGTAGAAATTCCCTATCAGGGCTGTTGGTTTTTCTTGAAGGTTCTCTCCTCCCCCTGGTCCAGTCCTAAGATGTTGCCTAGATGTGAGGGGGGTTTACAGAACATCATGGTGGCAGGTAGGGAGGCTCACTTCCACAGCTGAGGTGACTCGTCACAGGAGGCCTGGGGCCTGGGCCAGGATCTGTGCTGACATCTGTGGCTTAGGCCTCCCTCTCTGGGTTGCTGAATCTCTGTATTTGGAGCCGTGTGTCACTGCCCCCAGGCAGCCTCTGGCCTCAGTGGCCCCTCAGCACTTCCTGCTGGGGACTTGAGGGAATTTGTTCACAGTTCACAGGGAGCGACCAGCCTTCAGGCCCCATCTGTACTTAGTGACACCACATGGTTTCCACTGGGCTCCAGCCCCCGTGTTAGTCCAGAGAACTTTGACAGCTGCCTTCTCCCGGGATTTCTGTGGAAAGTGGAGTCTAAGACCCCCTTCCCCAGGGTGGCATCCAAGGAGCATTTCAATTTTCTTGCTCACCCTCTTCTCACTGCAGGCCCCTTCCCTGCTTCCCTGCCTCCAGAAAGAGCTTGTATCTCTTCTCTGGATGGCAGGAAACAGCTCCTCCCTCTCCATGGCTTGTAATCAAAATGCTAGGCTCTGAGTTCTTCAAGCTCTAGTTCTTGGAACCCAGAAGTTTCTCTCTCTCTCTCGCTCTTAAATCTTATAAAAGCCTACCTGGCTCTAGCATGAAAGCCTAAAAGCCTTGGCTTTCACAATGTTTCACAACTGAAATGGTATTATTTGGGAATTTAAAAGCTAAACATTGACTGCTTTGTTCATGTCTGGGTTCCACCCTCCTCCTCAAGTAAGGGAGGCAAGCCCCAGCTCCTTGGGTTGAGGGCCCCAGGCAACAGAAATGACCCAGAATGAAAAATGCATTGATACTTCAGAATATCGTCCGGCTGCATGTATAATTCAGGGCAGCCAGTCTGAGCTCTGGTTGGGGTGGATTTACCAACTGCCTACTTAGCAAGTGCCAATTGCTCTTAGTGTTGTAGCCAGCCCAGTGGTGGCTGGAGGGCCAGGTGCACTTGTACTGCCTGAGTCAGGGAGTTCTTGAACAGGGTCTTTCTACTCAGTGGTCTCTGGAGAGATGCCCTGCCTTGGGTTTAGGTGCTGATGGAGTGTGATATGAGTGCTGGTCTCTTTCCAGCTCTCAGAATATCAAAGTGGGCAATGTGGCAGTGGTTCCTTGCCAAGAATGAATGACATGAGAAGTGAGTAATGCAGCTTTTCCATGATTTGTTCTGTGTGTGTGTGCAGCAAGAACCCAGGTTTACACATGGAGGTGGTGGCCTGGTTTACACATGGAGGTGGTGCATACACTTGGACAAATGTATGCTTGCCACTAAGCATTTTGGTCATTGCAGGTGGCTTATAGAGTAAATGGGAGGGAAATATATAAATCTATCTATCTATCTATCTATCTATCTATCTATCTATCTATCTATCTATCTATCATTAGCCCTGTAATCAGTGTGTCAGCCTATGAAATGTCTTGGCAACCCTTAGTGGTGTCATAGATCATGTACGAGGTGACATGGAGCAAGGTAGCTGATGGCCTAGGGTCTGGAGCCCTCCTGTTTCTGGCTCAGCCAGTAGCCCTGGGGCCAGGCCATTATGACCTCTCAGAGGCATTGATGGCTTCTCTTGGAAAAGGAGAGGACTCATGGAGGACTGCCAAATTCCATTCTAGCATTAACATTCTGTGTTCAAGGAAATGCTTCCCGAGACTACCATGTGGTTTGGCACCTGACCCCTTCTCTGTTAAAAACTAGTCTAGTAGTGGGAGAAATGCTAAAAGAATAATAATTATTTTTATAATCCACATTAAAACAGTTATACATTAATAAAGTAGACTTTGACTCACAGCTCAGGTTGCCCTTGGTTTTCAGTGCTCAGCCCCCACCTGCCCACCCATATACACACTCCATGACCCAAGGAAAATGAAAAGTTCTGTATTGTAAGCCCTCTATTCCCCATGCTTTGTTTGAAATCATTGAATGTTGTTCTGTTCAAATTCAAAATAGTGAACTAATCCCCAATATTTACAGCCTTCCACCCCCTAGCTTTCATCATTATGACAAGAGGAATACACAGACTTAGGCAGGGGTGGGGTCTGTCACGGAAGGAGCTGTCTAGAGGCTAGAAACATCATGTAGATCATAGAGGTTATATTGCAGGTGGGTTCAGAGTTTCAAAGTCACGACCCAGTACAGGAGCTGCCTCCCTGAAGAGGAAGAAGAGCTCCCCTACCATTACCCCCTTCTCTTTCCTCGCCAGCTGAGTCTCTTTAACCTTTAACGCTTCCTTAGGGGAAGGAGAGGGGAGGATCATTTCACTGGTGGTTGTCAACCTACCCTGGACATAGGAAGGACCTGAGAAACAAAAAATACTGATGCCGGGTTCACCCTGGGCAGTGGGCTGTTTAGTGTGCCACCAAGTTGAGAACCACTGCCATAGGAAGGCAACAGGAAGCCACCTTGGTACAACCTGGGGAGCTCCGCTGATGAAGGCTCCTTAGAGTGCCCTGTTCCTTAGAGATATAGGCGCTACTCCATGAATTTCAAGCTGTCTAAACAACTATAATATAATCCTTCTCACAACAGGAATCTCCATTGCCCCAACTCTTGTCTTCCTCCTCCCATAATGCTGTCACCTCTCTACCCCTCCCCAGGACAAAGGGGCATCTCATTTGGCCAGCCACAGAAATACCCCAACGTACCTATTCTCTTTACTTGGACCTAGAAGACTTAGTGGAGAAAGAACATAATCTCTAGCAGAACTTGTTCAATTCTCACTTGAAGTCTAGAGGGAGGAAAAAGTCTTATAACAGAAAAAGGAAATAAAAATGGAAATCATCAAATAGGATGGCAAAAGTCACTTATTAAGAAAAAAAAAAACTCCTAAGATTAATCTTATTAATACTCAAAGAAAAAAAGTATGAACTAGTCAAAATTGAAGTGAGATTTTTGTGAGAGAAATGTGTCATATTAATACTGAAATATACCTAGTTAAATGAATTCATGAGAATAGCAAGGAAATATTGAAATAGAAGGGTAATGACTATGAACTAGTTTTACTAGTTATTAACATTTTATTTATTTATTTATTTTTGAGATGGAGTCTCACTCTGTCACCCAGGCTGGAGTGTAGTGGTGTGATCTCAGCTCACTGCAACCTCCGCCTCCCAGGTTCAAGTGATCCTCCTGCCTCAGCCTCTTGAGTAGCTGGGATTACAGACATGCGCTACCATGCCTGGCTAACTTTTGTATTTTTAGAGATGGGGTTTCACCATGTTGGCCAGGGTGGTCTCAAACTCCTGGCCTCAAGTGAACTGCCCGCCTTGGCCTCCCAGAGTGCTGGGATTACAGGTGTGAGCCACCACACCCGGCCTGTTAACATTTATTATAAAGCCACAGTATTTAAAATGATATGGTACTGTTACCAAAATGAGTCAGTGGGACAAAATAGAAAAAATCCAAAAATAGATCTAAGTCCCATGATGATTAAATATATGATAAAGATAAAGGCAATACTTGAAATCACTGGAGAAAATATGGATTATTTAAGTATGTTGTTATGACTGCATAAGCATTATTAAATATAATAGATATTTACCTCATTTTGCCAAAATCCAAATAGATTATAAAAGTTCTGATGTGAAAAAAATTAAATAAAAATACTAGAATAAAATTTAGTTGAGTCTTTATATAGGACTGTGGAGAATAAACCATGAATAGAAAGTTTGATTAGTTTGACTGCTTATACTCTTCAATTTGTGCATTCATGCCAAAACAAAATAGAAACCCCTTTCCCTGCCCCACTGCCAGCACAAACTTCAAAAACAAAATGAGAAAAAAAAAGAACAGATGATAAGTTGGGAATAATGTTTGTACCAGAAATGACAGATAAAGGGTAAATATGTGTAGTATAAAGGGACTTCTAAACATCTTAAGAAAAATAGTGATATTAGGTTGGTGCAAAAGTAATTGCAGGTTTTGCCACTAAAAGTAATGGTAAAAATTGTGATTGCTTTTTTTTTTTTTTTTTTTGAGATGGAGTCTTGCTCTGTCCCCCAGGCTGGAGTGCGGTGGCGCGATCTTGGCTCACTGCAACCTCCGCCTTCCGGGTTCACGCCATTCTCCTGCCTCAGCCTCTCCAAGTAGCTGGGACTACAGGTGCCCGCCACCACGCCCGGCTAATTTTTTTGTATTTTTAGTAGAGACAGGGTTTCACTGTGTTCTCGATCTCCTGAACTCGTGATCCGCCCGCCTCAGCCTCCCAAAGTGCTGGGATTACAAGCGTGAGCCACTGCGCCTGGCCACTGTGATTGCTTTTGCACCAACCTAATAGAAAAATAAATTGACACTAAATGTCAGATATTTTAGAAAGAATTCATGTTCTATGACCATGAAATCCTTTTCTTGGAATTTATCCTCAGAAATTAATAGTGCACATTTGTAGATATTTATGTATAAGCTCTTTTTCCCAAAGAATTGTCTATAAAAGCCAAGGGGGAATAAAAGAGACAACAGAAAGAAATGAAGAAAAAGGAAGAGAAATCGAGAAAAACAGGGAGGGAGAAGGAAGAAAAGAATGAAGGAAGGAAGGAAAAGAAGAGATGAAAAGAAGAGAAGGAAGGAAAAGAAAGAAGAACCGTAAATGTCCAACAATAGGAGATTAGTTGAAGAAATGTTACATTGTGAGAGCTGACAGCTAGTCAGTAACTAAAATTGAAAGATATTCACCCTAGCTTGTACAAGAAGAATCTTTTATGAAAACAACTATATGTAAATATATGCACAAATATAATCATGAAGACATCTGGAATCTGAAAGCTAGCCCAGTTATCTCTGGGGTAATGGTTTACAGCTCTGACTTTTCTTTCTCCACTTTGCATACATGTATTTTTTGTTTACAATTAGCATGATTTTGTTTTGAAAAAAATGTTTTTGATGTTATTCTGGGACTAGATGTCAGTAAATATTCTTGTCTGTAAATTCTGGTCTGTAAATATTCTTGCCTTTCTTGTCCTGGTTTCTCTCCTCCCGGCCCTTGTCCTGCCCATTAACTAGGAAGATCTTGCTGACCACCAAGGTCCTCCCTACTACCCTCTCCCCAGAGCTCCTGAACCATGAGTGATACACACTTCATATTTGTTCTTTAAAAGATTTTTGGCCATGCACAGTGGATCACGCCTGTAATCCCCACACTTTGGGAGGTTGAGGTGAGCAGATCACTTAAGGCCAGGAGTTCGAGACCAGACTGGCCAATATGGTGAAACCCCACCTGTACTAAAAATACAAAATTAGCTGGGCGTGGTGGCGCATGCCTGTAGTCCCAGCTGCTTGGGAGGCTGAGGCACGAAAATTTCTTGAACCTGGGAGGCAGAGGTTACAGTAAGCCAGGATCGCACCATTGCACTCCAGCCTGGGCAACAGAGCAAGACTCTGTCTCAAAAATAGATAAATAAATAAATAAAAGTTTCTCGTGTATTTTCTAATCCCCACAAAGAAACTGTAAGCTCCCAGAGAGAAGGAGGTGGGCCTGTGATTCCTCTGTCGCTCCCTTAGGGCTCCAGGTGGAGCTGACTGGCTGCTTTTGGGAGATGGGCTGGGCACGACTTCTCTGCCTGGGAGTATTGAAAAGATAGACTCTGGGCTCATGGGGTTGGCGCAGGCAGCTGGGAGAGCTGAGGCAGCCAGAGACCACAAACGGCACCGTGAGCTGGGTGGAGCTGGCCTTGTGGGAAGGAAGCAAGGCCTGCTGTTAAGGGTCTCTCTGAGCTTTTCCACATTTCCAATTTCCCATGGATAATCCATCATGTTCATCTGTACTTTTTGTCTCCATATCATGTGGACAGGTTCTAACATTCCCATGGACCAGCCCTGCTGTCGTGGTCTCTATGACTTTGAGCCAGAAAACCAAGGAGAATTAGGATTTAAAGAAGGGGACATCATTACATTAACCAATCAAATAGATGAAAACTGGTATGAAGGAATGATACACGGAGAATCGGGATTCTTCCCCATTAATTACGTGGAAGTGATCGTGCCTTTACCTCAGTAAATGTGTAACACAAACTCTGGACATACTTTCGTAACTGAAATGAATTCACACCAGTGTGCTCTCAGTGCGGTGTTCTGTGACATCCTTTGCTCTCTGACCAACTTAATGACTTTTGTATGTGTGCTCTCTTTATAATGTATTTTATATCACTTTAATTTGTATAAATGATTTTCTTGTCCTTGCTACATGAAAATATTTTCTTTTTTGCTTCCTGTCCTAAAAGTCATTGGTTAAATGTATTTGCTTCCTGTGGCTAAAAATAAGTCTCACCCATTGCAGTTATGTCAACGAATGGCCTATATTCCTCAGCTGCAATGAAATGGTAACATTTGAAACTAAGAAATGCTAAATATTTTGTTTCTCGACATTCCTGATGACGTCTGGTCTTTTCTTTTCATTGTATTTTAAGCTTACCTGTGAATAGCCCAATAAACATGACACACTGTGTTGGCAAAAGGCCTTGGTTATTTTTAATGTTGAATTGTTGATTTTTAAGCACAGTCTTCCAGCTGCAAACTCACACCCCATGGCCAACCGAAGTGTCACAGCGCAGATGCTTAGATGATGCCTCCTGATGGGAGCCTTCGCTTTCCACCTGATTCAAACATGACACGAATCCTCCTTCCAGCTGGGGGATGGAAAGCCCTTCTACTTACCTTCAAGTTTATTTATAAAAGACCCCAAATCAAGCTTCTGCTGCTGCCATATTTTGGATAGGTTTTTCAGAAAGTTGTGTTATGGGTGCTCAGGAAGTAGTGTGGTCAAGAGTTGATTGAGTCCCCAATAACATCCTCTTAGGCTCAGTGAACCAGCCCCTGGCCTTGCCTACAGTACGCACTAGTTACATGCTTTGGCCCACTGGAGTCTACAATCCTATTATGTGAAGGGGCAGGTATTATTTCCCATTTGAAAAGAAGGAGCCTCATTGACTGACTTACCTAGGATCAAACGACCACATACAGACACACCTCAGAGATATTGCAGGTTCTGTTCCTGGCTACTTACTGCAATAAAGCAAATATTGCAATAAAACAAGTCACACAAATTCTGGGGGTTTCCCAGTGTATAGAAAAGTTGTGCTTACACATAGACACGAGGAGGGGAACAACACACACTGGGGCCTGTTGCTGGGGGAGGGGAGGAGGGAGAGCATCAGGAACATAGCTAATGCGTGTCGGGCTTAATACCTAGGCGATGGGTTGGTAGGTGCAGCAAATCACAATGGCACACATTTACCTATGTAACAAACCTGCACATCCTGCACATGTACCCTGGTACTTAAGAAGAGTTGTGTTTACACTATGCTGTAGTCTATTAAATGGGTAGGAGCATATGTCTTAAAAAAACAAACTACACACCTTAATTTAAAATACTTTACTACTAAAAAATGCTAATGATTATCTGAGCCTTCAGCAAGGGGTAATATTTTTGCTGCTGGAAGTTCTTGATATTGATAGCCACTGACTGATCAGGGTGGGGTTGCTGAAGGTTGGGGTGTCTGTGGCAATTTCTTAAAATAAGACAACACTGAAGTTTGCTGTATGGGTTGACTCTTCCTTTCACAAAAGATTTCTCTGTCACATGCAATGCTGCTTGATAGCATTTTACACACAGAACTTCTTTCAAAATTTGAGTCAGTCCTCTCATCCTACCACTGCTTTATCAAGTTTATGTAATATTCTAAATCCTTTGTTGCCATTACAATAATGTTCACAGCATCTTCACCAAGAGTAGATTCTATCTCAAGAAATCATTTTCTTTGTTCAACTGTAAGAAGCAATTCCTCATCTATTCAAGCTTTTTTACGAGATTGCAGGAATTCAGTCACATCTTCAGTCTCCACTTCTAATTCTAGTTCTCCTGTTATTTCCACCACATCTGCAATTACTTTCTCCACTGAAGTCTTAAGCCCTTCAAAGTCATCCAAGAGGGTTGAAATCAACTTATTCTAAACTCCTGTTAATGTTGATATTTTGACTTCCTCCCATGAATCACAAATGTTCTTAAAGGCATCTAGAATACTGAGTCCTTTCCAGAAGGTTTTCACTTTACTTTGCCCAGATCCATCAATAGAATCACTAGTTATGGTAGCTGTAGCCTTACAAGATGTATTTCTTGAGTAATAGACTTGAAAATAGAAATTACTTCTTGATCCATGGGCTGAAGAATGGATGTTATGTTAGTAGGCATGAAAACAACATTCATCTCCTTGCATATCTCTATCAGAGCTCCTGGATGACAAGGTGCATTGTTAGCAGAGATATTGTGAAAGGAATCTTTTTCTCTGAACGGTAGATCTCAACAGTAGGCTTAAAATATTTAGTAAGCCATGCTATAAACAGACATACTGTCATCCAGGCTTTGTTCCATTTATAGAGCACAAGCAGAGCAGATTTAGCATCATTCTTAAGGACCCTAAAATTTTTGGAATGGTCAGTGCGCATTGGCTTCAATTTAAAGTCACTAGTTGTATTAACGCCTAACAGGTTAATCTGTCCTTTGAAGCATTGAAGCCAGAGATTGACTTCTCTAACTAGGAAAGTCACAGATGACATCTTCCCATGTAAGGCTATAGTTTACATTGAAAATCTGTTGTTTAGTTTAGCCAGCTTCATCAATAATCTTAGCTAGATCTTCTGGATAACTTACTTCTCCATCAGCACCTGCTGCTTCACCTTGCACATTTATGTTATGGAGGTGGCTTCTTAAACCTCATGAACCCACCCCTGCTAGCCTCAGACTTTTCTTAATGCAGCTTTCTCACCTCTCTCAACTCTGGATTAGGCTTTGGCTTCAGGTAATGCAGCTGGTTGATCATCAGACCACTCAAACTTTCTTCATATCAGCAAGAAATCTGCTTCACTTTCTTATCATTCATGTATTCACTGGAGCAGCACTTTTAATTTCCTTCAAGGACTTTTTCTTTGCATTCACGACTTAGCTAACTGAGGCAAGAGGCCTAACTTTCAGCCTACCCTGGCTTTCAATAAGCCTCCCTCACTAAGCTTAATCATTTCTAGCTTCTGATTTAAAGTGAGAGACCTGTGACTCTTCTTTCACTTGAACACTTAGAGGCCATTGTAGGGTTACTAATTGGCCTAATTTCAATATTGTTGTATCTCAGGAAATAGGGAAGCCTGAGGGGGGAATGGCCAGGCAGTGGAGCAGTCAAAACACACACAACATTTATCAGTCAGGTTCACCATCTTATATAGGCATTGTTTGTGGTGCCCCAAAACAGTTAAAATAGTAACATCAAAGATCACTGATCACAGATTAACATAACCGATATGATAATGAAAAAGTTTAATATATTGTAAGAATTACCAAAGTGTGACAGAGACAGAAAGCACATGCTGTTGAAAAAATAACGCCGATAAAAACGGTTACCGCAAACCTTCGAAGAGTTTACAAACCTTTCTAAAAATCACTATACCTGTGAAGTGCAATGAAAAGACGTAACCCTGTTGTGGCAGAGGCAGAGTTTGAAATCAGATTGCTGTACCTCACTGCACACTTAAGTGTTCACCCAAGTCACTTGGAAAGGCACTGCTGATCACTGACTTTTGTAACAAATGCCCGGAAGCCAGACTGATCACCTAAATCAGGTAACCTAAGCCAGGTTCCCCAGTCTTCTGATTCCACGGTACATCACTAAATTCACAACAATATGTTTTCCCTCCAGCCAGCTATACACACACACACACACCACTTCTCCAGAACAGTTTTACATTCAGTGTCTGTAATCAAATAATGATAATAATAATGGCTAACTCTTGTGTGCTTACTATGTGCCAGGTGCTGTTCCAAACATTTTACCTGAATAAACCCATTTAATTCTCATTAACGATCCTCTGAGGCAGACCTTATGCCCGTTTTTCAGATAAGGGAACAGAGATGCCATAACACTGAGTAACTTGTCCACAGTCATACAGTTAATCAAGTGGCAGAGCTAGGATTCTAATCCAGTCTCCCTCCCATGCCCACAGTCTTTGCTTTTCTGCTTTACTACATCCCACAATGTGTCTGTTCATGTATATTCACAAAGCAGCCCTTTTCCATCCTCCATCAGCTTTCATTCTCTAGATGTCACATTAGGAATTTACCAAAGGGCATCAGAACTGCAGACTATTCTCAATGCCCATAATATGCTTAGCTGTCTTGTTTGGTTAATACATAGTAAGTGAAGTTTATTGGGAGCTATAGATTCAACTTTAATGATAACAACAACAAAAAGGTTCAGCAATTTACATCGGATTACTGACATGGAATTGAAATGAGACTTGTGTCTGTTGACAGATAGCTGCCAAGGAGGAGATGCAAGGATCATGACCTGGCAGTGAGTTGAAATGGAAGTGTTTGTATGTACAGTGTTTCTTCCCTGGCTTGTGGCCTCAGCTATAGGGCAGGATGTTGTCTCTACAGAGTCTGCATCCAGATAGTGTCTCACACATGCTCAGGGAAAAATTGGGCCAGTTGCAACATGGCAGTAGCCACTGTCTTCCCTTCACCTGGCTCTAGTACTCCTAATTCCGTTATACCCTTGCACATCACTTCTTCTGGCATCGCCTCTCCTACTGGCCTCCTCTCCCTTCTGTTGGGCACAGACTGATGGTGCCCACAGGGCATTTCTCCCGAGGCAATGGAGACTTTGACCATCAAAGCGACACCATATTCTGTTGGGAAGTGCAGAACGCCCCTCCTGCTGCCTGCATTGCTTCCTGGAGATGGGATCCTAAAGCAAGTTTGTTTATCCTCTGCTATTTCCCCCAGACTAATAACAAATAATTCTATCAGTTCTGCCTTAAAAATGTCCTCAATATAGGTTTCAAGTGTGAGTCCAGATAGAAGCTAGACCAGAAAATGAATATGGAGGTAGATACCACCAAACCTTAACCCTTCTCTCATAAGATCGTGCTACTGTTTCAATTATGTATTGCCACATAATGCTGTGTAAAAGCCACCCCCCAAATCAGTGACTTAACCTATAATACATATTTACTCAGCTCACAAGTCTGCAAGTTGGTGATGTAGTCTGGGTAGCTCTTCAGGTCTCAGCTGGGCTCACTCACGGGACTGGGGGATAGTTGGCTGTTGGTTGGGGCTGCACAGGTCTGGAGGTTGGCTGGGCTGACTCAGTTCTGCTCCACATTCTCCCTCCAGCAGGCTAGCCTGGGCATGGTTTCATGGCGAAGGCAGAGCTGCAGGAGCACAGGTGGAAAGGCCAAAATGCTTTCTCAAGTCCCTGTTGACTATCTCACAGGCTGGGCCTGCTACCATCTCACAGGCTGCGCCTGCTACCATCTCGCAGGCTGGGCCCAGCATCGGAGTGGGAGGGTTTTTCAGCATTACATGGTAAAGGGTAAAGAAGTAGGGATATTAATGTATTGCAGTTCTAATATGAATAGCCATTAGCTATTCTTCCATCAAGCTTATCGCTCTGGCTTCCTCTTCCTTGAGGATATGTTCTTTTCTTCTGAGGTTCCTGTCCCTCAAACAAATAGGCTTTTTTTTTGAGATGGAGTTTTGATCTTGTCACCCAGGCTGGAGTGCAATGGCACAGTCTTGGCTCACTGCAACCTCCGCTTCCTGGGCTCAAGTGATTCTCCTGCCTCAGCCACCTGAGTAGCTGGGATTACACGTGCCCACCACCACACCCAGCTAATTTTTTGTATTTTTAGTGGAGACGGGGTTTCACCATGTTGGCCAGGCTGGTCTCGAACTCCTGACCTCAGGTGATCCGCCCACCTCGGCCTCCCAAAGTGCTGGGATTACAGGCCAAATAGGCTCCTGACAGGCACATCTTCCAAATCTACATATGTTGCCGGATGTGTTTGACCCTCAGTGTGGGCACTGCTTAGCTTCAAATTGGTATCTAATCCCTCAGCTTTGCACCCTCTTCTTCAATTCTCCTCTCTTGTTTTGCTATAGAGGCAAATAGATTGGGTCCCAGTAGACTCACCCAGTGTCTGTCCTAATGAGACTATGCCTGGCCCCAGTGTATAACTGGGTTTCATTCAAATCTCCCCCTACGGCACCGAGCAGGGCTAGCTACAGATCTGACCAATGAGCAACACCAGGGTTCAGCTCAAGGGGCTGATAGGGAGAGTGTGATCCTACTTGACGCAGGTGAAAGCGCAAAGAGCAGGAAGCGGGGATGAAAACCTATTCATATGAGAAACAACAAGAGACGAGCTAACGGGGACAAATATTAACATCAAGGTGAGTTGCAGAGGGCAGAAGCAGGACCATTAAAGAGATGTCAGAGCATAGAGTCAGGGGACTGATTGAGGACAAGTACAGTGAAGTGGGTCTAGTGTTTTAAGATGCTGAATTACTGGGCCTTTGACATAAAGATTCCTCTCTGCTTCAGAGGTAAGCCAAGGGCAGGGGTCTAGGAATAAAATATCTGGGATGTTAAGGCTCCTTGGGAGGCCAGGACTTTGAGACCAGGCTGGGCAACATTGTGAGATCCCATCCCTACAAAAAAGTTAAAAATTAGCCAGGCATGGTGGTGTGCAAGCAACAGTTGTTCTAACTTCTGGGATTGCTCTGGGACCAAGGAACCCTGGGAACCTTTGGACTTGGAGTGATTCAGGCCCGAAGTGTTCCTTTTAGGAGCCGCTTTTCATCTCCCACTCCACCTGAAGGAAGGATTTGTTATGTTCACTTCCTTAAGAAGAGAGCACCAGGCCAGGCACGGTGGCTTATGCCTGTAATCCTAGCACTTTGGGAGGCTGAGGCGGGTGGATTGTGAGGTCAGGAGTTCAAGACCAGCCTGGCCAAGATGGTGAAACCCCATCTCTACTAAAAATACAAAAATTAGCCGGGCATGGTGGCACACGCCTGTACTCCCAGCTACTTGGGAGGCTGAGGCAGCACATTCCCAGAGAAGCTGTGTTATTTACTTTATATGCATTTTCTTGTTTAATGTTCCTACTAACACTGTAAGTCAGGTTGTAATGTTTTTATTTGCAGGTGAAGAAATTGAGGCTTAGAGATGTTAAGCAACTTGATGAATATCAGAACTGTGCTCTGAAGGCCGTGCTATTTCTGTACCACTTTATCACTCTGTCATATTTACCTTTTTATAGTGTCTGTCCTGCATGTAACTTCTACTTTACCCACTGTAGAGGGAAACTATCAGCCACATTGTACACTGTGGCCCTACCCCACTGGCCACAGCTAATTGGACCAAGGACATGCAGCCAAACCAGAGAAGGCCAGTCAAATTCTTCCCCAGGAATTTAGAATTTTCCTTTCGCTGTTGTGGTTATATAATCATTCCAAGTTTGATTCCAGCATTTTTTCCCTCTGTTCTCTTTTACCTAGCTACCTAAATTTCAATTTTATATGTTATTTTTATAGCTTATCTACTGTTATTTTTTATTTTAAGTCATTTTATTGGGATTTTATCCATTTTTTTCTCCTCTTTAGGTATACGTAATGACTAATTTTAGCCTTTATTTCTATCACTTAAAATGTATTTTTCTTAAATTTTAAACTTATTTCTGTTGGAATTAATTTTTGTTGTTGTTGTTGTTGTTTGTTTGTTTGTTTTTTGAGATGGAGTCTTGCTCTGTCACCCAGGCTGGAGTGCAGTGGCATGATCTTGGCCCACTGCAACCTCTGCCTCCTGGGTTCAAACGATTCTCCTGTCTCAGCCTCCCGAGTAGCCGGGATTACAGGCACCCACCACCACACCCAGCTAATTTTTATATTTTTAGTAGAGACGGGGTTTCGCCATGTTGGCAGGCTGGTTTTGAACTCCTGACCTCAGGTGATCTGCCCGTGTTGGCCTCCCAAAGTGCTGAGATTACAGGCATGAGCTATCGCACCCAACCAATATTTTGTTTTTAAACACTGTGTGACTTTCACTTTTTTTCTTACCATTAAGAGGTCCCAGATTTTTCTTCTAAAGAGCTCCACTACCACAAGACTCCTGCTTCTCCCCATCTCCCACTAACTCTATCCCAGAGCACAAGAAGTAACAATCTGATTCAGTGGTTTAGAAAGAGCATCACATGCCAGCCAGTCACTTCCTCTCCTCTTCTTCTCTAGCTGCAGAGCTCATGTTCTGAATCACTCCTGACCACGCCATGACTTTAGTGATAAAGATTCTGCTCTGTGGGTCAAGCCAGGGGTGGTCTGAAGCCTTTTATGACTGGGTAGGTAAGTCTGCCTGTTTCTGAGCTTCAGAATACAGAAGCCCCTTTGCCTAGAGATCTGAGTCACATTTTCCAGTATTGGCTTCTCCAGGAATAAGATGATATTTTGGTTTCCAGATTTCTTATCTTTTGCCTTACTTCTCAGTTGGTTCTTAATTGGGGCCTTGTTAAATGTTAACGACTGGCATGTTTGTGCAGAAACTTTGACAATGAAGTAGGAGGGAATTCAGGGATTAGAGTAGCACTTGGTAGAGGCTCACAGTGGGACTAGGGCATGTGTTTTTGGACATTAGCATGTGGCACTTGTCTCTTTGTCCTTGACAGCTTTCTGTAATTTCCATTAAGGCCCACTTTGGAATAGCTTCTGTGTTCAGCTGTCAAACATGATACAAGTTGAGCAATTTTTACTCCCGCTATTGTGTTTTGTCAGTTAGGCCCATCAACAATTAGGGTATTTTTCTCCTCTGGATGATAAACACTGATTTTTATCCAGGTCTAAGGCAGGTTGATCCAGAAATATCATGACCTTTCCGTATCAACATTCCCTCTGTGGCTCTAATTCTCCCACATACTAATTATACTTATCAGTCCTGAAGATGCAGATTATAGCTTTACCTATAGAAATGTGGTGGACTTTATTATCAGATAAGAAGAAAAGGGGCTGGGCGCGGTGGCTCACACCTTGTAATCCCAGCACTTTGGGAGGCCGAGGCGGGCGGATCACGAGGTCAGCAGACAGAGACCATCCTGGCTAACACGGTGAAACCCCATCTCTACTAAAAATACAAAAAATTAGCTGGGCATGGTGGCGGGCACCTGTAGTCCAAGCTACTGGGGAGGCTGAGGCCGGAGAATGGGTTGAACCCGGGAGGCAGAGTTTGCAGTGAGCCGAGATTGCGCCACTGCACTCCAGACTGGGCAACAGAGCAAGATGCCGTCTCAAAAAAAAAAAAAAAAAGAAAAGAAAAGGGATGTTCTACTTAACTAGTAAAAAGGCTGTATTTCATATGTCCTAGTGTTGGAAATTAGGGTGACCCAAAAACTATTCAAGGATCTAAAGTAGAGACAGAAGCACTGCAGAATAGTTTAAATGGTTTCGATGAGTGGTTCTCAGATCTCCCTGTTCATTAGAATCTAGACAACTTTTTTTTTATGGTATGTCTGGTCCTAACCCCTACATTTTGATTGAATTTACTGGGGATAGGCTAGGGCCTTGGGCCTTGATATGTTTTTAAAGCCCCCAAATGATCCTAAGGTACATCCATGATTGAGAAAAAGTCTTTAGATAAACAGAGAATGGTGCCTTAGGCAATATTGGGCGATAAAATAGGGAAGTACTGACTGTGAGTGTCTTGTTCCAATAAAGCCACCCCTCTTTTTCATCTGAGTTTGAAACAAACTGAGGCATAAAACAAGGATTAGAACAAATGACAGCCAATATATGATCTGAGCTGTAAAATGTTAAGTTATAGTATGCTACTTAGGATGAGGGCCTATAGAATCTACTAAATGAACCCCAAAGTAATCAGATATACCTACCTATTCCAAAAATAGCTGAACTACCACAACCTCTTGCTACAGGGACAGAGCCTATAACATTGAGCTTACCACAGGGTTCAGGGCACTCAAACACACATTTTCTGCAGGCTGCCCAGCTTCTAAGTGGGAGAGGGGGCTGTGATACACATGCCCAGTTTCTAAGCCAACTCACAAGTCAGGTAATTCCATCCACCTATCCAACTAGCCAGAAATGTTTAGAGAAAATCCCTCCTTATAGAAACTAGAAGAATGGGAAGAGGTATTTCTCTAATTCTGGAGAATGAAGATGAGGAACATATAACACTTCAGAGAAGACTCAAGTTTTCAGAGGCCAAAATACACCTATATGAAAGGGAAAAAGGACTATATATAAGACATATTCTTTATAACTGCTTTTTAAGTTTACATCAATGTGATAAACCAAGAAAAAGCAATACATGGAGTAATGACTATAAAGCAAGAAATGGGCTGAGCGTGGTGGCTCACACCTGTAATCCCAGCATTTTGGGAGGCCAACGTAGGTGGATCACATGAGGTCAGGAGTCCGAGACCAGCCTGGCCAACATGGTGAAACCCTATTTCTACTAAAAGTACAAAAATCAGCTATGAGTGGTGGCAGGTGCCTGTAATCCCAGCTACTCAGGAAGCTGAGGCAGGAGAATTGCTTGAACCTGGGAGGTGGAGATTACAGTGAGCTGAGATCACGCCATTCACTGCCCTCTACCCTGGGTGACAGAGCGAGACTCAGTCTCAAAAACAAAAACAAAACAAAACAAAAGCAAGAAATAAAACTGTGTTTATGTGCAGAAAACAAGAGAGAATATGTAGAAAATCCCAAGAATCTGTAAAAAAAAACAACCAAAAAACTAATAGAACTTATAAGCAAATTTACCAAGGTCATGGGATAGAAAGTCAACATACAAAAATCAATTATGTTTCTATGTACCAGGAACAATTATTAAATATAGCATTTAATATTAAAACTATAAAAAGCAGTGCCATTTACAATGCCTTCAGAAAGTACAAAATACTTATAAAGTATTTTAACAAAAGATATGCAAGACTTTTATACTGAAAACTACAAAACATTGTATGTAAAAAATAAAGACCTAAATAAATGGAGTTATACCATATATTGTTAAACTATCCATTCGTGCTAAATTGATATATACATTCAATGTAATTCAAATAAAAATCCCAGCAGGGCTTTTTGTCAAAATTGACCAGCTTATTCTAAAATTATACAGAAATCCAAAAGTCCTAGAATAGCCAAAACAAAGAGAAGAACAAAGTTGGACAACTTATACTATCTGATGTGTAAAATAGAGTCATCAAATCACTGTGGAATTAGCATTATGTTACATAGTTCAGTGGAACCAAAGAGTCTAGAAATAGACTTACATGTAAAAGCATGGTCAATTTATTTCCAACAAAGGTACTGAGGTAATTCAGTGGGGAAATAAAAGTTGTTTTCTGCAAACTAAAAATAAACCTTGACCTTTACTTCACACCATACATAAAAATTATTTCAAAACGTATCATAGCCTGGGTGCAGTGGCTAATCCCTGTAAACCCAGCACTTTGGGAGTCCAAGGCAGGAGGATCACTTCAGGCCAGGAGTTCAAGACCAGGCTGGCCAATACAGTGAGATCCCATCCCTACAAAAAAGTTAAAAATTATCCAGGTACGGTGGCATGCACCTATAGTACTAGCTACTTAGGAGGCTTAGGTGGGAGGATCACTTGAGCCCAAGAGTTTGAGGCTACAGTGAGCTATAATCACAACACTACACTCCAGCCTGGATGCCAGAGCAAGACTCTGTCTTAAATAAATAAATAAATAAATAAAGTACCATAGACCTAGACATACAGGCTAAAACCTTAAAGCTTTTGGAAGAAAATATAGGTGATATGGTTTGGCTGTGTCCCCAGCCAAATCTCATGTTAAACTGTAGCTCCCATAATTTCCATATGTCATGGGAGGGACCCAGTGAGAGGTAATTGAATCGTAGGGGTGGGTCTTTCCCATGCTCTTCACATGATAGTAAATAAGTCTCACAAGATCTGATAGTTTTATAAAAAGAAGTTCCCCTGCACATGCACTCTGGCCTGCCACCATGTAAGACATGACTTTGCTCCTGATTTGCGTTCCGCCGTGATTGTGAGGCCTTCCCAGCCATGTGGAACTGTGAATCAATTAAACCTCTTTCCTTTATAAATTGCCCAGTCTCAGGTATGTCTTTATTAGCATGTGAGAATGGACTAATACAATAGGAAAATATCTTCATAATTTCTTAGGCCATAAAAAGCACTAACCCCAAAAGATAAAATTGATCAATTGGACTTCATTAAAATTAAACATTTTTGCTCCTCTAAAGAAAGATACATTAGAAAAATAAAAAGATAGACTAAAAAACATTCATAATACATATCTGTGACTGTATTAGTCTGTTCTCATGCTGCTGTAAATTACTGCCCAAGACTGGGTAATTTATAAAGGAAAGAGGTTTAATTGACTCACAGTTCCTGAGGGCTGGGGAGGCCTCAGGAAACTTACACTCATGGCAGAAGGGGAAGCAAACATGTCCTTCTTCACATGGCTGCAGGAAGAACTATGAGCAAAGCAGGGAGAAACCCCTTATAAAACCCCTTTAAAAAGTCAGATCCTGTGAGAACTCACCATCATGAGAACAGCATGAGGGTAACTGCCTCCATGATTCAATTACCTCCTACCCGGTCCCTCCCAAGACATGTGGGCAGTATGGGAACTACAATTCAAGATGAGATTTGGGCGGGGACATAGCCAAACCATACCATTCTGCCCCTGGCCCCCTCCCAAATCTCAAGTCTTCACAGCTCAAAACACAATCATGCCCTTCCAACAGTCCCCCAAAGTCTTAAGGCATTCCAGCATTAACTCAAAAGTCCAAGTCCAAAGTCTCATCTGAGACAAGGCAAGTCCCTTTCACCTATGATCCTGCAAAATAAAAAACAAGTTAGTTACTTCCTAGTAACTAACGGGTATAGGCATTGGGTAAATACACCTGTTCCAAATGGGATAAATAGGCCAAAACAAAGGGGCTACAGGACCCATGCAAGTCCAAAATCCAACAGGACAGTCATTAAACCTCAAAGTTCCAAAATGATCTCATTTGATTCCATGTCTCACATCCAAATCACACTGATGCAAGAGGTGGGCTCCCACAGCCTTGGGCAGCTCCATCCCTGTGGCTTTTCAGGTATAGCACCCCTCCTGGCTACTTTCACAGTTGGCATTGAGTGTCTGCAGCTTTTCCAGGTGCATGGTGCAAGCTGTCAGTGGATTCTGGAGTCTGAAGAATGGTGGTCCTCTTCTCACAGTTCCACTAAGCAGTGCCTCAGTGGGGACTCTGTGTGGGGGCTCCAGCTCCATGTTTCCCTTCTGCCCTGCCCTAGCAGAGGTTCTCCATGAGAGCCCCATCCCTGCAGCATACTTCTGCCTGGACAGCCAGGGGTTTCCATACATCCTCTGAAATCTAGGTGGAGGCTCCCAAACCTCAACTCTTGACTTCTGTGCACCCCAGGCCCAACACCATGTGTAAGCCACCAAGGGTTGGGGCTTGCACCCTCTGAAGCAACACCCTGAGCTGTACCTTGGCACCCTTTAGCCACAGCTGGAGCTGAAGCAGCTGGAACTCAGGGCATCATGGCCTGAGGCTGCATAGAGCCGGTTGGGGGCCCTGGGCCTAGCCCATGAAACCATTTCTCCCTCCTGGGCCTCTGGGCCTGTGATGGGCCTGTGATGGGAGGGGCTGCCATGAAGGTCTCTGACATGCCCTGGGGACATTTTCCCCATTGTCTTGGTGATTAACATTCGGCTCCTTATTGCTTATACAAATTTCTGAAGGTGGCTTGAATTTCTCCCCATAAAATGGATTTTTCTTTTCTATTGTATTGTCAGGCTGCAAAGTTTCCAAACTTTTATGCTCTGCTTCCTCTTGAACGCTTTGCCACTTAGAAATTTCTTCCACTAGATACACTAAATCATCTCTCTCAAGTTCAAAGTTCCACAGATCTCTAGGGCAGGGGTAAAATGCCACCAGTCTCTTTGCTAAAGCATAGCAAGAATCACCTTTATTTCAGTGCCCAAAAAGTTTCTCATCTCCAAGACCACCTCAGCCTGGACTTCATTGTCCATATCACTATCAGCATTTTGGTCAAAGCCATTCAGCAAGTCTCTAGGAAGTTCCAAACTTTCCCACATTTTCCTGTCATCTTCTGAGCCCTCCAAACTGTTCCAACCCCTGCCTGTTACCCAGTTCCAAAATTGCTTCCACATTTTTTGGTATTGTAAGTTGGCTGTTGTCTCTAGAGGTAATCTCCTGGTGGAAGAGGTTTCTGCTCTGGAGCTTCTAAGCACATCATTAGATAGCTTGCCCTGTAGGGGTGTGCAGAAGCACCCCACTCTCTGCAGTACCAATTTAATGTATTAGTCTATTCTCACACTGCTATAAAGAACTGCCAGAGACTGGATAATTTATAAAGGAAAGAGGTTTAGTTGACTCACATTTCCACAGGACTGGCAAAGCCTCAGGAAACTCACAATCATGGTGGAAGGGGAAGCAAACATGTCCTTCAAATGGTGGCAGGAAGGAGAAGTATGAGTGAAGGTCGGGGAAATCCCCTTATAAAACCATCAGATCTTGTGTGAACTCACTGTCATAAGAAAAGCATGAGGGTAAGCACCCCCATGATTCAATTACCTCCCACTGGGTCCCATGACATGTACGGATTATGGGAACTACAATTCAAGATGAGATTTGTGTGGGGACACAGACAAACCATATCAGTGACAATAGACTTCTGTACCAAATTTATACAGAATTCTCATAATAAGCAATTTAAAATGGTCAAAAGATTTGGAGAGACACGCCACAAAAGAAGATATAAATGTTCACTAAGCACATGAAAAAGTGTGCAACATCATTAATCAGCATCAGAAAAATGCAAATTAAAATCATAAGTTAACCCTCACACCTACCAAAATGGCAAAAATGGAAAAGATTTACCATACCAAGTATTGGATAGGAAATGGAGTAACTGAAATTTTCGTACACTGCTGGCAATGTAAAATGACACAATGTAAATGGATATGAAAAGGAGGATAGGAAAACCGATGCAAAATACTCAAGGCATTATTGGCAGGTTTTAAGGTGATTTGGTATTACAGAAAATGCAAATATCACTCTGGGCTATGAGAGAACATAGTAAGAAATTAGTAGGATTAGGATGCTAAGCGATTGTAACCCAGTATCCCCATTTTTCTAAGAGAAAGAGAATTAATGTTTTAAAAATTATTATTTTTCTTCTTTTCTCTTTCCTCCTTTTCCCCACTTCCTACTTAACTCTTTATAAATGCAGTTATGACCCTTTACCTTCCCTTCTTCAAACACTCCCTACAGGGCAAGCTATCTAACGATGTGCTTAGAAGCTCCAGAGTAGAAACCTCTTCCACCAGAAGATTGCCTCTAGAGACAAGAGTTAACTTACAACCCATGGTATGCCCGCTATGAAACTCTCTCCCACCTGGAGAATATCTGAAGACAAGGGTCACTTTTATAACCTAGTTCTGACTGCAAAGGCGCCAGTTCAACCACCCAGTGGCACCAAAGCAAGTCATGGGCCCCCCACCTGCTTGCCGTTTCCTCTGTATGCCATTCATGCCAAGTCCCTCCTTTAAAAGCCCCTGCTTTGTGCCTTAGAAGCAAGGTGTTTCCCTTAAATCTGGAAGCCTGTATTTCTCCCCCTAACCTAGCTTTGGAATAAAAGTTACTTTCTTTATACTAGATCTTACTCTTGTTAATTGGACTCTGCAAATGCTGAGCAACTGAACCTGTGTTTCCATTACAGGATGACTCAAACTAGAGGGAAGACAGGCAGATCTGGGCTAGATGTGGGACTGAGAGAAACCTATGCCCTGTATGTATTAACGAGGGTGAAAGTTAAGTTGCTGTAAAAAAAAGATTCAATAATATTCCTACTAAAAGATACAGAACTTCATTTTTCTCTCCTGATACAGGCAATCCAGATATGAGAGCTAAACTGCTTCATGTAGTCATTCAGGCTCTCAGGTTCCTTTCTTCTTACTATTCTCTAAGTTGTTATCATCATCTGCATGGTCAAAGTTGGGTTGCTGTCATATCAACATTTCAGCTAGGGAGAAGAGGAGCAAGTTTATGTACATTCAATGAATTATGCATCATATCTGGAAACAGAATCATCATTTCTACTCACAGTTCATTGGCAAGAACTTAGTTACATCACTACACCTAAATGCAAGTGAGTCTGAGAAATCTAGTTTTACTGGGAAAACAGGTAACCAGCTCAAACTCTATTTCTTTAGAAGAAAGGAATAACAGATTTTGGGGGGCCCCTTGCAGTATCTGCCACACTTTAGATAAAATTCAGAAAGAGAAAGCCAGACTGTCTCTACTGACTGAATAATGGAGGCTGTTGGCAGTCCTAGAATTTTCACTTTTGTAAATTTTACTTCTGTCTTTCTGTAGGTGACTCCACTAGGCTAAATTTGGAGAAATAAATTGGAAACACAAATATGTATTTATCTGTGAACTGAGAGAAGATAGGGCTAGCCTGTAGTTCAGAATAAGAAACAGATACATAGCTCATGCCTAGCTACATGCCTATAGTTTAGAACAAAGAATAGATGATAGATGATAGATAGATGATAGATAGATAGATAGATAGATGATAGATAGATAGATAGATAGATAGATAGATAGATAGATAGATGATAGATAGATAGATCAGAGCAGCCCCAAGGGAAATGCAAGGGCAATGGCAAAGATAGAGAGATAGACAGATTTGGGTTGATAAAATTTTAGAAACTCCAGGAAACCAAAGGCAACCAAACATGATTAGATGAGACCAGAGCCCTCTTGAGAGGTCAAATGATGACATTATTCACGTTGTAAAGCCACAAGCTCTGCCACCAGGATTGCCTGCAACAGGAGAAAGCAGAATTTATAGAAATGGTTAAGACTCCGACTAAAAGAAAAAATATCCTGGTACGAGTTATTCTGTCACCAGGACAATTGCAGAACAATTGGAACTCTGAAAACAGGCAGGCCTGTAACCTTTAGTAGCGATACTCTCCAGAGTCAGGGCAGTCAACTTTTGCTCCAAGACCTGGTCAATAATCTGGGTCTACAGCTGTAGATATTGGTCTAGGGCTTCATCTAGCATGAGTAGATGCTGAACCGTCCACAAGATACCCAGGGAAAAGGTCACAGGCAGCATCTTTAGCCTGGTTCCTGGCACTGGGTTGGCACCCATTGACTTCCAACAAACTATCAGAAAGAAAACTGCACTGTGTGCTCCTGCCTTAAGTCTCTCACAGTTTTACATCCAAAAGTTTGTTGTACAACTTTAATCAAATAATCTTTTTTTTTCAGTCTCTAGAAAGAGTCATGCAAATTTTATCTTTTCTGTAAAATACATCCATGACTTTTTTTTTTTTGAGACAGAGTTTTGCTCTTGTTGCCCAGGCTGGATGGAGTGCAGTGGCGCGATCTCGGCTCACTGCAAACTCCGCCTCCTGGGTTCAAGCGATTCTCCTGCCTCAGACTCCCGAGTAGCTGGGATTACTGGTGTGCACCACCATGCTCAGCTAATTTTTTGTTCTTTTAGTAGAGATGGGGTTTCATCATGTTGGCCAGGCTGGTCTAGAACTCCTGACCTCAGGTGACCCACCCGCCTTAGCCTCCCAAAGTGCAGGGATTATAGGCATGAGCCACTACACCCAGCCAAAATATATCCATGACTTTTTAGATGTCAAAACAATTTTTTAAATTAAAATAGCTTTATTTTTCTAATTATAAAAGTAATACAGGCATATTGTAGAAAAATTCAGAATGCATGTAAAATCATAAGAAGAAAGTGAAAATCACTTTTAATCCCACAACCTCAAAATAATTACTATTATCAACATTTTCATTATATTCTTCCAGTTTTGTCCTTGCATAATTATATTTTATGTATTTATATATATATTCATTCATACAAATGAGACTTCCATATCATAATTTTATCTTTCTATATTAATAACTGTAGACCTAAGTCTTATGGTTTATTGGCTACATGGTATTTTATTGTATGTCTATATCATAACTTATCCAACTAACCTCCTACTGTTACACATTTCCAGTTTTCTTACATTATAGACAAACCAGTAACAATCATCTATACATATAACTTCAATTATTTCCTTATGATACATTTCTAGAAATAGAAAAAAAATGGGTCAAAATGACAAACATATTGAACTTAGATATATTTAAATGTGTATATTAATTAACCTCTTCCATATTATGCTTGAACTTCCTGATGGTTACGTCAGTTTGTATTTCTTATATCAATGTGTGGATATTCATTTGCTTCTAGTCTTATTAATTCTGGGTAAAAATAATTATTGAAATTTGTCCATCTGACAGGTAAAAGGATATACCCCTATTGTTTAATTTGCATTTCTTTGCTTACTAGTGACATTGATCTTTTCATATAGTTATTGGCAATTTTTAGTTCTTACTATATTCGTTGCCTAATTTTCTATTAGCATTTACCTCTGATTAATGAGTTATGTATTACTATCTTTGATCCCTTATCTATTATGTGAATTTAAAATATATTCTCCAGTTTGCCAGTTGCCTTTGTGTGTGTGTGTGTGTGCATACGTGTGTGTGTTGTTTGACTGTTATACCAATATTTTAAAAATGCATATAATCAAATTGATCATTCATTTCCTTCCTATTTTCTAGCATTATTCTCAACTCTAATATTATAAAATCACTGAGCTTTCTACTTCACTTTTTTTCTTTTTGCACACTAATCCTTAACTCATTTGGAATTTATTTTATAGAAATGAAGGAAGTTGATATGTAACATTTCTCACTAAATATCTAGCCAATAATTTACACTTTTTTTCACTGAATTAAAATGTTACCTTTAACACATACTGATTTTTAAAATATATTTAGATATAATTACTTACTCTTTCTGTTTCATTACGTATTTTTTCCTCCCATTCCCTTTATTATTAGTAGCATTGTTGCTTTGGTAAGAACACAATACAAGATCTATTCTTTTAGCAATTTTAAGTGTGCAACACAATATTGTTAACTATAGGCACTACGCTACAGAGTCGATCTCCAGAACTTACTCATCTTGCATAACTGAAAGTTCGCAGCCTTTAACCATCACCTCTCTAGTTCTCCCTTCCACAAGCCCCTGCCAATTACCATTCTACTCTCTGCTTTTATGAATTTGACTATTTTAGATTCTACATATAAGTGAGATCATATAGTATTTGTCTTTTGGTGTCTGGCTTATTTCACTTAACATAATGTTAAGTGAACATTAAGTTAACATAATCCACCCATAGATTTCCTTCTTTTTATGGCTGAATACTATTCCACTATATGCCATATGCCATAGTGTCCTTATCCATTCATCTGTTGATGGACATTTAGGTTGTTTCCATATCTTGGCTATTGTGCATAATGTGATGAGCCTGGGAGTGCAGGTGTCTCTTTGACATTCAGATTTCATATCCTTTGAATGGATATGAAATGGAATTGCTGAATCATATGAGTTTTATTTTTAATTTCGGAGGGAACTTCCATACTGTTTTCCATAGTGGCTGTACTAATTTACGTTCCCAATAAGAGTGTAAAAGAGTTCCTTTTTCTTCACATCCTTGTCAACTTTTGTTATCTCTTGTCTTTTTTTTTTTGTTTTCTGATTTTTTTTAAGAGAGCTGTGGCATGATCATTATTTTTAATTGCACTGTCACTGCATAGCCATCCTAACAGGTGTGAGGTGATATCACATTGTGATTTTGATTTGCATTCCTGATGATTAGTGTTGTTGAGCACCTTTTCTTGTACCTTTTGGCCATTTGCATATCTTCTTTGGAAAAATGTCTATTCAAGTCCTTTGCCCACTTAAAAATCAGATTATTTTTCTGCTTTTAAGTTGTATGAGTTCCTTATATATTTTAGGTGTTAACCCCTTATCCAATATATGGTTTGCAAGTATTTTTTCCCAAATCGTATGTTTTTCATTTTTTTTCTGTGCAAATGTTTTTTAGTTTGATGTAATCTCGCTTGTTTATTTTGCTTTTGTTACCTGTACTTTTGGTGTCATAGCCAAAAAATTCTTGCCAAGACCAATGTCAAGGAACTTTTTCCTATGTTTTCTTTCACAGTTTTAGATCTTACATTTAATTCTTTAATCTATTTTGAGTTGATTTTTATGTATAGTGTAAGGTTAGGGTCCAATTTCATTCTTTTGCTTGTAGATGTACAGTTTTCTCAGCACCATTTGTTAAAGAGACTATCCTTTTCCCATTATGTATTCTTGGTGCCCTTGTCAGAAATTAGTTGGCCATATATGTGTGGGTTTAATTCTGAATTCTCTATTTTGTTTCAGCTTTGTTCTTCTTACTCAAGATTTTTTGGCTATTTGGGGTCTTTTGTGGTTCCATATGAATTTTAGGAGTCTTTTTATATTTCTATGAAAAATTCTACTGGAATTTTGATAGAGGTTGCATTGAATTTGTAGATCACTTTGGATAATACAGACATTTTAACAATATTGATTTTTCTAGTCTGTGAATATGGGTTATCTTTCCATTTATTTGTGTTGACTTTAATTTCTTTCATCAATGTTTTATAGTTTTCAGTGTAGAGATATTTCACCTCCTTAGTTAAATCTATGCCTAAATATTTTATTCATTTTGATACTATTGCAAATGGAATTGTTTTCGTAATTTCTTTTTTTTGATAGATCATCGGTAGTGTATATTATGCAACTGATTTTTGTATGTTGATTTTATATTTCTCTACTGAATTCATTTATTAGTTCTAACAGTGTGTGTAGTCTATGTATAAAATTATGTCATCGGCAAACAAAGACAATTTTACTTCTTATTTTCCAATTTAAATGTCTTTTATTTCTTTTTCTTGCCTAATTGCTCTGGCTGGGACTACCAGTACGATGTTAAATACAAGTGGTGAGAGTGGGCATTCTTGTCTTCTTCCTGATCTTAGAGGAAAAGTTTTCAGCTTTTCACTGTTGAGTATGTTAGCTTTGGGCTTATCATGTATGATTTTTATTACCATATATGATGTGGCACATTCTTTCTATACCTAATTTATTGAGAGTCTTTAGCATTAAAGAATACTGAATTTTGTTAAAATTTTTCTGCATCTACTGAGATGATCATATGATTTTTATCCTTCATTATGTTGAGGCTGTGAGGGCTGTTAGGGTCCTCAGCTGCACCTCTGGGTCCAGTGGCCAGGGGCCAGGGCCAGTGGTGTGCACACGCTATGCTATGATAGCTGGCTGCAGGCACATCTATGACAGCTGAGGCCAGTTGCAGGCTCATCTCATGCATGGTGGCAAGAACTGGGGTAAGAGGAAGGGCCTGGGACCAACTATGAGTGCACAGATGGCAGGGTGGGCTGGCAGATTGCACATGCATAAGTGCAGGGGCCAAGTGCACGCTGGTGAAGGGGGTTAGAGGCTGTCTGTATGTGTGTAGAAGGGTGCATCTGGGAGGCACACTGGATATGTATGTGCACGTACAGCTGCAAGGGCCAGCTGTGGGTGCAAACATAGTAATGGGGGAAAGAGCCAGGGGGCAGGGCCAACTGCTTATGCATGTACAGCTGTGGAGCCAGGGCTGACAGCATGTAGTAACCTGGCTGCAGTGGTTAGCCTAGGGTACACATGGCAGTGGGATAGGGTCCTGTGCTGGGGGTGCCTGGGAGCTGTTTGCAGGCACACATGTAGTAGCTGTGCTGTGTCCCAGGGCCAAATCACCCATGGAGGCAGCAGCTAGTAGAGAATGCAAAGGCCACTAGGGTGAGACCCTGGGCTAGGGGTATCATGGCAGGAGCAGCTCAGGTGGTTTGAGGGAGGGATGATGGAGAGGAGTGGTGGGTCAAGCACCCAGAGACTGCCAAGGCTTTTGGGCTGGATATCCAGATGGAGCCACTGCAGCAGCAACAGTCTTGTGGCTCTAGGTGGCAGCTCAGGTGGCTTCAGGGAGGTGAGAAGGAAAGGAGCGGTGGGTCAGCCATCCACAAACTGCCAAGACTGCTGGGCTTGGTCCCTTGGCCAGGGCAATTGCAGCAGTCTACTATATATCACATTGATTGATTTGCGTATGTTGAACCATTCCACTTGATCATGGTGTATGATTCTTTCAATGGGCAGTTGAATTCAGTTTGCTGGGATTTTGTTGAGGATTTTTGCATCAGTATTAATTAGGAATATTGGCCCATGCTCTCCTTTTCTTGCAGTGTCCTTGGCTGGCCTTGGTAGCAAGGTAATGCTGGCCTCATTGAATGAGTTTGGATGTGTTCCTTCATTTTTAATATTTTAGAAGAGTTTGAGAAGAATGGGAATTAATTCTTTAAAAATGATTGGTAACATTGAAACAATCTGGTCTTGGGCTTTTGTTTTTTTTTGGAAATTTTTGATTACTGATTAAACCTACTTACTCATTACTGGTCTGTTTATATTTTCTCTTTCTTCATGGTTCATTCTTGGTAGGTGTATATTTCTAGGAATTTATCTATTTCTTTTAGGTTATCCAATTTGCTGTCATATAAGTGTTCATCATAGTCTCTTATGATCCTTTGTATTTCTATAATTTCAATAGTAATGTCTCCTTCACGTATAATTTTGTTTGGGTCGTCTCTTTCTTAACTTAGTTAAAGTTTGTCAATTTTGTTTATCTTTTCAAAAAACCAGCTTTTAGTTTTTTTCTTTGTGATTACCATGAGGTTTGCATAAAACATTTTATAGTTGTAATGGCCTATTTTAGTTGAAAACTTAATTTTGATTGCATACAAAATCCTTACACTTTTATTCCCCCAAATTTTATGTTATTAGGGTCACAATTTACAGCTTTTTACATTGTGTAACCATTAACAAATCACTGCATATTTTAATATTTTTGTCTTTTAACCTTATATTAGAGTTAAAAGTGATTTATGCACCACCATTACAATATTAGAATATTCTGAATTTGACATTAAACTTATCCGTGAATTTTATACCTTTATATGTTTTCACAGTGCTGATTAGTGTCCTTTTGTCTCAACTTGAAGAGCTCTTTTTAACACTTCTTATAAAGCAGATCTATTTGTGATAAAGTCTCTCAGCCTTTGCTTGTCTAAGAAGGTCTATCTCTTCTTCATTTTTGAAGGACAATTTTGCCAGGTATAGTATTATTGGTTTGCAGTTTTTTCTTTCAGCAATTTGAAAATATCATCCCACTGTCCCGACCTGCTGAGAATCTGCTTATCATCTTAATGGGGTGGGGGGCGGTTCTATTCTATGTGATGTCACTCTTCTCTTGCTGCTTTCAAAATTCTCAGTTTGTCTTTGACTTTTGACAATCTGATCATAATGTGTCTCAGTGAAGACTTCTTGATGCTCAATTATTTGGAGTTCTTTGGGCCTCATAGATATGGATATTCATTTTCCTCTCCAGATTTGGGGGACATTCTGTCATCTTTTTTTTTCTTTCGTTGGGGAAGATGGAGTCTTACTCTGTCGCCCAGGCTGGAGTGCAGTGGCGCGATCTCGACTCACTGGAATCTCTACCTCCTGGGTTCAAGCAATTCTCCCGCCTCAGCCTCCTGAGTAGCTGGGATAACAGGTGTACACCACCATGCCCAGCTAATTTTTTGTATTTTAGTAGAGACAGGGTTTCATTGTGTTGCCCAGGCTGGTCTCAAACTCCTGAGCTCAGGCAATCCACCCACCTCGGCCTCCCAAAGTGTTAGGATTACAGGCGTGAGCCACCATGCCAAGCCCATTTTCTTTCAATAAGCTTTCCACTCCTTTCTTCTGCCCTGATCCTTCTAGAATTCCTGTAATGCATATATTGATTCATTTGATAATGTCCCATAAATTCTGTCAGTTTTCTTAAGTCTTTCTTTTTGTTCCTTGAACTGGATAATTTTAAATGATCTGTCCTAGAGTCTGCTGATTCTTTCTTCTGCTTGACTGAGTCTACTGTTAAAGCTTTCTATTGAAATTTTCACAAATTTTATTCCTTAGCTCCAGAATTTATGTTTGGTTCTTTTTTTATGATTCCCATCTTATTATTGAACCTCTCATTTTGTTCATGTACTGTTTTCCTGATTTCATTTAGTTGTTTCTCTGTGTACTTTTGTAGATCACTGGGCTTAAGATGATTATTTTCAATTTTTGTCAGGCAATTCATAGATCTACATTTCTCTGGGGTCAGCCACTGAAGCTTTATTTTGTTCCTTTGGTGGTATCATATTTCCTTGATTCTTCATATTCATTGAAGCTTTGCATTGCTATCTTTGCATTTGAAGAAGCAGTCATGTCTTCCAGTCTTTACTTCACCAGTGAGCCTGGCTAAAGATCTTGGGTGTCTCTTATCTGTTTTTTTTTATGGATGTACCCACACTGCTCCTCTTGTGCCCTCTTAGAGGACAAGCCTTAGGATTGTGTATCTTCTCTTCATCCTGCAGAGCTACATTTTGTATTGAAATTCTCCTGTTTATTTTCCCTAGGGCAGTGTCCTGAAATATCAAGATTGTGGCGGTTCACCCAAGCCAGTGAAGTTGAGATGATTGCTAAAAATCCACACCTTCTGTTGAGATCCTTGTGCTGTCTGTGAGAACTCATGCAGGCTGTACACAGGGATGCATACGGTACCATCCCATGGGGAGCTGCATGAGGTGCTCAGGAAGTGTGTTGGCTGGTTCAGGGGAGTCCTCGAGTGAGTCGTCCTGGAGCAGTCTTGGGAGGGCTGCTTGGTAGAATTTATGTGTTAGTTCACAAGATCCATGACTGGCTGTTGAAAACTGTGTGCCAGTTGTTCTGCACTTCCTCCCCTTCTCCTGGCTTCTAGCTGTCCACAGACAATTCAGTCATGCTGATCCCCTTAGTGTTCTAGGTGGGGCAGATAGAAGTGGGCCTCCTAGGCAGCATTTTGCAAGGACGGGGAAGCCGAGCACTGACTTCATTCTCCCTTTCCCCTATGGAAGAAGTCATGGGCCAAGGGGGCCTCTCTTGGCATCAAGCTGTGCCACTTTGGGGGAGCGGTGATGCAGATAAAGTGAAACTGTTTTTATCCTTTTAAATGTGTTTATGCACAGACTATTTGCTCCACCAGGGTGCTGGGACCTCAGCTAGGCTCTGGGGCTCCCCCAAAGTTATTCTCATCTGTGGGCAGTTGCCAAACCCTGTATTCTGTTGGGGGATGAGAGCTGGAACCTCCTATTTTCCCATCTTGCTAACATCACTCTCTCAAGTCTTCTTAAAGCTGTCTTTTCACATTCTTCTCTGCAAAATCCCAGTTATCACAGCAACTATTCCTCTGATCTTCTGATCTCTCAAACTCTACAAACTGCTTTCATCTGCCTGGCTGTTTCTCTTTTTTTCTGGTCTCCTAGATCCTTTCTTCTTTAGGTGATTTCATACATTTTTTAAGTAAGAAATTAATCTGATTCACTCTAATCCCAAGAGAAGAATCATGGCTGACTGAACAACTAAAGAATCACTCTATCTTTAAAGGCAGAAGGAAAAAGCAATATTGCAGACCTGTATTAGTTACTCTCTCTATTTCAATACTTGTTACACTATTTATTTCCAGAGTGCTCTCCCTACCTTCCTGGTAGAGTCGAAGAAGGACACTCACAGTGCACAGCTCTCTTCTGTCATCATGAGAGCCACTGCTGCCAGAGCAATGACCAGGGCTGTATCTCATCAGTCCTCCCTGAGTTGCAGTTCTAGGGATGATCATCTTCCCCAGTTTCCAGCATTCATATGGAATTTTTTTATCTTATCTATTTGATAATTTCAGTGCGGAATGGCTGGTTTGAGTAAAATGTTAATGCTCAAATCATCCTCTGGGATCAGAAGTCTCCACGTGACCTGAAATTTCATGTCAGTATCAGTTTTTTAAAATTTCTTTTCCATTTTCCTTATTTAGGCTTTGCACAACACTGGATAGTTTGTTCTCAATTTTCCTGGCCCCATATATGAATTTGGGGATACTTTTTTCATAAAGTCTTTTGATTTCTTTCTTAGTCTTTAAAGACAACAATAAAAATACACTGCTCTGGAACACATTTGATGAAATAGCATTTACCAATTTCATGGGAAATGCCGAGTAAGTCCCACTCTTGCTTTGATGGTTAACCAGAGACCCAGGCTCAGATTAAATATCAAATTTGCCTTGGAGGAATCAGGGACTTCTGGATGTATCTTTAAAATTGAAGTTCACAATGGAAGAGCAAAAGAACAGAGCTGGGAAAACTTCCTTCAAGCCAGAGCCACTGAGCCATATGAGCAAATGGTGAAAACCCAGGCTGAAATCAAAAGTGGCTCACAATGATTGCATCTTGATTTTGGTTTCTGAGAAAGAGAAATAAATGTTGATATTGTCACTGTTTAGGGGGAATTATACACATATTACTTGCATATTATGTAACATTTAGAAATTCCTTTCCTGGTAGACATATGACTAGATGACAGATGAAGGTAGCTAGCTATTTTTATCTACACCATGAACTTCCATGGTTTCATGCATCAACCATATGTGTTGATGAGTCATCAATATACATCTCCAGCCCAGGCATCTTCCTGGTTCTAGATCTAAAGGCATTTCCAATTCAAAATGCCCCAAGTGAAGCCATCATCTCTGTGTGCCCCCTCCTACCTAACAGATGCCTCCTCCTAGGTACCCTATATCAGTGAATGACACCGAGCTGCCCATTTCACATGTCAGAAATCAAGAAGTCAGCCTTAACTTGTCCTAGTGCCCTACTCTTTAAATCATTCACCACATCTTATCAATTCTACCTTTCTAGCAACTCTCAAATCCATCTATTTTCTTGTATTCCCACTGTCACTCATGCCAGGTTAGGCTATCATGAGCTCTTGCTTATATTACTAGAAACACAGCCAGAGTAATCATTCTGAAGGGCCAGTCTTATTATGTCATTGCTCTGCCAAATATTATCCTAAGCAACCCTTTGCTCTTAAAGCTTGAAACCCGATAGCATGGTATATGTGGCCTTCAATACTTGGCCCCTGCCTACCTCTGTCTACTTACCTTTTTTTTTTTTTTTTTTTTTTTTTGAGACAGAGTCTCGCTCTGTCGCCCAGCCTGGGGTGTAGTGGTGTGATCTTGGCTCTGCCTCCCCAGCTCAAGTGATTCTCATGTCTCAGCCTCCCAAGTAGCTGGGACTATAGGTGCATACTGCCACGCCTGGCCAATTTTTGTATTTTTGTATTTTTGTAGAGACGGGGTTTCACCATGTTGCCCAGGCTGGTCTCGAACTCCTGGACTCAAGTGATCTGCCTGCCTTGGCCTTCCAAAGTGCTGGGATTACAGGCATGAGCCATCGTGTCTGGCCTGTCTACTTACCTCTTGCCAATTCCATTTTCACTTTGTGATTCAAATGCATTAGTATAGACTAGGTTTATGCTGCAGTAACAAATAAAATTTCAGATGCTTAACAGATAAAGTTAATGTCTTATGCATGTGAAAGCTGGCATAGGTTCGCTGACTGCCCATGGTAGCTGTCCTTCATGGGGTGGTTCAGGGAGCCAGGATCCTTTCATCTTGTGGCTCTGCATGCCAACACACACCCTCTGTGTTAACTGCCCAAGGGGAAGAGAGAGCCCGGAGAATGCACAGTGAGCTTTTCACTGCGTCAACCAGAAAGTGATACGGATCACTTCCATTTTTATTTTATTGGCTAGAATGACTCAATGGCTCTGCCTAACTGCAAGAAGACTGGGAATTGTAACCTTCCTAAAGCATTTGGTGAACACTTTGCTTTGCCTCTGCCACACTAAACACAACGGTATGAATACCAGGAGGTGACAGTCATTGGGGCCCTGCTAGAATCTGTTTACCACAGATACCCTACAATATTCCCTCAATTCCTTATTAGGCTGAAGGTGTGTGCACAGAAACCCATATATGGGAACAATATGAAAGTGAGCAGATAGGATTTGTTCTAGAACAAATTCATTCTTTCCTAGACATACCCCACCTCCCAGCCATTTATTTTGTTTTATTTATTTTTTTTGAGACAGGATTTTACTCCCGTCACCCAGGCTGGAGTGCAATGGTGCAATCTTGGCTCACTGTAACCTCCGTCTCCCAGGCTCAAGCAATTCTCCTGCCTCTGCCTCCCAAGTAGTTGGGACTACAGGTGTGCACCACCACACCCAGCTAATTTTTTTTTTTTTTTTGTAAAGACAGGGTTTTGCCGTGTTCCCCAGGCTGGTCTTGAACTCCTGAGCTCAAGTGATCCTCCAGCTTTGACCTCCCAAAGTTTTGGAATTACAGGCGTGAGCCACCGAGTCTGGCCCATTTATATTATTTTAAAACATGTATTTGGGATTGTAGATTGTTTTGACTGGAGAAAAATCACAGAAGGAGAATACAATTTATAATGATAAAATCCTGTGCTTGTACTTAAACTTTAGTTCTCAATTGAAATATTTTCCTAAGAAATGTCTAATACCCTCACAACTGAATTAGTTGCTGTTTTACCCAGTGCATTTATAGCTTCCTGCCCTTAAACCTCTGAGAACATTTATCACACTGTATCTCATCCGCTTCTGCAGGGCAGGTGCTATCTCTTGTCATGTCATTGTATTCCCAAGACTTTGCACATGTCTGACACAAGGTAGATTGTCAATAAATATATACGGCATTATACTGTGTTGAATTGAATTGTTCTTTAGGTCTAAAGCTGACCAGATGCAAATGGTGGGGTCTGAAGAAAATTGGTTCTTCACTCATCCATAGAACATTTTTGCCCGAGTCTGGGAAAAGAAGGGATAGAAATTTTTAATTGGCTATCAAAACCCTCCCAAAGTTAATGTGTTTTGCAAAACTTAATACAGAGAAATGTTTTTATTGAACTTATATTTGAAAAAATACTTTTCAAGTATTCCTTTGTGGTGCTTCCAACCCAAATATTGCCAAGCGGAGAGCGTAAGGAACACATAGGAAAGCAGACTAAACAGGCGAGTCTCATTTTGCGGTGTACAGGGAATGACACGCAAGGCGGCACCAGAGAAAATGCTTTCGTGTGCGACTCTTCTTGACGATTTGTCAGAAAACCGATATCACATTTTTAAACAATAACGGATGCTGTCTTTGGAGGAATAAGATTTCTTACTTTACACTCTGCTCTTTTGCTCAAATTAATTCTGGAATAAAATCCTGGTGATCTAGAGTTGTCAGAGATGATGCTCTAGATGTGAGTTTTTTGGTAAACCAAGGTGAATATTTACAGGAATATGTATAGCTTGGCTTTTGTTTTCCTTTTCTTCAATTTAAGTCTTTTGCATGTGAATATTTTTCTAAAACGTAACACGTACTTTCACACATTCATAAACAGAATCTAATGGACAAATGGGTTCATAACCTGGTTTCGTGAGCATGAACACAGTACTGTGCCTTCTTCTCAGGCTCCTCTGAGGTGAACTAAGCTGCACCAAACAATGGTGATTTTTGACTTTTTGGGTGCCTTTTATGTTTTTCTGTAGCACCTTTATCCTGTCAGTATGCCTCTTAGCAGGCATTCTGTCCCTTTCTAATTTATAGCTTCTGATTTACTCTTGAAAATCAGATGAACAAACTTGTTAAAACTGTGTGCAAAGTAAGAATCAGTAGTCTTCAGTGAGACCTAAGTGTCTGCTAATATACAATATGCTCAAATCTGTGATGTTGGTTGGATGCTGAGAGGTGTTTTCTATTACTAATCTGGTTGTAGTGAAACTAGGAGAGGCCCCCAGGGTTGAGTTCTAGGTTTGCAAGGTATTGCTGTAATACACAAGCAAAGTATAAAGACAACCTCACAAATTACACCAGAAGGAACTGTTTTTTTTTTTTTTTTTTGGGATGGAGTCTCTCTCTCGCCCAGGCTGGAGTGCAGTGGCACGATCTTGGCTCACTGCAATCTCCACTTCCCGGGTTCAAGCGATTCATTCTCCTGCCTCAGCCTCCTGAGTAGCTGGGTTTACAGGCACGTGCCACCACACCCGGCTAATTTTTGTATTTTTAGTAGAGATGGGGTTTTACCATGTTGGTCGGGCTGGTCTCGAACTCCTGACCTCGTGATCTGCCCACCTCGGCCTCCCAAAGTGCTGGAATTATAGGTGTGAGCCACCACGCCTGGCCGAAACTTTCTAATTTTTACAGTTTCACAATATAAAGGAGAAAGTCGATGCTCAGAGAGGCAAAATGGCCTGCCTAGAAGCCCTCAATCTGTGGCCACGCCCACACTGGAACTGGATTTCCCGACTATAGTTCCAGTACTCTCTACACTTGCCTTGCACCTCTAAGGGGAAGATAAGGTTCTTGTGAAGGGCAGAGTGAGATGAGTCCCAAGGCACTAGCCAACCTATTCTCCCCAGAGTATTTGTGCTCTGCTCATGTTCCACAGTGGAATCTACCTAGAGATGGGCAGGTGTACACACGCATGCTTATCAGCACCTTCCTAGCCCTGAAGGCCAGAGGGGAATTGTCCTCGGATTTGGGGTCTGGAGAGTTTGCTGGTCCTGGGAAGGCTCAACAATTCCCAACGCTATCCTTCACAGAACTTTAGGGGACTCTAGCTCCCCCTGCCCCACCCTAAAGACTGGGGACTTTCTAGAAAGAGATCGTCCAACACCACCTTCGCCCTCCTGACAGAGATTCTGATAGGCTCAGACCTCCAGTGCTGCAGCAGTACTAATTCCTAAGCTCCTGACTTGAAATCGCAGACCTGGCACCTCTAAGACTCATGAAGACCTGGGGATCTAAGTGCAGGCTGAGGGGAAAACCCAAAAGTGAGGCTCTGCCAAAGCACACAGAGCCCCTCACTCAGCAGAAACACTTCCTGTCACTACACTTCCCTCCCAAGGGCTGTTCTTGCTTATGAGCAACTGGATAAAGACTTGAACAAATTTTATAAAGCAAATTTCTATTCAAAAGAAGGACCCACTCTGGTCAGAAAACCATCAGTGCTAGCTGAGCATATTTCCTGTGTGGGACTAGGGATACGTCCTGAAAACCAGGCATGGTAGATGCCGTTGGAGAGGATGCCCTGTCCGATTTCTTTACCAGCAGGCACACCTATCCCCAGCATATATTTGGTGCAGCAGCTAAAGGCTTACAGCTGATACATTCCTGGAGCATTGTCCTTGGCCACAGGGAGCCACCTTGGAGGTTATACCACCATATACCACCACCCAGCTCCAGTGGAGGCAGTGACTTACTGGCACCCGGGTCAGCAGTTGGTCCTGGTGCTTCAAGTCACGGCAAATCTATGGTGTGGTTTCTGTTCCAGGATCCCCGAGGATCACATGAAGGTTAGGCTTGACCTCAGTCACAGCTTGCTCTAGTCTTGCGCCTTACCTATCCTGCTTCCCTCACTCCTTCATAGGTTTTTCCTGAAGAACACTCGCTAGCTAATTTTGTGCCCCTAAGGCACTATGTTCACCTAACATCCAGATGTGTTCTTTTTTTTTTTTTTGAGATAGAGTCTCGTTCTGTTGCCCAGGCTGCAGTGCAGTGGTGTGATCTCAGCTCACTGCAACCTCTGCCTCCCAGTTCAAGTGATTCTCCTGCTTCAGCCACCCGTGTAGCTGGGACTACATGTGCACGCCACCATGTCTGGCTAATTTTTGTATTTTTTAGCAAAGATGGGGTTTCACCATGTTGGCCAGGCTGGGTTCGAACTCCTGACTTCAAATGATCTGCCCGCCTCGGCCTCCCAAAGTGTTGGGATTACAGACATGAGCCACCGCACCTGGCCCCAGATGTGTTATCTCTTAGTGGCCTTGGCTGAGAGTGTATCTTTGGTGTCTGCTGCAGTCAATGGTAACTTCTATTGGAGTACTTGCCTCCAAGTACTCTTTTTCTCCAAGCCTCCAACACAGCGTTCTTGAGTGTGCTTCCCAAGCCCACTTCACAACTCTGTAACCAGAAAGAGCATTTCTGTTTCAAGAACAAATTAAGGCTGATGCCTGAATTGATATTCCTTGTCTCTAAGGGTAAAACCTAAACACACCCCAACACCACCATCATCAATAGTTCCTTTCCTGATCTTCAATGTGTATCTCTCACGTGAATGTTGTACTGTGTGCTTGTTGGGTTGAGGTCAACAGGCAAAGCTGGGAGCAGGCAAAGCTGGGAGCGCGGGCAGGAATCTCTGAAATTCATCTAGGAAGAAGCAGGTCCTGAGACAGGTAGTGAAAGCCAGGAAGCCAAGAAGTTGGATCTTAGGGAGGAAATGGAACTCAGTTTCCTCGACCCTTCAGAGTCTAAATGCATTGCCATTGTCCCCAGGTGGTGGGTGTTCTCACAGGGAGGAAGTCCAGGAAGTAGGCAGGGAGGGGCCTGAACCTCCCCAGATAGTGATTGGGTAGGTGGCTACACTCAACAGCCAAATCAGCCAGATTAGCTGCTTTGGGGTTTATTCATTCCTGTTCTTCCCAATTCCTGATCTCCCACCACACCATGCCTTTGGCAATGTCTTATTTAAACATTTGGGCCAAGCCTCAGGTGAGGAAGTAAGGATGGGAGGGAAGTGTGGGTGAGTGACTGAGGGAAGGGGTGAGGGAAGAGGTGACTGAGGGGTGGTGAGGCCATGATTCTGCGCATAACATCTGTGAAGTCCAGCCAGCACCCCCAGTGGAGGCTGTCCTCTGCAGCTCTTTGTTGTCCTAACTTACAGTACCTTGGCCACTCACACAGGTTTGCTTGACCTGCTAGGGTTAACTGGAAGGCAAAAGTTCTATAAAGGTATTGGTGATGTTTTCTCTACTACTTTTCGCTACTGGAACACCTGCTCTTTGAGGGGGCTGGCCTCCTGCTAGATGGAACCTGTGGGAGAGAAAGGCTCAGTCCTGGTCTTAGTACTTGGTGTGGGGCACTCCTTGGAGGCTGGCTCAGGAGTCAGATTGCCCAAGGGAGATGAGACAGGAAGTCCTGCTGAGCCATTAATACCTTAAAACAGAGCAGTGCATCTCAAATGTTCCCAGCAAAGTCCCCCAACTCCAGAGGCATTCTCAGTGACTTCTTGAGTTGCAGACACCGGGAGCTCTGCTTAATGCAGCCACCACTGCACAAGCATAATATTTCTTTGAATTCTCCATTTCATCTTGCATATTCATGTGACTTTTTTGCATTTGACTCCATGATATGGTGGGGCTAGTTTTAGAATATGAACGATGAGGAGTGGTATCGTCTAGTTGCTAAGAACATGAGGTATTTAAACCTTTCCACTTCAGTTTCCTCATTTGCAAAATGGGAATAAAAATAATATCTACCCCATAGGCTGTTGTGATGATGGGATGACTCGGTATAAGCAAAGTATCTGGAACAGTGCCTGCCACATCCTAAGTGTTTTGAATGTTAATGTGGCTATTCCTTTACTGATACTCTGATATGAGAAGCACGAAAAATCAATTCTCATTATTTGCAGATTCCTTATTGTGAATTCAGCTACTGGGTAAAATTTATTTGTCACCTCCGTTAAATTAAGTTTAGCCTAAAGTTGCCTTCTTACATATTTTAAGTTCGGCCTAAAGGTCTCTCTGTACATAGTAAACTGTAACCTGATGATGTGTAAACAGACTGTAACCTACTCTTGAAGCAGTCACAGAGTTTTGGCCAATCACAGGCGGTCAACTGTTTAAACCATGTTTAAATAAGGCAAATGCCGAGCTGTAACCAATCCAGCTGTTTCTGTACCTCATTTCCGTTTTCTGTTCATCATATTCCGTTTTCTATCCATAAATATTATCTGACTATGTGGAAGCCCCAGAGTTGCTCTGAATCTATTTTGTTTTGGGGCTGAGGGGGGCTGCCCTATTTTCAAATTGTTCTTTGCTCAATTAACCTCTGTTAAATTTGTCTAAAGTTTTTATTTTAACACCTCATAATCAATAGCTGCAGCACTTTCAAAGTCATTGAACCAGTGCTGAACGTTTTGAGTCTCTTGAGACACATGTTGGAAGCTAAGGTCCAACCAGTCAACCCTCTGTCTTCTTGTTTCAGCTTTCACACTGTAAATGAGTGGCCCAAAAGTTCTCTTCATTGCCATGTTTTCACATTTTTTTGGTCTTTTTTTTGATGATTTTGCTGCTTAAAGCACCCCCCAGGCACAGTGCTGAAGTGAAGTCTAGCGTTCCTAAGTGGAAGAAGGCTGGGATGTGTGTTGCAGAGAAAATACGTAAGTTAGATAAGCTTCATTCAGGCATGAGTTACAGCACTGTAGGCTGTGAGCTCAGTGTTCAGGAATCAACAATAGATGTTAAGTAAGGCGTCTTTAAACAGAAACATGCATAAAATAAGGCAATGTGTTGATTGATTGACAAAAATATTGTGAGCTTGCAGGAACCCAACTCTATATTTCCCCTAGGAACAATGGCTCCATATTCACAAATTCGTTGTTCTGTGACTTTATAGACCACAACTACAGTAAATAAAAAGGATCGATTGTCCATAGATGAGTTAGTTCTAGTTTAGCCCAGCCCTCCCTACCCTTCACTGGCTACTCTTACCTCTCCTGTCTCCACACTGACCTGTCCTCTGCTCACTTGCCACAAGTCCAATCATTTTACATAGAGTGGAGAGACAGCCTTGAAGATCCTCTTCTTGGTCAGAGGAAGTCACCAGAGTAAGTAAGGGAAGAATGAGTGAGGAAAGCAGGCAGGGCCAATTGCTCTTGGCAAAGCTCTAGCAGTAACCGGAACGCAGCAACCACAGAGAAGGCAGGAGAACAACTTTAGGGGTGAACAGTCCAGGCTCTAGAGAGAGGCAGATAGGGGTTCCAGTCCTGGCTTCTCCACTCATGGTGGGCAAGTTATCCTCCCAGCCTCAGATTTATCCTAGGTGAAATGGGATAATGCTCGAACTACTGCTGCTGTGAAGATCAGATAGACACAAAGAGCTTGGTACTCGACAGACACCCAAGGAAATGGCGACTGTGGTAGGACTTAGGTGGGGGCATAATGCAGCCTTTAAGATCAATCTCCTGGCCCTTGGCTTATCCTGCTGGGACTAGGACAAGGACAGGGACAAACATTTCCTTTTACTTCTCCTCACCTCCAGAAGTACACAGGCAACTCACCCCAGTCTCTTGTCCGCGACACTCTTCCCCCCAACCCCAAATCCCAGGCCTGGACACGGCATGATTCTGGCACCTGTGGAGCTCTCAGTTCCCCAAGCCCGGCTCAGACAAGGAGGCGCCAGGTACCCAGTTAAGAGGCGCTCCTGCAAGATCCTCGTGGTCCCTGGCTGCCAAAGGTCCCAGGCCTCTGGGCAGTGAGCGCTCCACAGTCCCTTGTGTGGCGTCTATGCTGCGCGGAGGAGGCGCAGGCCAGGAGAGGGCCATTGGTCTCCACTATGGTCCTGCCTGGCCAGGAGTGCCTATGGCTCTTAGGCACGAGCCAGCGGTTCCGGGCAAACCTCTGTGTGGCTGCTGGGCCTGACTTTGCAGAGCTGGCGCCCGGGTCTGGGCGGGGTGGGTGGAGGCTATGGGAGGTGGGGCCGGGGGTGGGCTCGGGGGGAGCGACGGCATCCCTGCTCCGGCTCCGGCTGAGGCGGGGCGGCCAGGCTGGCTTGCGGCGCAGCGGCCGCCTTTCCCCAGTGCGCCTGCCGGCGGCGGCGGTGGCGGCGTCGGCAATCCCGGCTCTTGGCACAACGCCTGGCGGCCGGCCCAGGGCGAGGAGTGGCTTCCAGGAAGCGGGCGGAGGAGCGTTCCAGCCGAGTCCCGCCGTCGCCGCGGCCCCGCGCGCTCCGAGCGGCCCGGGCCTGGCCCCACACGGCGTCTCTTCGCGCCCCCGGCGCCTCCAGCTCAAGCCGAGGGCGCGGTGCCGGCGCGCAGGCTGACGGGCGCCTGGGCGCGCCGTGCACTTGCCGGGCGGTGCAGGTGGCGGCGCGCGCCCTCCGCCTCTGGGCCGGGGCCAGCGCAGCGCTCTGCGCGCCCGGAGGGGGCGGGAGAGGCGGGGCAGCCCCCGTCCCAGCCCCATTTAACTTCGCGGCGGCGGCGGCGACTGCGGCGCCGCGGGCTGGAGGCCGGCGTCGGGGAAGGTCCTGGTGCCGGATTCCGCACGAGGTGTTGACGGGCGGCTTCTGCCAACTTCTCCCCAGCGCGCGCCGAGCCCGCGCGGCCCCGGGGCTGCACGTCCCAGATACTTCTGCGGCGCAAGGTGGGTGCACCGAGCTCGGCGCAGGGCGGCCCCTCAGGGGTCGGGGGAAGGCGCTCCCCAGAGGGAGTAAGACTTGGAGCAGTGGCCTCTCTAAGCAAGTTGGGGGTCTCCAAGCAGAGTCGGGGCGTGCCACGCGGGCCCCAGGGGGCCTCAGGACTGGGGTGCTCCTCACTGCTGGGCACCTCGGGTCGGGCGCGCTTCGTGCCGTCCCGGAAGGTTCAGGGAGAGTCTTTCGGCGGCAGTTCGCGGGCTGAGGGGCGTTCTTGATTATGGGGGAACTCCACAGGGTTGGAGTTTTTCAGGATTGGGAGTTACTAAGCAGAAACCTCGCGGGTCCGAAGGTCCGGCCGGTTGACCACTGGGTAGCGAGCGCCCAGAACGCCGGGGGTTGAGGCGACGCGCGATCGTGGAAAGTGGGCGTGGGGGTGACCGGGACGCGGCGGAGGCACTGGAGGAGCGACTTCGAGGCAGCGGGTAGTCGGAGGAGTGTGCACTCGGAAGGCTGGTGCGAGCAGGCGAGGGTGGCGCAGAGTCCCAGGGCCCCGCACTGGCCGCCTCCCTTCAGCCAGGAGTCGCCGCCTCAGGTCGGAAACAGCAGCACATTTGCGGATCACATTAGACCAGGCCCTTAATGCCTTCTCCAGATGGAGAGAAGCCACCGACCCGCCCCCGGACACCAGCTCCGCCAAGGCGCCCGCGAGGCGAAGCGGGAGTCGAGTGTGACCTCGGCTTTTCCAGTCTCGACTCATACTGATTTCCCTGTAAATTGACAGGAAAAGTAAGGGAAAAAGTCCCCGCTTCCCTCCTGGTTTCAGCTGACCTCTGCTGGCTGGCCCTCACCTACTTTTAGGAGATTGTGTTAGGCTGGCTCAGGGGCTGTGTCCTCCAAACCTCCCTGAACTTAGCTCTCAGGCGTCTCTCTGGGTGTGGGTCCCGGACCTCGAGGGCGCACGGTGTCATCTAGCGAGGAAAGCCTTGAACTATCAGAAGATCTGCGTTTCAGCCCTAAAATGTCACTATCTTGCTGTGTGACCTTAGGCAGGTCCTTTCCCTCTCTGGGCGGCTTTGTTGTCTTAGACTCATTTTTGCCGCGAGCAGCAGAAGCTAGCCTAAACCTTGGCTCTGTGCTGGCTTCCTGAGTCAAATGCCAATAGCGACACCCTGCTGCTGACAGATAGGCTTGGGCAGGGATATCTCAGCTTCTGAAGAGCTGGAGGTATGAGATGCCCACTGGAGACAGGTCCAGCCCTCGCCTGACTTTGTTGTGGACCTTCTAAAGGGAGCCCAGTTAGCCTGCACCCTGCAGTAGGCAGCGGCAACCTGGGCCAACACAAACCTTTCCAAAATAGTATATGGGCTTCAGGGTCCCTCCATCTAATGGGTCGCTTAAGTCACGGTTTACTGCCATGGGGGCCAGAGCTGGTTGGTAATGAACTCTTTCCTCGTTTGTAGGCTACAACTGAGACCCGGAGGAGACTAGACCCCATGGCTTCCTGGACGAGCCCCTGGTGGGTGCTGATAGGGATGGTCTTCATGCACTCTCCCCTCCCGCAGGTAAGGTCATATAGGGAGGGGAAGGGAAATGGTGGACATCCCTCTGTTTACTCAGAGGCATTATTGTATACCACCTAAGATGTGGCATGATTAGTGTTAATCCTACACCAGAGAACCAGACTTTCTTTCCTATCTCTAGCCAATGGTATTTCTGGTTGGCTTAGCTGTAAGGATTATCCAGATCCCTTGGGTCCTCTCTGAATCCTGAGTAGGGCTTTAATAGCACTGTGGATACCATACACCGGTGATGACCTGGGGCTGTGATGGACCCTGTCATTTCAGACTAGAATGGCTGTCTGCATGTGCCCAGCAGAGGCTGGGTTGCTGGAGACCAGGAAACAATGGGCAGAGCCAGGTTCTGGCCCTAGCTAAGCTGCTAAATAAATATTCTGAGTTTACATCTATCATCACATATCCCACTGTTTTATCCCACAGTCCTCTCTTTAGACTTCTGCTGTCTTTTCCAACCAACTTGAGAGGACCCGGCTCATGAATTGCATCTTTATTTGCCTAAAGGACAGACTCAAACAAAGGAATGAGGCTAGCATTGCCTAAGAGACAATAGAGAGTAACGGAGACAGTGGCAAAGTGCAGAACGCGTGCTCCATCTATTAAGAGCAGTCTCTACTCAATTCCATCTGATCGTTGCTAAGTGGAGACATAAGCCCAGGATTGCCAGATCTTATTTTTCAAGATAGCTGGATCATCTAGACTTCTTACAAAATTTCCCAGTTTTTAAAGTATTGAAAGGCAGATAAATGTGTTTGCAGCCTGGATTCAGCCAAGCAGTTTGCAGCCCCAGATCTAAAGGCAGGGCACATCTTAGTATTGTGTCCCAAGGGCTGCTGCTAGCTCCATACAGTGTCTTATGAATTAGAACAAGGCAATCCCTCCCTGCAGACATAGCTTCTCAAATACATGGCTTGGTGGCCTGTGTACCCTCAGGGTCTCGGAAGGGACTTGTCACTTAAGGGCTTAAATGTCTGTTAAATAAACATGCATCCATGAATGAAGATATATACCCTGGGATAAATTAATCAGACTCCTCTGCCTCTTGTTTCACTTTCTTGGACTTAGTGCCTCTAAAGCCTCTTTTGGCTCCAATGCCCTGTGAATTCTGTGATGCACAAAGAACTGGTCAGCAAGGTACATCTTCTCCCCACTATCCCATTTTATCGATACTATCCCATAATCATATTAATAGAGCTCTTTTGTTAGAACAAAAGTTAAGTCTTTTCAGGATGATGTTAGGGTTCTCTGGCCAGCGAGATGACTGTTGAGGTAAAAGCGTGGAGACTTACGTTTCTGTCTCATCAGCGGATCTGAAACAGGCTTTGAGAGCTTCAGAGATTTGTTCCTGGTCAAATGGGGCTGAGGCTTCAAGGCACAGTGTTCATTTTGCCTTCTTTCACCTTATAAAATTTAAATATGCTTTGAGGCAGTCTGTTGACCTTTGGCCAAGGGCAGTGTTTGCCCAGCTTGAATCACTCACTGACCTCTTTTGGATTTTTCCATATCTGTGTGCCTGTGGCAGTGCTGTTTCCATGTATCCAGGCAGTGTGCATAGAAGGTCATAAAAGGAGATTTCAGACCAGCAGTCTTCATCATTCACGCCACTCACTGTTCGGATCCCAGCTCTACCACTTCATTACTGTGTCACGCAAACGTCTCTGCATCGCATCTCAGTTTTCACATCTATACAGAGGAGATAATATTAGTATAGACCTCAGAATTGTTTGGAAGAGTTAATCCATTGTGAAGTGGAAAAAAGTGAAAAACCAAACCAAACAATGTCTGGCACATAGTAAGTGTACAATAAATGTCAGCATTCTGCTGTTGCTGCTGCTTGTCAGCATTAGAAGCTTGAAGCAAGCGCAGTGCCTGTATTTTCTGGTGTAGAGCCTGTAGGGGGCACTCAAGAGGTATCAGCTGTGGAGGGCCTGATCTTCAGGGAGTGTGGGTGGGCATGGCTAGGTCTGTCTCACCAGAGGCCCTGAGAAAAGGTTCTAATGAAGGGTGGTAGGTCAGCCCTGTGTCCCTGTCCGTGGGTTGGATGCTCTGTTTTTTCCGTAGGGTCAGCCTGGGTTTGACTCAAGGCCGCCCTTTCTGAAGTATCTTGTGATTTTGGTGTTTGGGTGGGGCTTAAGGTGTTCCCTGGCGTCTACCCTTGCTTCGTATGTGCTGCCACCAAGGTGGTTGTTAGAAAACTGCTAGATGTGTGAGGCTGAGCTGTGAGGAGCAAGGGATGTGCCAACTAATTAATAACAAATAGAGTTTCCTTTCTTTTCTTTTCTTTTGAGACATGGTTTCACACTGTTGCTCAGGCTAGAATGCAGTGGCATGATCTCAGCTCACTGCAACCTCTGCTTGCTGGGTTCAAGCAATTCTCGTGTCTCAGCCTCTGAGTAGCTGGGACTACAGGCGCACACTACCACATCCAGCTAATTTTTGTATTATCGGTAGAGATGAGGTTTTGCCATGTTGGCCAGGCTGGTCTCGAACTCCTGACCTCAAGTGATCTGCCCACCTCGGCCTCCTAAAGTGCTGGGATTACAGATGTGAGCCACTGCGCCCGTCCACAAATATATTTTCTTTATTGAATCAGCTAAAATGTAAACTCTTATATTCACTGCCCACAAATAATTGTGAGAGATTGTAGAACAAGGTAAGAGGCTGGTAGTTCCTTGTTTTTGTAACTCGTTCTTGACCATTCCTCGAGGAGCTCACTGTTCCCCTCATCCAGGCAGCTGGAGCGGCCTCCCCTCTTCCTGTCTCACAGGCCCTGGAAGCTTCCTGTTGCTCCAGGCTTCTCCTTAGGGATCTGATTTTCCCAGAGAAGACAGCAGCTGCTGTTCCTACTCTCTCTTCCAGCCTGGAGTATTTGAAAGCTTTTCAAACTTTATCCAGCCTGGAGTATTTGAGAGCTTTCCAAACTTTATCTAGCCTGGAGTATTTGAGAGCTTTCCAAACTTTATCCTGAACACCTTGAAGATGAGTCCTGTGTTGACTGTGCCCTGAATTACAACGTGCCCCCCCTTTTTTTTCTCTTGCCCATGAGAAGAATAAACAGCCTTATCTGTTCACTAATTTAATTGTCATAGGATGGCTTCCTAGCTCTCTGGCCAAGTGCCTTTAGAAACTGTTTTAACATTGGTCATGTGGCTTGCGATTATCTCTTTAAACAACCATGTCAAGATGGCTTCGTGTATATCTGAATGGCCCTCCACCGTGTTTGCCCCTCGGGAGGTGCTGTACTGTTTAGATTCTCTGGCAAATTCTGTCCTCTCCCATTTCCTGTGACTCTGGATGGAATAGCCTTTTCAGAAGAATGACTTGATCTTTGACTGTCTCCACTGCCAAGTTCATAGATATCTACTGGAACAGATCCCTCGAGGCCACAGTTTTGAAAGGCAGGAGACATTTGGATGAAGAAGTCCTGGGAGGTCTTATAAGTCTGTGGTGACCTCCTCTGCAGGGAAGATTTTGAAAATTTCAAAACACAGCTTGTAAAATAAGCAATATCTGGGTTGGCTCCGATCCTGTCCCCTGGGTCTTGTTGGTGCATAAGTATAGGACAGAATTATTTAACTTCTTTTTTCTGATCCTGAGGCTGGAGGCTAGTGTAGAAGGCTGATCTTACAGAGGGCTTTGAGGTAGGGTGGGAATGGAAGGCCAGGTGGCCTCGGGTAGATGCCCTTTGAGCTCCTGTTGCCTTCATCATAATATTTGGTGGAGCTCCCAGGCTGACAGTGTGGATGTCCTTGGGATATGTGGTAGGTTGCCTAATGACCCCCAGATATGTCCATGTCCTAATCCCTGGAACTCATAAATATTCCCTTATATGGCAAAAAGGACTTGGCAGATGTGATTAAGAATATTGAATTGGGGAGACTATCCTGGATTATGCAATCACAACAGTCCTTATAAGAGAGCCACAGGAGAGTCAGAGGCAGAGGTAGTAGAAGATGCTACCATGGAAGCCAGAGACTGGGAGAATGTAGCCAGGAGCTAACGCATGCCAGCAACCTCTAGAAGTTGGAAGAGATAAGAAATGGATTTTCTGCTCAAGTCTTCAGATGTAACTGGCTGTAGTGACACCTTGATTTTAGTCCTGTAAAAATGCATTTCAGATTTCTGACCTTCAGAACTGTAAAAGAATAAACTTATGTTGTTTTAAGACCTAAATTTGTGGTAATTTGTTACAGCACCAAGAGGAAACTAATACAGGATGTCAGGGGTGGGCTTTGAATCTTGACCTCTTTGCTGCCACCAACACAGGCATCCTCTCTCCACCTCCGGTAACCCAGGTGCAATCATAGGGGCTGAGAGAGGCTGGCAAAGTCACATAATTGACATGAGGACAAAAGAAGTGCCATTTGAGTATTGGTGGCTTAGTCCAGGCCTCTTATTCACCTTCTACAGCAATCTCACACTCCATAGCAATTTCACCATCCAAGTTCCCCCAGTTACCCCTGCTATTGCTATCACCCTTGATCATGTCAATCATGGGCAGTGAGGATGGAATCCTAAGGAAGGTAGTCCTGGGTCAGGGTTCAGGGAACTTTCTCTGTGGGTAAATCAGCTCAAGGTAGCCCTGACTCTGACATGGCACATAATTCCTTTTAGGTCAGCCTAGATTTGGTTGGGTTTGGCCCCTCGACAAGTCATAACCTTGTGTCTGAGTGTTGCCCCATGCTGGGTGATCTGGGAGAGTTGGGGCCTCTGAAAGACACAGATTTATTGAGAAGTCTCATTTCAGTAAGGTATAAATATGGAGCCAATCACTGGTCCAGCCATGCCTTGTGAAATCGCCTTTTCCCATCCCCTAATGGAATCTTAGGAAGATCCAGTTTTGGTTATTAAAAGTTCAGTTCCAAAAATTTTCTCCCATTTTGTAGGTTGCCTGTTCCCTCTGATGGTAGTTTCTTTTGCCGTGCAGAAGCTCTTTAGTTTAATTAGATCCCATTTGTCAATTTTGTCTTTTGTTGCCATTGCTTTTGGTGTTTTGGACATGAAGTCCTTGCCCATGCCTATGTCCTGAATGGTAATGCCTAGGTTTTCTTCTAGGGTTTTTATGGTTTTAGGTCTAACGTTTAAATCTTTAATCCATCTTGAATTGATTTTTGTATAAGGTGTAAGGAAGGGATCCAGTTTCAGCTTTCTACATATGGCTAGCCAGTTTTCCCAGCACCATTTATTAAATAGGGAATCCTTTCCCCATTGCTTGTTTTTCTCAGGTTTGTCAAAGATCAGATAGTTGTAGATATGTGGCGTTATTTCTGAGGGCTCTGTTCTGTTCCATTGATCTATATCTCTGTTTTGGTACCAGTACCATGCTGTTTTGGTTACTGTAGCCTTGTAGTATAGTTTGAAGTCACATAGCGTGATGCCTCCAGCTTTGTTCTTTTGGCTTAGGATTGACTTGGCGATGCGGGCTCTTTTTTGGTTCCATATGAACTTTAAAGTAGTTTTTTCCAATTCTGTGAAGAAAGGCATTGGTAGCTTGATGGGGATGGCATTGAATCTGTAAATTACCTTGGGCAGTATGGCCATTTTCACAATATTGATTCTTCCTACCCATGAGCATGGAATGTTCTTCCATTTGTTTGTATCCTCTTTTATTTCCTTGAGCAGAGGTTTGTAGTTCTCCTTGAAGAGGTCCTTCACATCCCTTGTAAGTTGGATTCCTAGGTATTTTATTCTCTTTGAAGCAATTGTGAACGGGAGTTCACTCATGATTTGGCTCTCTGTTTGTCTTTTGTTGGTGTATAAGAATGCTTGTGATTTTTGTACATTGATTTTGTATCCTGAGACTTTGCTGAAGTTGCTTATCAGCTACTCATCTGACAAAGGGCTAATATCCAGAATCTACAATGAACTCAAACAAATTTACGAGAAAAAAACAAACAACCCCATCAAAAAGTGGGCAAAGGACATGAACAGAAACTTCTCAAAAGAAGACATTTATGCAGCCAAAAAACACATGAAAAAATGCTCATCATCACTGGCCATCAGAGAAATGCAAATCAAAACCACTATGAGATACCACCTCACACCAGTTAGAATGGCAATCATTAAAAAGTCAGGAAACAACATGTGCTGGAGAGGATGTGGAGAAATAGGAACACTTTTACACTGTTGGTGGGACTGTAAACTAGTTCAACCATTGTGGAAGTCAGTGTGGCGATTCCTCAGGGATCTAGAACTAGAAATACCATTTGACCCAGCCATCCCATTACTGGGTATACACCCAAATGACTATAAATCATGCTGCTATAAAGACACATGCACACGTATGTTTATTGCGGCATTATTCACAATAGCAAAGACTTGGAACCAACCCAAATGTCCAACAGTGATAGACTGGATTAAGAAAATGTGGCACATATACACCATGGAATACTATGCAGCCATAAAAAATGATGAGTTCATGTCCTTTGTAGGGACATGGATGAAATTGGAAATCATCATTCTCAGTAAACTATCGCAAGAACAAAAAACCAAACACCGCATATTCTCACTCATAGGTGGGAATTGAACAGTGAGATCACATGGACACAGGAAGGGGAATATCACACTCTGGGGACTGTGGTGGGGTGGGGGGAGGGGGGGATAGCATTGGGAGATATACCTAATGCTAGATGACGAGTTAGTGGGTTCAGCGCACCAGCATGGCACATGTATACGTATGTAACTAACCTGCACAATGTGCACATGTACCCTAAAACTTAAAGTATAATAAAAAAAAAAAAGAAAAAAAAGAAAGAAAGAAAAAAAAAAAGTTCAGTTCATTTAAAGTTTTGATTCTCAACTTGATTTAAATCTCATCTCCCTTTCCTCTAGTCTGGGCTTGACACATGGCTTCAGGTACCTGAAGTTGCACAGGGCTCTTTTCCCTCTACCATGGAATGGTACGGGTGTGGTGGGCACTGGTTCTGAGATACTTCTTCCTTTTATTTCTTCTGGATCTAGCTTTCCAAGGGTAGGAAACAAGGAAAGGGGAAGGGGATAAGGGCTATCAGCTCTTTACTCAACTGGATACCTCTCTCTGGTAGTTGTCACTGCCACTCCAGCTCTCCCTCAACCCTCTGCCCTCTGGGTAGCAGATGTGAGTTCTTTGGAGGGCTCCACAGGACACTTCCTGCAGCAGGTAGTCCAGCTTCAGCTTGCCACTTGCTGCCGGGGTCTTCTCACCTAGCAGGCAGCCTTATTGGATGGAGTGTAGGCTGGAGAGTTCAAACCCAGCTCCCTTTGGTGTAGTCTACCTGACCCATAGGAAATGCATGCTTCTTACTGTGCCAGACAGTGAGAAGACGGAATGCTTCAATGCTGCCTCCTCTCTCTGTCCTGCCAACTCCCTTCAGTTCTCCTTTCCTTGTTCTGATAGATCCAGGGAGAGATCAGCAGACCCACGGTCTAAGCAGATGTTCATCTGTAGAGTGGACGGACATTCTCTCCTTGCAGCCGCCCCCAATCTCTATGAGTATTTCTCGTTTTCTTTATTTTCATTTCTAATGGCTGTGTTCCATTGTAGTTATGGTTATACCATAATGGCATAAGTGGCATTATGTGTTATTTAAACCCATTATTTCCTTATTGAATATTTGGGTTGCTTCCTGGATGGTTTGTTCACTCGTGTTTACCATCAGACACCTGAAATGAACATCTCATGCTCACATCTTTGCTTACTTGAGTATTTCCTTAGAATAATCCTTTCTTAGTGTACTGTGCTTTGCTACACACTTGATACACATTGTGGCCTTCCTCCTTTCACCCTGTTTCAGTTCTGTGTAGAGCTTTTCCAGCACTCCGGGTTTTATGTCATAAATGTACTTCCCATGACCTTGTCCCCCAAGTGATTTTGGATCAATATTCCAGTCTGTGTTGACACTGGTGATGGAGTCTGAGCAGGAAGATCTTGGGTCGTCTTGGATGCAGACACCGCTTTATTGCCAAGTTGCCCTGAAAATCTGCAATACAGAGTTATTGGCTAGATCCAGTGAGAATCTGGTGGGAGAATGAATGGGAGCTCTCTCCTTGTGTGTTGCCTGTGATCCCGGCACTCCTTTTTCTCTTTCTACCTCTCTGACCTTTCCATCTCACTCTCCTTCTTTGGCTCCTCTCTGGCTTTTAAAAAATGCTCCTCAATTCCAGAGCTCTGCCTTTGCCCTCCCGTCTGTCCCTCCACATGCTCTCCCAGGCAGCCTCCATCTCTCCAGAGGCTCCTGCCTGGGGGTTATCAGGTGGAGACCCAGGTCTCATGACGATGTCGTCTCTCAAATGTAAACTTTTGAGGTTTTCTTCAAATAGCATTATATATACCGAAAAGATAAAAAGTTGTCCATTATTTTACATTAACTGTTAAATGTAAACATTAAAAATAAACACAATCTTCATAACTCTGTTTTGGCTTTTCTTGTTTCTTTCTTTTTCTTTTCTTTTCGTTTTTTTTTTTAACTCAAGGTTCCCTCCAAAGTGGAAGAGGCTCAGCACCTCAGAGGGGCTTCTGTTTGCCTCTTCAATGAGCTGCAGACCAATATATGCATGAGCTACCATGCACCAGAATGTTCCTTGGTGGTGTCAAGCACAAATGCTTCTCAAACCAAAGTCCTTACCTCTCACTGCGCTCTCTTGCTGTGCCTAGATTCTCCATCACCCAGCCATTTGAGCCAGATCCTGGCATCACTGTAGATGCCTTCTTTATTCCTGTACCTGCCCTGTACCCATTCAGCCACTAACTCCCATTTTTCCCATCTCAGAAATGTCTTTTAAATGTTTCCTCCTCTCAGTTTCCATTGATGCTGTGTTTGAAGACTAGGGACATGGCAGCGTGGAGTATGAGATAATGATGAACAAAGATAGTCTGTGTTTGGGCACAGTGGCTCATGCCTGTGATCCGAGCACCTTGGGAGACCAAGGCAGGAGGATTAGTTGAGGCCAGAAGCTTGAGATCAGGTTGGAAAACATAGCAAGACCTCATCCCTACCAAAAATGTAAAAAATTAGCTGGTTATGATAGCTGTGCTTGTAGTCCCAGCTACTTGGGAGGCTGAGGTGGGAGGGTCGCTTAAGCCCAGGCAGTTTGTGGCTACCCTGGGGACGACCTTGAAGAGCATGTAAAGGATTTTACTCAGTTAGTAACATGGAGTTCTGTGGTTGCTGATCAGGAGGTGGTGGAGGCACCGTTGCGACACCATTGGACCATGGGGACACACTTCAGCAAAACATAATTGGGAGACCTCTTCTAGGCGGGCAATGATGAGACCTTAAACTCAGTTTTCAAGAGCAAACTGGGTGGAGAGTTAGCTGTGGACAAGAGGATATGAACGTGGGGATGATGTTAGAACCTGAAGGAGTGGAACTTGGTAAGTGATTACATGGGCTTGAGAGAGAGAGGGAGGAATCAAAATTCCTTCAGGTTCCAAACAAGTGTTAGGGACACGTGAGGGTGGAAATTCACCCTGATCTTGGGAAATAATTGGTTACATTTGAAGGAGTAGTTTGGGGGACTACATGGAGTCTCACCTTCGGGGGAAGGTGAGGCACTGAATAAAGGAAGGATATACTACTCTTTGAGAGAGAAACAGGATCATTAGAGAGGTTTTCCTTAGCAGAGTGTATTCCGTATATTCATACTCTAAAAGGAAAGCAGCCAGGAGAAAGGGAGAGATTGAAGATAGAAGAGGAAAAAACCAATTACATGTAATTGTTTCATAACAGAAAAAACTTAGGCAGTGTTCCTCCATTGCATTACTAATGTATCTTAAAGCACCAAAGCTAACATCTTATGGAAACCACATTTCAAGGTTTATGATTGTGATTGCTTTCAGTTTATTTTTACAAAGATGCTAATTTCCATAAATAACATGGAAGCATAAAGCAGTTTCCTCTCCAAGTATTTCATGGAATTACTTTCTGGAATTTGTCAGCACTGAACAGCTCCGGCCAACGTATGCTATAAATTATTGTGGTCAAATACTCAGAAATGCTTTTATTGTCCAAGCCTTCATTTACAAATAAACGGTATTTTATTTTGAAAATAATTTAAAAACAAAGAAGAGTAACTATTTTACTAATAAAAGAATATTTAAAGTATTAAAGGACTCTAAATTCTCTTTACTCTCTTTTGAAATTGCCTTTTTTTAAAATTTAAAAACAGCACATATTCATTATAAAAATGTAGAAAACACAGGAAGGGACAATGATGAAAATAAGCATCACCTTTAATTATACTAATTGTTAGGATTTTGTTGTATAGATTTCTGATATTCTTCTTAGAATATTAACAAATATGTATCTTTTAAACAGTGACTATACTCCATTTTGATAACTATTTAAAAAATTTAATATTATGAGGAGTATTTTCTACATGTCATTAAATATTTTCCTATAATGATATTAAATGTATTCCTGCTGTTACATCATTTGGATGTGTCATGCTTTATTGACCAATTCTTCACTACTGAGTGTTGAAATGTATTCAAAGAAATGTTTGTTAAGACACATAATTTTTGGGTCAAGAAGTTTGTGAAATTTTAAGACCTTTAATATATACTACAGATTGTCTTTTAGAAAATTCCATTGATGTCTATGCTTACCTTGCAATAGTTGCCACTATAAGATTAAGGAAATTTTATTAGTAAGAGGTTATTAAAAATACTTTGGGCCATTTGTATTACTTCTTTTTTGTGTGTTGTCTCCTTAAGGCATTAGAAATGGAATAACAGGACTGGGCACAATGGCCACACCTGTACTCCCAGCACTTTAGGAGGCTGAGGTGGAAGGGTTGCTTGACTGCAGGAGTTCAAGACCAGTCTGCACAATATAGGGAGACCCCCATCCCTACAACAGATAAAGATAAATTATCTGGGCGTGGTGGTGTGTGTGCCTGTGGTGCCAGCTACTTGAAAGGCTGAAGCAAGAGGATCACTTGAATTTGGGAGGTTGAGGCTGCAGTGAGCTCTGATTGTGCCACTGCACTCCAGCCTGGGTGACAGAGCAAGACCCTGTCTCAAGAAAAAAAAAAAAAGAAAAGAAATAGAAAAATAAATTTTCATCTTCATATGTATGCCCCATTTTTCTATGAGAATCTTATTAATTTGTAAGTACTCCTCATATACAAAGAGTATTAATTTTTTATCTTATGTTGCAAATAATTTTCCCATTTTGTCATTTACATTTTATTTTTGTTTATGTTTTGGATATACTGCCATTAAAAAATTTTAAGTAGTCTAGGAGGCTCTTAATTTTTTAACTCTCTACTTTTGTCATGCTTAGAAGTAACTTCATGTTGGGAGAAAATATATGGATATCTATATTATCACCTAGTCTTATATTTCTTTTTAAATATTTAAATCTTTATTTTAGAATATATGTTGTCGGTTAATCTTTCCGTCTTTTCTTGTGCTGATGCATACTTTTAAAGTTATTGTACCTTTGTAATGTGTTGGTATCCACTAAGGCAAGACCTCCCTTCATTATTACAGTTTTGACTAGTCCAGGTCTTTAAGTTTTTGGTCACATTCCAGGAACAAAAAGTTCTCTTGTCTTAAATGGCATATGGTATAATGGAGGAGTAACAAAAGTTCCTTCTCTCAAAACTTTGTAAAACAAACAACAACAAAAAGAACAGTTTATCTCTAATGAAGCAAGGAAATGGTGCCAGCTTCCAAACACAAATTATGAAGGTTTTTTTTTTTTTTTTTTTTGAGTACTGTGAAGTTTGGATGTAGGGGAGGGAGGATCCTGAAGACTGACATGTGTTTCCTTGGATTCTGAGCAGGACAGAGATTTCTGTAAGGATGTCCTATGTAATAAACTTTTTAAAGAACAGTGAAATTGGTGGCCCTGAGTGGGTCTTGGAAAAAGCAGGTATTGTCCCCAAAAAGGCCTAGTTTGACACCAAAAATGACATGGTACATAGAATTGAAAGGGAACCCTTATTGACCAAAAATTGGATTGTCCATTTGTACAAAACAGCCTCCTACAGAGGGAGATTGGTGCAGATGAAATGGGATGAAGGGGTGGGTGGGTGGAAGAGCAACCCTTTCCATAACAAAGAGACTGTAGGTTAGGGGCTCTCTTGAGATCCCTGATGACTTTTGAATGCTGAAAATGAAGAGAAGATAGGACTCCAGAGAAAAGAAAATAACATATTTAGTGATAGGATTAACCAAACACCAAAGCATAGTGGAAGTTAGGGACTACTCTATTCATTTTCTGTCTCGTACCCCATGTCCTCTTTATGCTGCTCTTCAGCTTGAAACAACAAAAATAAGTGCCATGGAATAAGCAATTGGGAACATGCTAGACAAAATATACACCCAACAAGATGAAATGTAAAAAACAAAAATATACAAATGGTGATAGAAAAATGATGACAAAGGAGGCCCAACATATGCATAGTTAATATTTTTGAAAAAGAGAACAGAAAATATTCAACAATATAATTAAGGAAAACTTTTCTCACTCTTTTTTTTCAGGTCATTGTAAATATTGATTCTGTTTTTTTGGTATTGAGTATTACTGAAGAGAAGTCTGTGGTCAATCTGATATTTTCTCTTTTTTTTTTCTCACTTTGACACTATACCTACATGATTTCTTCCTTATTCTGAAGTGTCATATCAGGACATGATATAAACAATTTTTATGTAAATTATTTTTTATTTCTGTGTGTATGTGTGTTTGTGTTTCAGTAACTTTAAAAAATGGGGTCATCAAATATGTAATGTTTTCATTTTTATTTTTGCTATTCTTTTCCTAAGCTCACTTTTTCTGTTGTCTTGAAATGTTTCCTTTAAACTCATATTTCTACCTGAGCTTTTAAAAAGGGAGATCAAGTTGTCCATAATGTATTTTTGACTTTTTTTTGAGTAATTTATTTAGTAATACATGTTCTTTGACTACATTTTGGTTCTGTTTCTTGCTATTTTTAAAAATTTGTGTGCATCAATCTTGTGAACATTCTGTTCTGATGGGTATTCTCTTCTTAATGGGGCTCTGCTCTGTGTGTCTCCCATCCTCCTTGGACCAAGAGACTAACCAGAACATATTTTTTTTCTTGGTAATGATAGAGATACAAAAAACCCAAATGCACATGAGTCTTTTAAGCTTCTGCTTATGTCATTTCTGCTAACATCCCACTGGCCAAAGCAGCTCACACAGCTGAAGCCAAAGTCAGGGAATAGGGAAACATCCTTACCTACTATGAGGCCAGAGGGCAGAGCAAATTATACAGCCTTGTCCGATGTTATTAGGGCAGGGGAGTGTGCTCCACCCATGGAGATTTTCTGTATCTCTGTGTGTTGGAGGAGTGAGTATTTATTTATTTTTTTTAGACGGAGTCTCACTCGGCTGCCCAGCCTGGAGTGCAGTGGCGCAGTCTTGGCTCACTGCAACCTCCGCCTCCTGGGTTCAAGCGATTCTCCTGCCTTAGCCACCCCAGTAGCTGGGATTACAGTTGTGCACCACCACGCGCGGCTAATTTTTGTATTTTTAGTAGAGACGGGGTTTCACCATATTGGCCAGGCTGGTCTGGAACTCCTGACCTTGTGATCTGCCCGCATCGGCCTCCCAAAGTACTGAGATCACAGGCGTGAGCCACTGCACCTGGCCGGGAGTGAGGTTTTTTTTTTTTTTTTTTTTTTTTTTTTTTTTGAGACAGAGTCTTGCTCTGTCTCCCAGGCTGGAGTGCTGTGGCGTGATCTCGGCTCGCTGCAAGCTCTGCCTCCTGGGTTCACTCCATTCTCCTGCCTCAGCCTCCTGAGTAGCTGGGACTACAGGTGCCCGCCACCACGCCCGGCTAATTTTTTTGTATTTTTAGTAGAGACGGGGTTTCACCCTGTTAGCCAGGATGGTCTCAATCTCCTGACGTCGTGATCTGTCCGCCTCGGCCTCCCAAAGTGCTGGGATTACAGGTGTGAGCCACCGCGCCCGGCCAGGAGTGAGTATTTTTGAAAAATAATCTACTCTACTGTTGTGGCAGGCTTTTCTTTAAGGCAGCCTAGTTCCAGAGAGCATGCTTTAATCACTATACTCTCACAACCCTCATAAATGAAATTATGACTTTGGGAGGAGTTGACACAAATCAGGTCTCCCTGATCTGCCACAGCCTTACTTCATGAAATAGTTGTTTATACAACATAGGGGCTGAGCATGGTGGCTCACGCTTGTAATCCCAGCACTTTGGGAGGCCAAGGCGGGCAGATCACCTGAGGTTGGGAGTTCGAGACCAGCCTGGCCAACATGGTGAAATCTCATCTCTACTAAAAATACAAAAATTAGCCAAGCTTGGTGGTGCACGCCTGTAGTCCCAGCTACTTGGGAGGCTGAGGCAGGAGAATTATTTGAACCTGGGAGGCAGAGGTTGCAGTGAGCTGAGATTGCGCCACTGCACTCCAGCCTGGGTGACAGTGAGAGACTCTGTCTCCAAAAAAAAAAAAAAAAAAAAAAAAAGAACAGAAAAAGAAAGATGTTCATAAATTATAGGAAGAAGCTTTGATTCTTTATTTACTATCTCACTCATAATCCTAACTCTAACCCTAGACCAAAGTCTGTAGCAGTAGAAATCCAGAAAATAATTCCTCTTAATCCCCTAAGTCAGTGGTGTTATTTAAATTTTTTGACTGTGACTCACAGGAAGAAATGCATTTTATATTATGACCACACACACACACACATATGCACACGTATGTTTTTCATAATACTTAAACAAAAGTTTTGGGAAACAATACTTAATCCTATTTGTTTTTCTTTTCCATTCTATTTCATTTCATTCTATTCCAATTGATTCCATGAAAAAATGGCTAAGACCTAATCAATTCATTTTATAACCCACTAATGGAATGTATTCACAGTGTGAAAAAATACTGCTCTGGTTAATAGACCCCATTCTCTGTCTACCTGTGTGTGTATTGAGGTTGGTATCTGGTAACTGAGACACTTAGCACAACTGCCTGATTCTGGTCAACTGATGTCTATTGTAACTCTGCTCTCCTGGGATGGTATCTCCTGGGCTAAACCAACTATTGCCAATGGTGTGCAGATACAACTATAATTTCCAGCATGCTTAGTAATTAGCGTTCTTCAGAGCTATCTAGATGTTCATATTCTTTCACTCCTTTGACCTAGTAACATGAGGAAACATAGTAATAGGTTTCTGAATATTGAATCATCCTTGTGTTCCTGGCATTAACTGTACTTGGCCATGATATATTGTTTTTTTTAATATTCAGCTGGATTTGGTTTGCAAATATTTTATTGAAAATTACTACATCTGTATTCATAAGAGATGTTGGTTTGTACTATATTTTTCAGGTTTTTATATCAAGATTTTCAGTAACCTCATAAAATGCATTGGGTACTTTTCATAATTTTCATTTCCTGGGTCTGTTTAAATTGCACAGAAATAACCTGTTTCTTGAAGGTTGGAAAGAACTTGCCAATAAAATAAAGAGGGCACAGAACTTTTTGGGGGCAGCCCTTCTTTGACGTCCTCTTTACTTTTTATACAATTGTTGGTGTGTTCGGGATTTCTCCAGATTCTTTAATCCAATTTGATCAATATAAAATACAAAAAGATAATTTGTATTTTCCTAGAAGCCTTCTGGACAGCAAAGGCAAATATTTTATACTATTTTAAAATATTTTCAAGTTATTTTGCAGTGATATTTTGATTTATTCTCTCTTCAGAGAATGTGGGTTTTATTTAGTCTCATTTTTTGAAATGTTGTAAGGTGCTCAATTTTATGTGTATCCCAAGGATATTTGATAGTTGGACATTTTGTAAATTTTCACAGCTATTTGACAATAAATTATATTCTCTGCATTGAAGAATATTGTTCTGCTGTCCCCGACTCTTCTTTACTAGTTCTCTCCCTCTGCTTTTGCACTCCCATACTAATTCCCCTTTAGCTCTAGTGGGGAGCAATCTAACTCTTTTGTTTTCTTGTCTCCTATTGATCTGTGTCCTTAGGAGCTCTGCCAACAAATGCTTGCCTAGCTGTTTTTGTAAGCAAAGATACTTCTCTCCTTAAGAGGAATAATGGGCCTAGCTGTTGGGTAAGATTAAATTCTGCTTTCCAATTTGCTGATTTTGCCTCTGGGTTGCTTTTTAGTTTTTACAATATTATCAATAAAGGATATTTAACGCCTTTGTGCAACAAGCATTTCTCTTTATTACTAAGTTGTACCATTAGTAGCCTGGGAGAGTGTCTTGCGACCTATACTCACTCGCATTTGATGTCACTAATAAAATGTTAACTCCATAGAATCCTGGGCATTTTAAACCCTGTCACCCTTAAATCCAAATAGAAGTGACCACCCTGGGAATCAGAGTAGAGAATTCTGAGGGTTGGTATAGCTCATTTAGGAGTACATTTTAAGCTATGTTATAAAATGGATACTCTGAGTCTATAGTTTGTGAAAAGAGTGACCCATATATGTTAGAATGCAAAAATAAGGTGTCAGTGAAGCAGGGGTGTAAATCATAAGCAAAGCTTGCTGGTGCTCCAGGGGGTCTGGAAGATAGGACTCAAAGTGTGTTTGGAAAGGAGAAAGCACTATTGACATCTTTTGCTAAGGTGAAGGCAGGGCCTGTGAAGAGGCTCTTCCTGCCTGGATGGGTATTCTCCGTGAAGCTGAGGGATGACTGCCCATTTGCTGGGTGTGCAGATTGTAGATCGTAGCAGAAAGAAGCCAGCCTGAATGTGAGGGACATGCCTGCCCTTCTGGAGGAAAGTTGCCCATTTGTTGGCAGTCATTTGTAATCATTATTCCTCCAGTTGAGAGAGAAGAGAAAAGAGGTGTGGGATGGGCAGATGAAACAAGTCCAACACCCTTTACTGTTCAACCCAAATTCCTTTCAAAGCAAACACTTCACACTTAGAATGCAGAGCCTCGTTTCCAAAGAACAGGGATAGGTGGGACATTTGCAACGTTGCTTCCTTGTGCCATGACTCTCCAAGGGAAACAGACCTTCCCAGAGCCCAGTCAGGCCTTTGCTGGGGGCCTGAGCAGTGGCCTTACTTCTTAGGACAGGCTTTGTGGGTTTGCATCTTGGAGGTAGACCGGTGGCTTTGAGCTGACCTTGGAGCTCTCCTTCCCGTCCCTGGGAGGTCCAGCATGTGGCAGGCATCATTGTTCACAGCTCCAGAGGTGGAGCACTTATGCTGCACCCTCTGTAAATCCTTTCTGGGATGCATTAGCAGCTTCCATTGTCAGAGCCAGGAAAGCATTTTGGTGCATGGAGCAAAGAAGGAATGCATGGAGTGGCAGGCGGCCATGATCTGGCAGGCGCTGTTCAGGCCCTGTTTGTGAGAGGGCTGTTCACCTAGGTGGTGCCTTCTATGCACCTGGCTGATGTCTGGTGGGTCTTTAGCAGTGCGCTTAGCAACCAGACACTTTAAAAGATAACAGAGCTTTTGGGGAGAGGGAGAGAAACCCAGCCTACACCATGGAATGAACTAGCCACTGTTTATTATAGTGTTAATTGATAAACGAATAGACAGGCACACATACATAATTGTACGACACAGAGCAAGATAGATAATGTACTGATTGCTATCCTCAGTTTTTCCCCAGTAGAGCATTGGTGAGTCCCTAGAGTGTGACAGGCCAAGGTGGTGTCTCAGTCTGTTGGCATCATTGCTGGGTTTTTTTTCTATGCTGTCTGCTGACCCTCTCTCATGCCCTTCCCAGGACACAGAGTGCATTGAGTAAGCCTTGGCTCCCAAGATGCTTCATTGGCCAGCCCTGGGGTAGTGTCCTAGATGTTAACAGTTTTTTTTCCACTCTAGGAATAACCAAGGGAAGTTTGTCCTTCAAAAGACACATGGCACGCAGGACATAGGCATCTTTTTTAAGCTGTCATGTGGAAGTACTCACTGACCTCAGAGCTCTGTTTTGTAACATAGGATTAGCACATAATTCTGAGGTGCAATTAATGAATCCATTGACTGACAATCCCTGATAAGGTCAAGAAAGAAAGCTATCTTAAGAGAAACTAATATGAGACTAGGGTTGGCACCAGAAGTGCAAGTGGAGTCCTCATCTGTATTCAGCATTTAGAATTCATGGCTTCTTCTCTGCTTTCTGTTTGTAAGGTTGTTGTATACTGCGGACTTTTAGCTTCTTTAATATGAAATGTGTGGTTTGTAAATATTTTCTCCCAGTATGTAGCTTGATTCTTTTACCCTCTTATAGGTTTTTATTTTTTATTTTTATGTTTTTTTTTTTTTGGAGAGGAAAAGTTATAAATTTTGGTGAAGTTCTATTTATCAAATTTTTTCACTTATAGATCATGGTTTTTGGTGTCATGGCTAAGAATGCTTTGCCTACCCTAAGTCCTGAAGATTTTCTCCTATGTTTTCTTCTAAATATTTTATAGTTTTATATTTTATATTTAAGTAAATGATCCATTTTGAATTAATTTGTTCATACAGTGTGAGGTTAAGGTCACATCTTACGTTATATGGTGTGAGGTTAAGGTCAAGACTCACTTTTGCCTATGATGTCCAATTGCACCATCGTCATTTCTTGAAAAGACATTCATCCTCCATTACATTACTTTTGCTCCTTTGTCAAAAATTAGTTGAGGGTATTTGTTTGGGTCTATTTTCAGATTCTTCATTTTGTTCCATTGATCTATGTATCTATTTGTCCTACTGTGTCACACTATCTTGATTACTGTAGCTTTACAGTAAGTCTTAGAGTGATTCCTCTTTATTATTCTTTATCAAAATTATTTTAACTCTTCTAGATTCTTTGCATTTCCATGTAAGTTTTGCTTGTCTATATATAAACATATATATACACACATATACATATACACATATATACATATATACACACATATATACATATATACACATATATATACATATATACACACATATATACATATATACACACATATATACATATATACACACATATATACATATATATATATATATATATATAAATCTTGCTGGAATTTTGATAGGAATTGTGTTAAACCTATAGGTCGCTTTTGGGGGAGGATAAACATTTTTACTGTGTTGAGTCTTCCCAATCCATGAATATGGTCTGTCTCTTCATTATGTAGCTGTTTCTTGACTTCTATCATAATGTTTTGTAAAATTCTGAACAATCCTTGTTGGATTTATAATTACATATTCTATATTTTTTTGGAGTGATGGTAAATGGTGGTGGGTTTTTCATTTCATTACCCATCTGTTGGTTGCTAATACACAGAAATACAATTGATTTTTGTGTATTGATCTTGTATCTTGCAACCTTTCTGAAATCATATACTGGTTCTAGGAAGGGTTCTTTTTTAGATTTCTTGGGATTCTCTACATAGACAAAGGGATATAAGACCTAAAATTAACAACCAATACTATGTGCTGCCTTGATATCTGGTGAAACTAGGAGGTCCTTGAATGGCTTAATGTTAAGTTTCTCTCCCTAATCCATTCCCATGGGTAAGGTCCATGGAAGAATTTTTTTTAAATCATGAATAGGTGTTTAATTATGTGAAATGCTCTTTTCCGCATCAGTTTATATGATCACATGATTTATCTTTTTTTCTTTTAATGCTGTTGATTTGATGTATTACATTGATTTTCAGGTATTGAACCAGCCTTGCATCCCTGAAATAAACTCCACTTGGTCATGGCCTATCATTCTTTTTATATATATTGCTGAATTCTATTTACTAATATTTTGTTGAGAATTTTTGCATCTAAATTCATGAGAGATATTCACGTGCTGTTTTCTTTTTTTTTTTTTTTGTCCTGTCATTGTCTGGTTTTAGTACTATCTTCATAAAATGAGTTGGAGAGTGTTCTCTCTTCTGTTTCCTGAAGAGATTGGTGTTCTTTACATGTTTGGTATAATTCTCCAGTGAAACTTGGATATTTCATTTTTGACAGATTTTAAACTGTGAACTCAATTTCCTTAACAGTTATATAGTATTATTCAGGTTATCTATTTTATATTGAGTGAATTTTGGTATTTTTTGTTTTTCAAGGAATGGGTCTATTTCAAATTGTTGAATTTTTCTGTGTAGAATTGTTTGTTGCATTTCCTTGTTATCCTTTTAATGGTTGCAGGATCTGTAGTGATACCCATTTCATTCCTGATATTTGAAGTTTGCATTTTTTCTCTTTTATTCTTTGTAATATTGCTTACTTTTTTCTTTGTCAGCTTATTGTTTTGTTGATCTTTAAAAAGAATTAGGTTTTTGTTTTATACATTTCCTCTGTTGTTTTTCTGTTTTCTATTTCAGTGAATTTTGCTCTTTATTATTTTCTTCCTTCTGGTCACTTTTTTTCTCCCTCTGTTTTCCATTTTCTTGGGGGTAGGATTAGATTATTGATTTGAGATCTTTTCTTTTTTTTCTAATGCAAGCATTTAGTGCTATAAATTTCTCTCTCTGTAACTGAGTTTGCCATACCACAAAATTTGATATGTTTTACTTTCATTTTCATTCTTATTAAACAATATTTTTAAGCTTTCCTTTGTGCTATGTTCTCAATGTTTGTGTCCATCCACCTCCAAATTCATATGTTAAAATCTTACCCTTTGGCCAGGCGTGGTGGCTGACACCTGTAATCCTAGCACTTTGGGAGGCTGAGGTGGGCGGATCATGAGGTCAGGAGATCGAGACCATCCTGGCTAACATGGTGAAACCCCGTCTCTGCTAAAAATACAAAAAATTAGCCGGGCTTGGTGGTGGGCGCCTGTAGTCCCAGCTACTCAGGAGGCTGAGGCAGGAGAATGGCGTGAACCCGGGAAGGGGAGCTTGCAGTGAGCGGAGATTGCACCGCTGCACTCCAGCCTGGGCGACAGAGTAACACTCCATCTCAACAACAACAACAATAACAAAATCCTACCCTCCAAGGTTATGGTATTAGGAAGTGGGAGGTGATCAACTCATGAGGGCAAGCCCTCCTGAATGAGATCAATGCCCTTATAAAATAGGCCAAAAGGCGCTTGTTTGCCCCTTCTTCCACGTGAAAACACAGTGAGAAGACACATCTATGAACCAGAGAGTAGGCCCTCACCAGATACTGGACTTGCTGGAACCATGATCTTGGACCTCCCACTCTCCAGAACTGTGAGAAATACATTTCTGTTTTTTATAAACTACCCAGTTTGTGATATTTTGTTAAAGCATCCCAAATGGACTAAGACATTTTGAGAATTTCTCTTTGACTCATGGATTATTTAGAAACATGTTATTTACTTTCCCAGTGTTTGGAAATTTTCCTGTTACCTTTCTGTTACTGATTTCTAGTTTTATTCCATTGTGGTCAAATAATAGACTCTGTCTGATTTTAATCCTTTTAAATTCACTGAAGTTTGTTTTGTGTCCAATAATATGGTCTGTTTTGGTGAATGTTCCATGGGCACTCTTGAAAAAAATGTGTATTCTGCTGTTGTTGGGTGGAGTGTTCTTTAGATGTCAATTAGATTTTGTTGGTTGATGGCGTTGTTTAGTTCTTCTATAATCTTGCTGATTTTCTATCTAGTTATTCAAAATTGCTGAGAGAGAGATGATGAAATCCTCAAGTATAGTTTCATTGAGTATAATTTTTCTTTCAGTTTTATCAGTTTTTGCTTCAAATATTTTGAAACTTTGTTGTTTGGTGCATACACATTTAGAATTCCTATGTCTTCTTGGTGGTAGAACTTTGCTCTATGTCTCCGATATTTTTCTTTACTCTGAGGTTTACTTTATCTAATATGAATGTAGCCACTTCTTTTAAAAATTACTATGAAATATATTATTAGCATAGTATATGTGTTTTCATCGTTTACTTTGAACCTGCCTACATTATCATATTTGAGGTGAGTTTCTTATAGAGAGCATATGGTTGAGTCATGTTTTTAAAAAATTCATTCTGCCCATCTCTATCTGGTATATCAGTGTATTTGCTGTAATTTGACTATTTACATGAAAAGTAATTATACTAAATAATACTTCAGTTTTCCAGTTTTAAACTTATTTTGTCTTTAGTCTCACTTTTTTTTGTTCTGCTGTTTCCCTTTTCTTGCCTTCCTGTGGGTTACTTGAATTTTTTTTTTAAGATTGGATGTTGATTTTTCTATGGGAGTTTTCATTTTCTCTCTCTCTCTCTCTGTCTCTCTCTATTTCTCTCCCTGCCTCTCCCCTTCCTGCTTTATCTTATTAAAGTCTACTGATACCAACTTTACCACCTCACTTAGTGTAGAAACCTTACCTCTATTTAGGTCCCCTTATTCTTTACCCTTTTGAATATAGCTGTCTTAATATGTCCTCAATATAGTTTGAGCACCACATCAGATGACATAATTTTTGTTTCAACTGTCAAATACGTTTAACAAACTCATAAGGAGAAGGATATTCTATTATCTTCACCCCTATTTTTGCCCATTAATTGTTGTTTCTTCCTTCCAAGAGTTTTGAAGCCATCTTCTGTTATTTTATCCTTTCTTTTTGGAACACTTCTTTTATCTCTTCTTTAATGGTAGGCCTTCTGGTGACAAATTCTTAGTTTTGCTTCATTTGAGAATGTCTTGATTCCAGAAGGATATTTTTGCTGGATATAGAATTATAGGCTAAGAGTTCCCCTCTCTTTTTTAGCACTTGAAACACGTTGTGCTACTGCCTTCTGTCTCTGTGGTTTCAGATGAGAAATTTAATGTTATTCAAATTGTTTTTTTCCTGTAGGTAATGCATTGTTTCTCTCTAGCTGATTTTTAGATTTTTGTTTGTCCTTAGATTTGAAATGTTTAATAGTGATATATCTTCTTGTAGTTCTTTGGGTTTATGCTGTTTAGAATTCAGATTATTGAATCTTTAGTTTTAGTCTTTTCCCCCAAATTGGGAAAATTTTAGCCATTATTTCTTCAAGTGTTATTTTAGGCAATATATATATTGCCTAATATATATATTATATATATATTGTGTATATATATAACATTAATATATATGTATATATAATATATATTTATATAATATAAAATATAAATATATATAAATATATATATAAAATATAAATATATTATGACCATATTATTGGATACAAAACAAACTTCAGTGAATTTAAAAGGAAATATATATTTTATATATATATATTTCTTCTCCTTTTTGTTCTGTGATAGTGAAAGTATCATATCCTTTGTTATTCTCCCATAGGCCTCAGATGTTCTGTTTATTTTATTTTCAGTATATTTTCTTTCTGTTGTTCATATTAAGTAATTTCTCTTGATTTTTGTTGAAGTATACTGATCTGTCATCTCAGTGTGCTAAAAACCTCTATCCAGTGAGGTTTTAAAAATTTTTTAAATTTAAGATATTGCGTTTTCAGTTCTGTAATTTCTATTTGGGTTTTAAAACATATCTTCTATTTCTTTTATGAGATTTTCTATTTTTTGTTTGTTTCAAGAGTGCTCATAATTGCTCATAGAAACATTTTTAAGATGGCTGCTTTAACATCATTGGCAGATAATTTGAACATCTGAGTTCATTTCAGTGTAGGTATCTGTTGATTGTCTTTTCCCATTTAAGTTATTTTCCTAATTCGTAGTATAAAAAGTGATTTTTAAATTATATCCTAAACATTTTGAGTATTATGAGACTCTGGATCTTATTTGATTCAATTTAAATCTATCTTCTATTTCAGCAGACAGTGATCATGTTTAGATCTAGTGTGTAGGTCCCTGCCTCCTTTCGTAGGCCATAATTATAAGAGTTTAATTTTTAGTGCCCTGCAATGCTACTCTGATCTGCTTCATTCACATGCAGTGGTATTCCACACAGTAGTTCAGTTCTCAAACCTTTTGTATTGTTAATTCTGGTCAGTTTCATGTGTGAGTTGGTTAGGGGTCTGCCTAGAGCTTTATGTGAAGTTTTAAGGATTTCCTTTCTCCAGCTCCCTTCTCTCCAAGTTGTGCCTCCCCAGCCCCCACTCTATTTGTGAGGGAGAGGAGCACCGCCTGCCACCACTGGGTAAGGGTGGAAGTCCAGGCTTCTCACTTCATCTCAGCAGATATTGTCCAGCAGTGGTTAAGGGGAGTGTTACTCTGTGTTACCCATTATTACCAGGATTAAGGTGGGAGTCCAAAATCCTGACTTGGTCTTTGCTGACACCATGCCACCATTGGTGGGAGGGTAGCATGTCCCAGAGTGTCCACTACCATTTATTAGGGTGTAGAAATTCAGACTTTTCACTCTTTGCAGGGCAGGAGTTGGGGAAGGCATCCATGGTGTTTGGCTGATGTAAGGGGGTTATTGTCAAAAAGATGTTTGTTGTGCTGGGCTGTCTCCTAGTCCTTTGACTGGAGAGAGCAGGCTTTTATTTCCTTTTTGTCTCTGCTTGTTGGCATTTATGAGTTGCATTGTTCTCTAGCACACAGTCCAGAACATATGGAATGTGAAAGGAAAACCCAGTGAACCCACCACTATATTGTTCCTTAAGTTCTGAGGTTCCTAGCCAGTCTTTTCTCTTCTTTTTACTTTTCAGAGGCTCTTCTTATGATGGTTTGTGTGATTATGTCCAGGGTGTTTAGTTGTATTTGGGTGATGGGCAAGGGGGACATGAGTATACACCATTTTGTCCATAATCCAAGATTCCTTTTTGTAATCTTTGATAATTTCGATACTTTTACTAAGATATGACTAGGTCCTAATTTTTGATTGGCACACCTTAGTTGTTGTTTTTTTTTTTTTTGACTTAGGAATGTTTTCTTCTAGTATGTCTTTAAATATTTTTTCTTCTCTTTTAGTTTTTCTGTTCCCTTCTTTAAGAACATCAATTTTCCATATGTAGATATTGTACTGTTTAATCATCTTTTATAATTTTTGTGTTTTCCTTTTTATCCCTAATTCTCACACTGATCTGCTACTTAACTGACTTAATTTTCTGTAATGTAATTTCTGCTCTGTACCTTTTCTGGTGCTTTAAGACATTATTTCCTTTCATTATTTTTTTATACTAGCTCTTTTTTAAATTTCAAATTATTGTCTTAATAAGATATTGTTCATGGTATTATTCATGTCTTATTTTTCAAAGGTCATGTTTTCTTTAATTTCCTTAAGAGTTCAAAGCAAATGTTATCCAAAATTTAGTTTATTTTCTAGAATAAAAATTTAAAACATTTTCTCTTACAGATTACATTATTATTATTTTAATGCTACAGATTCTCGTAGTTTTCAAGTTGGTTTTATTCCTGTTTACATATTCTTCAATAAGCATTTGCAATAGCCCTATCACTATTTGCAGTATTCCCCAAACTTGGGAGGCACACTTTTCCTTGGATCTGATACCAGCTAGAATAGGCTATATCATGCTTCAGTAACAAATAATCAAAATATTTTAGTGACATAATACAGAAAGGATTTTTTCTTGTTCATTTACATATCTATCACATTTCTCCTCAGTGCTGTTGCCATCTGAAACATTGCAGATTTCCATGTCAGAGGAAAATAGAAAATGTGGCAAATTGGGTGCTTGATCTTAAAGACTTCTGAATAGAGGTGACACGTCATTTATATTTTGTTAGTTAAAATAAGTCATGTGGACATACTTAACTTCAAAGGGATGGGGTCGTGCACTTCTATCATGGACCCAGGAGGAGAACTGAAAATATTTAGTGAGAAGCACTAATGGCTACCATAGATCCACCGTTGTTTGCTTTTGTGCCCTAGAAATTCATCTTTAAGGTGATCAAGAATGGATTCGGGATTAATGTTAGGCAAATATTTGCCAGCCTAGACATATCAATAGTTCTGGTTGACATTTCTCTGATTGGTTAGTGCCTGTGGATTAAATAGTTTGAATAGCACTCTAAAAGGGCTGGCTGTGGAAGCTGGGGTCATGGACAGCCCTAACTACAGACTCACATTGGATGTGGTCGACTTGCTTTCCCAATTTCCCTAACTGCTGTCGGTGCATGGTAAGAGAAAGAGAGAGACCTCAAGTGAAGGTGTTCCCGTCTCCCCTGTGCCCTGTCATGGTCTTCAGCTGCTAACCCTCCATATCAAGGATACTTCTAGAATTTTATTTATTTACTCCCCATAACATTGCTCCTCTTTTCCTAAGAATGGACATTTAAAAATCTGTCCTTAGTGACTTCTTTTTTTATTTGATCCTACCTGTACTTGATCTAGCAAAAACACCTTAAAATTTGTGTTGTATAGTTGGCATTGTTTCCAATTTCAGAACTATTTTTGATATTCTCTTGTTCTGTTTTTCTTCAGTTGTTTTGGACAATTTCTGGCTAGAGACGCTTGGGTATCTTAGTTACCTGAATGCTGGCATCTTGACTCTGTGACCCTGGGAGAGGGCTCTTGGCTGTATGTAGCAGGCTTCTCTGTATTCTCTCTGGCATAATTTATGGTTGGCCAGTTGATTTAGAGACTCAGGGATGGGATAAAGAGAGCATCAGAGATCATGGAGCCTGAGACAGACCTGCCCAAGGTTCACAGGACAAGTGAGGGTCAGAACTAATAGCAGATCTACACCTATAGCTCACCAGATGTCTTGTTCTGGAAAACCTGTGGTATCCAGACCAGAAGGTAGCAGGTAGGGGACTCTACTTGTCACACTACCTTAGATGCATTTACCTTTGCTCTTTCTCTGTCGTATGTCACTCTTTCACCATCCCATTCTTCTATTCCATGTCTTTTTATCCTTTTTCTCTGAGATATGTTAGGTCTTCCAGAAGAGCCTACCAATGTCACTCGTCCTTGCTGTTGGCACAAATGGCTGAGTAGATTGATGACTAGTATATTGGAAGAGGAACTAAGTTGGTGTCTCATGGGAGAACATTGGTGTTAAAGGGTAAGGAGATTCAGTGTTTGTTTATTGTACAAGGAAGCATGATAGTGCCGTAGTCTAAATAATACTAATTGGTGTTTCCCTTGGCTTGGCCTGAATCACACTGTTTTCCTTAAATTTTCCATTAGAGAGCAGATGTCATCTAATGACTTTCCTACAAATGTTTGCTTTCTTAGAAGTGAGCTATGTTTATTTCTTCAGTTACAAAAATGTGTTGTTTATAACTCGTAAAGAAATGTGACTCTATTCTGATTTGCCTCCCATTAACTTTTCTCCCTGGGTGATTACCCAGCCTATTGTCTGGTGGACTAAACTGCCTAGTGGTGAGAAAGACATCCCAGGCAGGCCATCAAAGCTTGCCTGATGTTTTTCAGAGGTTTAAGAGTACAAGGAAATTCACTTGGAAATATTTGGACTTTGGCCACAAATTCAATTTAAGGCATTGGCTCAACAAAACTGGTCATTCCTTTGAGCCAAGATGAAACCAGCATTAGTGGGGAGAATGAAAGATGGTTGATACTTGCTCAGACCTTCTGTGTGCAGCCATGAAGATAGGTATTACTGAGTTTTTACTTTACCCTTGCATGTGGCTTGTTGTTTCCTCCAAATAGTGTGGCCAATTGTGTATTCAGGCTGTAGTCAAACTGAACTTGCACTGCTCCATGCTTTCCTCTTCTTATTTTCCCCTCCTCTCAGTCCTTCCTCCCTGCTCCTCTATTGTTAATCCTAGCTATCCTTCAACACTCAAGACATCCACAAAGTCTTTCCCAATCCTCCCACTGGCATACATCTCCCCGTTTTTGTATCCCATCATGTAATTATTTCTACACATGTCTTTTCTCCTTCGTTGGACTTCCCATTTGACTTTTCTTCCCCATTCCTTGAGGTCTATGTCTATTTTACCTTTGGGCCCCTCACACAATCTAGAGCAGATCCTGGGACATAATGAAGACTCATTTGAGCATATGGTATCTGTCTGGAAGAAGTCCACGTCAAATTGAGGAGGTAAGTAGGCAACAGGACCTAAGTAGCAGAAAACAGTTCCTGGCAGCCTTGTTGCATCTGGAGTCCCTGTCCATCCAGTACTGTACCCGGCGCCTCCTTCACACCCTCAGTCTCTAAGGTCAGTAGCGCTCCATTCCATGGCCCTTTCCACACTTGTCTCATACTTTCAACACCTGAGCTTCTCATATAGGAGCTGCTATTGTTTTCTCATACAGCTGTGTTTTTCCCTAAGACATCTTAAAGATCTGGCTTAGGCTTTGACAGCCTGACACTTAATCATTTTGTTTTTGTTTTCTCATTCTGCTTTTAGTAAAAACATTTATGTTTTCTCCCTTGCATAATAGTATTTTAGGCCATACATATGTCCCCGGCTAAAAACTTCACGTTGGTATTCCAACCTTAGAGCTTCATAGTAGATTTGAAACCTGAAGCAAAGATTACTTGTTTACAACCTATCAAGGATAACATTAATTTATCTTGTCAGCATCCTTGCTTATGTCTCATAGATATTATAAGTTTTTGGAGATTTCTGCTTAGTTTGTTAATAATTAAATGGATTAAATAAATAATACAGACACACACATTTACCACTTCCCAGTTTGCAAAATAAAACTTTGTCAACACAAAACCCTAGCCACATTTTCCTTTTCCTCTCCCTTTTGTCTTCAGAGGAAATGACCATTCTGAATTTTAAGTTTATAATTTCTTTCCTGTTCTTTATACTTTTGCTACATATTTCTAAACAAAATATACATTGTTATTTTGTACTTTTAAAACTTTATATAAATGGCTAGGACTTGAAGTTCCAGCCACTTGGGAGTCTGAGGGAGGAGGATCACTTGAGGCCAGGAGTTTGAGGCTGTAGTGTGCTATAGTTGTGCCTGTGAATAGCCACTGCACTCCAGCCTGGGTAACATAGCAAGACCCCATCTCTAGGGAAAAAAAACAACCAAAAAACCCACTTTATATAAGACAATTATACTGTGAGTATTCTGTAACGTGCTTCAATTACTGGGCATTATGTTAGTGAGATTATTCATGTTGTTAAATATAGTTTTAATTCATTTATTTTCACTGTTGTGTAGTATCTCACTGTATGAAGACATCAGAATTCTTTATTTATTCTCCTGTTGTACATTTAGTTGTTTTCAATTTTGTTTTTTACAAACAATTCTATATATCTTCTTTATATATGTTCATTTTTCTAAGGTCTATACCTAGGAGTGGAATTGCTGGGGGAAATGATACACCCATCTTGAGGTTTACTAGCTTTTGGAAAAATTATTAGGTAAAATATGGCAACAATGTATAGTTTAACTGAACAATTAAGAATCCTAGTTGTACCATATTATCTTCAGTACTTGATATTGTCGGGCTTTTTCTTTTTTGCCAGTTCATGGTTATAAAATGGTATCTCTTCAGTATTATAATTTATATTGCCCTGATTACTAGTGAAATACCCATCTTTTCATGTTTACTGGCGTTTGCCTTTCTACTTCTGCGAATTGCTTATTCTTTTGCCCTTAAGGGTTTTTTTGTTTTTGTTTTTTCCTTCTTTTAGTTTATTTGTACACATCATTTATGTATTCTGGATACAAATTCTTTGTTGGTTATATACCTTTTCTCAGTCTTTGGCCTGTTTTTTTTATCTTTAATGGTGAACAAAAATGTTTATTTGTATTTATTGTAGTTTCTCTCTAGAAATATAAGCTCTTGGACAGCAGGGCTTTTGGTCTCTTTTGTTCAGTGATGTATCCTAGGTGCCTGGGGCAGTGTGTGACAACTGTCAGATGTTCAGAAATATTTGTTGAATCAGTGAATGGAAGGATGATTACTGATCTTGTCTCTTATAGTTTGCCTTTTTGTGTGTCTTTTTAAAGAAATCCCTTCTTACTTTGATGCCACAAAGATTTCCTCTTATATTTTCTTCTAAATGTTTAACTTCATTTGTTTTTCGCCCAAAGGAAAATTATTTTATATCCTGTATGGCTCTGGGAAGAGGAAATGAATGAGTTTTCCAATGGGCTGTGCCACATTCTAACTGTTATATTAGACAGCTCTCTTTACCTCCAGAACCTCATTTCTTTCCCTCTTTCTCAAACGGAGATGATACTAACTTCCTTGTGCAGGGTTGATGTGAGATTAATTTAGATAAACTATGCCAAGCATCTAGTAGATGCCTGGCATGTCATAGTCATTTAATAAGGTAGCTGTTTCTTCTTTCTCTTTTATCTTCCCTGAGGACAGCAAAATGAAAGTGAGGCCCCAGGAATATGAAACTGCCTTTCCCTGTGACTTCCCCCGGTACGTAGAGAAACCCCGCAATGGGCTCTTTCCAGCCTCTTGCTGGCAGCTAGCTCGTCCTCCCTCCTCCTTCTCCTGGTCTGGCCTCTTCTCCACAGCCTGGGTTTCTGCCCTAAGCCAAGTAGCAGACGCCTCTCTTTTACAACCTGTCACAGACCTCTGAGTAGATGCAGGCAAGCAGCTACACCATTTTTCCTTCTGAACACTTAAAGACGCTTTTCATCAAAACTGAGCTGTTTTTAAAGAAGGGTATAGACCGGTTTTCTCACAAGCAACTTTGTGATTCATTTGCATTTCACTTACTCCTGAACACAACCAATCATATCGGTCAGTGTTTTACTGTGGGCAGCGACTTGCTATGGGAGGGGACAAACAGATTTGTGGTAATGATGAGATATCATCCAAGTGTCAGAAATAGATATAGTCACACTTTGAATTATGCTTGAGTTGCAGCTGCTAAAAATGGAAGAAATGGAAGAAACTTCATGTCTTGGATTATGCACAACATTGCAGTTAGAACATTTGTGCTGTTTTATGGCTTCCTGCTCAGGAATCAAATGATTTAGTTGTTCAGTTTCATTGTGGGATTCTTCTATGTGGTGTTCTTGCAGTTAGGTCTTTTCACAGTGGTTTGAGGTTGGTGGCAGAGCTAATAATTGATGTGTGGGTGGGAGCCCTTCTTAGGTATGGAGTCTGCAATGCCACGAGGTCTTGATTATTCCTTTGTGAAGCCCCTTTAGGTATCATCTCCTTAGTCTTGAACCAAAGACTGCATCTTGGTGAGTAAAATGTATTGGAAACACTTGCCTGACTTAAATCAGTGCCTTTCCTTCTCCTCAGAACTTTTAGGGAAGTAAGAACTACTCCAGGATCTTATATAGCAGCACTGTTCCATAAAAATGTAATGCAAGCCACATATATAACTGTACATTTTCTAGTAGCTGTATTAAAATAAGCTAAAAGGGGTGGGTTCAGTGGCTCACACCTGTAATTCCAGTGCTTTGAGGGGCTGAGGTAGGAGGACTACTTGAGTTGAGGAGTTCGAGATGAGTCTGGGCAACACAGCAGGACCCTGTCTCTACAAACAAACAAACAAACAAACAAACAAACAGTTAGCTGGCATAGTGGAGGTCCTGTTGTCCTGGCTACTTAGGAGGCTGAGGTGGGGGAGTCCCTTGAGCCCAGGAGTTTGAAGTTGCAGTGAGCTATGATTGTACCACTGCACTTCAGCCTGGGCCGCAGAGTGAAACTCTATCTCTAAAATAAAATAAAATTAAATTAAGTTGAAAGTATCAAGTGAAAATTAATTTTAGTAACATATTTCATTTAACTTAATATATCCAAATATTATTTCAACATGTAATCAGTATGAAAATCCTAAATGAGATATTTTACATTACTTTTTGTCCTACTAAGTCTTTTGAAATCAAGTACTTATTTTACATTTTCAGCCCATCTCAATTCAGACTAGCTGCATTTAGAATGTATGATAGCCACGTGTGTCTACTGGCTACTCTACTGAACAGTGCAGCTCTTAGGACTTCCTGGGAAAAGGTGGGATCAGTATATCTTGCCCTATCTTGTTCCTTCCATCACTCAGACCACAGCTAGCTGTTACATCCTCTGTCCTCTTTTGCTTGCAAGGAGATAACCAATGTAGAGTTTAATCTTTACATAGCCTACAGCTTCCCCCTCCCCGTTAACATACTGATAAGCTACATATGATTTCAAAATATCCTTCAATATTACTTCTTAGATTGTGTATGTGAAAGAATATGAAAGCAGCACACCTAGGGGGCCTAGCAGCCAGAAGGAGGAATAACAGGCCATATATCCAGAACAGATGGCTCTTATTGAAACAGTACTGATGGCGGGGATGGAGGAAAACTGGAACAGCCACCAACTAAGAGTATGTAAGGAGATTCCACTACAGCCCAACACCAGTTTTTTAAACTAAAAATCAAATGAGATTTTCCAAGCAAAAATTCAGTGGATGAGTTGAAGGAAAGCCAAGTGGAGGAAATACCATCTAACACAGTGGAAAACCACAAAGTGTAAAGCATGAGGGAAAAGCTAAGAGACTTGGAGAACAGTTTTAGAAGCCTTAACGTTCAAACAATAGAAGCAGCAGGAGGAAAGGAATGGATGGAGAAGGGGCAATAATGAAACAACTGTTAGAAAGTTTCCTTGAATGAAGGAAGACTTGTATCTCAAAGGGTGCACTCTCTGGCTTACAGTCAGGACTGATGAGAAAAGACGCATACTGAGACATATACTTAATCTGTAAAATTTCTAACTTCTAAGGAGGAAGATGAAAAGATTTCTGGAGTTGCCACATTATATTATTTAAACTCTCTAGTTTTCAACCAAACGTTATGAGGCACACAATGAAACAGCAAAGTGTGGCCCATAACATGAAAAGAAAGCCGTTAATAAAAACTGTCTTTTAGGAAGCCAGATGTTGGACATATTAGACAGATACTTTAGATCAGCTGTTACAAATATGTTCAAAAACTCCAGATGAAAGAAAAGTAACTCATAATGGGAAAACAATCTGATTGATAACAGACTCTTTTTTTTTTGCAATTCTTAATTCTAGAAAATAGTGAAATTATATTTATTTGTATATTTTTAACCTTTACGTTCTTTTATTCCTATGGAATTGTTTTAGGTGCATTGAGGGAGGATCTGTGTTTACTCATTTTCCTCCTTATTTATCTATTGAGCTGAAGAATTTATTAAATAATTCACCACTTTCTCATTGATACAAAAAAAACTATCTAGTGTTAAGTATACACATGCATATATATACACACACACACACACACACACACACATACACACACACACATGCCTGATTTAAAACAAAATTAATTTTTTTTGAGACAAGGTCTTGCTCTGTCGCCAGGCTAGAGTGTAGTGGCATGATCTTGGCTCACTGCAGCTTCCACCTCCTGGGCTCAGGTGATCCTCCCATCTCAGCCTCCCAGGTAGCTGGGACTACAGGTGTGTGCCACCACAGCAGGCTAATTTTTTTGTTTTTGTTTTTGCATTTTTTGTAGAGACGGAGTTTCACCATGTTGCCCAGGCTGGTCTCGAACTCCTGGGCTCAAGTGATCCACCCGTCTTGGCCTCCCAAGATGTTGGGATTACAGGTGTGAGCCACTGCACCTGGCCTAAAACTTATTTTATTATAAAATGTATATACAAAAGAATTCATATAACGTGATATTTAAAGGAAGATGGCCATATAAATTTGTGTAGTGCCCAACTGCACAATAATACGTAAGATGGCTCAGTAATAATGACATAGTGAACATGTAGGTACCTACCGTGGAGCTTAGGAAATGGAACAGTATCAATACCTGTGAAGCTTCTTGTATGACTTTTCCTTACTCTCTCCTACTCTCTGCTCAGATGTATGCACAGCAAAGGTGAATTTAGTTTTTATACTTCCTTATCTTTATAGTTTACCATTTGAGTATGTATCCCTAAATAATATATCATTTTTTGCTGTCACTGTTTTGGATTTTATACAAATGGAATCATACCTTGCCTTATTCTGCTCAGTATTGTAGTTTTAAATTTCATCTCTGTTGACCTGTGAAGCTGAGCTCACTCATTTTTACTGCTTTATTGTATTCCAGTGTATAAATACACCACGATTTATTGATTCATTCTACTGTTGATGGTTTATTTTTGTAAAATGTTAGATTTATTTTGTCTTTTATTTAGAAATCTGCCTTCATTTTAGAGTGAGACTGATATGTGATTTTTTTCTTTTATTATTCTTATTTGGTTTTGTTTTCAAGAGCATAATAAACTCATAAGATGAATTATTGGGTGTTCCTTTCTTTTACTATTCTTTGAAAGAGTTTTCTTTTTTTTAAAGATGAGAATTATTTATACTTTGAATGTTGTGTAGAGCACACATGTTTTGTAGGGCACACCTGTAAAACCTTGTGGTTGTATTGTTTTCTTTATGGAAAGAATGTAAAAAACGGATTCCATTTCTTTATTGGTTAAAGGACTATTGAGATTTTCCTCTTCTATTTGGAGTCAGTTTTGGTTAATTACATAGTTTGTCTGAAACTTTGCCACTTGTCCCAATATTTCAAATATATTAGGATAATTTTTTCTTGAGTTCTGAGATATGTTATTTTGTTCTGGTTCATTTTCCTCTCAATCCTCATTGCCCCATCATTTGTCTCCTGGAATGTTACAGCGGCCTCACTAGTTTCCCTGCCTTCTGTATCACTTACCCTCCCATCCATTCTTCATAATAATAATTTCACTTCTCTACTTAATATCTCTCCAGTGCTTCCTCAGGATGAACACGGACTTCATGGTCTGCCTTCCAGAGCCCCTTCAGGATCCAGCCCATGCCTACCTCTCCAACTTCTCTTCTCCCAACTTCCCCCACATTCTGAAATCCAGCTCTGCAGAGCTACACACCGTTCATGCAACTTGGACTGTTGCCCCCCGTCTCCTGTCCTTGCCTGTGTTGTTCATTATGCCCCTGTTGTTCTAGAAGATCTGTTCCTCTGTCCTCTCCATTTTTCTGGCTAATTCCTACTTGTTCTTTACATCTCAGCTTTGTGGTCATTGCCTCTGTAATGCCATGTGTGACACTTACGCTCCTGTGCCCCCCTAGCACTCTGTTCTTCCCTGTCTTGGATAGTCCTTGTCACATAGCTTCAGAATTGCCTATTTGCTTGTCTGTTTCTCATTCCACACCCAATCCCAGACAGTGAGTTCCATGGGAGCATGGAGTGTCTTGTTCCGTCTCTCATGGCTAGCACCAGACAAGACGCATGCTTGTACAGTAGTACTAAGGCTTACATTAAAACCTTGCCTTTAGAACTTTGTGATTACAACAATCGTAATATCATACATTTGTACAGCTTCTTACAGTTTAAAGAACACTATCACATACATTATTTTAGGAAACTGAAGCCTTGGGAGCACAAATATGCCTTGTCAAAATATGCAAGCTGCCTCCTCTCACCAGTAGCAGTGGGGTGAAGAAATAAGCTAGGGTTCAATGTTGATTCTTTTATCGTGAGGTTATTCTACATTTTCCTTTTATCACTGAGCTGAGTGTGGCTCTATCTGAGGGCTCTTTGAGTCGGTGAAGGGGCACTGTGCAGTTTTTCTCTCCTGCGCCTCCTTTTGATTTAAGAAAATGCAATGATTCTCATGACAAAGGATACCAGAGTTTTATTTTTTGACTGCTGGGTATTTTTCTCCTCAGGGAACTTTTTTTCTAAATTCACATCAATGGTATTACTTTGGTAATTAAGAAATATACAGTAGAGAGACAAAATTACTGCACCTTCATCCTCCTGCCTGGCTTTCCTTCCGCTGTGGAGAATTTTGGAGTTCATCTAACACATGTTGCCCACCTTTAGCAGTGTGGAGAGTAAGACCTGGAGACCTGAAAGGTCGTGTCAGGAGCCATATGGTCACTTTCTTGCAGAGGTGGGTTGGGCGCTTGGGCTCCCAACTGCAAGCCTGGCTCCCTTTTGAAATTTGAGCAGCCATCACCAATATATTATAACAGATGTCCAGTGTCTCCAAGTTTGTCTAGTTTGTGTGATTTTCCAAATATCTACTACTAATGAGTCCAATGTTTATTCAAACCCAAAACCAAGTTACATTTTCTTTTCTTCGTTTATTTATTTATTTTGAGATGGAGTTTCATTATTGCCTAGGCTGGAGTGCAATGGTGCGATCTTGGCTCATTGCAACCTCCACCTCCCAGGTTCAAGTGATTCTCCTGCCTCAGCCTCCCGAGTAGCTGGGATTACAGGCGCCTGCCACCATGCCCAGCTAATTTTTGTATTTTTAGTAGAGACGGGTTTCACCACGTTGGTCATGCTGGTCTCGAACTCCTGACCTCAAGTGATCTGCCCGCTTTGGCCTCCCAAAGTGCTGGGATTACAGGTGTGAACCACGGCGCCCAGCGTCCAAGTGACATTTTAATGTCAAATAAATATAGAATGGTATGATGATGTTTTAAGCAACCAAAAGAAAAGTATTCATAATTCCATATATTAAGAAATTTAAAGTATACCTTAAAATATGCCAACTTAAAGTCAGAAACCTGTATTGCACCCAACACACTGCTTGGATCATAGACTGTAGTTTGCCTTCTTCTTTTTTTTTTCTTTTAACAAAAGATAGTATGTTTGTAACAGTTTTTTTTTTCCTGCTGATTTATGACTCCAATATGGCTTTGTTACCATTGTATTGCAGGGGTTGATGTTAGCATCTTAATATTATAAAAACATCACCTTTTGTTTTTAAGAAGTCTTTAATATGTTCTGCTAACCCCCAAGGATTTTTTTTTTGTGGTTTATAGAAATGAGAGTGATGCCATTTTATATACATTGAACAAAGACACCCTGACTCTAAATCTCTGTCTTCCTATCGTCTTGCTTGTTTAAGAGTTTTGAGGCTGGGCACGGTGGCTCACACCTATAATCCCAGCACTTTGGGAGGCCGAGGTGGGCGGATCACGAGGTCAGGAGATCGAGACCATCCTGGCTAACACCGTGAAACCCTGTCTCTACTGAAAAATACAAAAAATTAGCTGGGTGTGGCGGCGGGCACCTGTAGCCCCAGCTACTGGGGAGGCTGAGGCAGGAGAATGTCATGAACCTGAGAGGCAGAGTTTGCAGTGAGCTGAGATCGCGCCACTGCACTCCAGCCTGGGCGACAGAGCGAGACTCCATCTCAAAAAAAAAAAAAAAAAAAAAAGAATTTTGAAAGCCATGAGCATCCAAACAGCAAATCTGGCAGCTCCACTGATGTGTTCACACTGAACACTTCCTGCCCTGAAAAGCTTAGAAAAACAAACCAGCTTAAGATGAATATAAACGTTTTTCGGAGTATGTGCAAAAAGCACATTTCTGTCTTTTTCTTCTCTTGGAAGGCTGCATTTTGAAAGCCTGCATGATTTCAGCCACACAGACGAGCTGTTTCCTGAAAGAAATAAAGCTGTAGGGGTGAGAAAGACCTTGAATAAACATGAATGTGTCCCCGACGTGTTTCTGGACTTTGTCAGGTTGGGAGGTGTCTCATTGCCAAATTGGGAAGAGCTGGTAATGCTTTTTTTTTCTTTCTTTCTTCTTTTTTATTTTTTTTGCTACTGAATTAACACAAATGCATGCGTGAGAATATACACAGATTTGTCTGATACTCAGTAATGGTCTCTGAGGTTGGCAACAAGAACGTCATGTCTGCATAATTAATCAGTTGTTGACATGGATGTTTTCTGCATATGTCGGTTGCACTGGTGTTATAAGGTGTGAGCATTGTTGGGCTATGTCTCACTGGGCAGAAGCATGGCCAGGAGAACAGCCAGGGACAGCAGGATGGCAGAGGCCCCCACTGGTCCAGGAGGCAGGAGGTGCTTGGGGAGCAGCCATGCTCGGGCCTGGCCAGGCTGGAGCTGGAGGGCTGTGGAGGCAGAGTACTTGGACCAAGGAGGAAAGGGTCACTCTACTGCCTTGGGTAGAGGCAGATGGACTCCAGCGTCCTGCAGGTCCCAGCCAGGTTCCTAGAGAGTATAGACCCTTTGAAATCTCCAAGGAAGATGGCAAGATCCAACTTGTCAGTTTAGATAATCAGAAAAAAAAAGTGATTCTTTAAGGAACCTAGACCTACTCTGGTCTGCCCTGAACACTCTATTTAAAGCTGCAATTTATACCCCATCTCCCAGCACTTTGGATTTCCTTTTCCCATATGACATAGTATACAATTTACTTCTCTATTATGTTTATTTCTGCTTCCCCAAGTTAGAATATGAGCTCCTTGGGAAAAGTGATTCTTGTCTGTTTTGTTGACTGTTGAACTCTCAGTAGCAAAAATAGTACTTGGCACATAGTAGGTGCTTAATAAACATATGCTGAGTGATTGAATGGGTCCTGTGAACCCCAAGAATTAACCTAACACTCCATTCTTTTGAGATTCTCCCCCCGCAACCATTTGGGTAAAATAAAATATTTATTTGTACTTAATTTAAAAGACAAAGATGCCTTTTCTCTGCCAGAGAGATAATGATGAGTGTTAGTGGTGAAGAGGCTGTGGGAAAATACATGCTTCACTGGAGGATCAAAGTGCAGATTCCACTGCCTAGATGGGGCCCTGAGAGCATGTTCTTCTTCAACACGGAATTCCTGTCAGGGCGTGGAAGCGATTTTTGGGAAAGACCAAGATCCACCAGAAAACACCTCCCTTCTGCACCGCACTTTTTCTGGTAGCTCTCACAAACAGCACTTACTCTCACCAACAGTGACTCATGCCCCTCGGATAACAAATAACCAGCATTCTCTCTCTCCTGGGTGCTTTGGTGGGAACGGAACGGTGTCACCCCTCACCGAGTGGCTAGACCAGGAGGAGGGGGAGGCTGGCGGAGAGTGAGGTAGGGAGTTTACAATTTATCAAGATTTGAGACAAACACCTCGTTTTTTTCTCTAGCAATGGAGCCCTGTTCATAGAATACTATTTTCAGTTTTTTTCCTGGGGAACTTTAAAGTAGACTTATTTCCATGTGACATTTTGCTAATTGAGGCTGTTTCCAATAGGTCAGCTTACTTCAAGGTCTTGAAAAATGGACTCTTAAGTAAAATTTTTGGGGGGCGGGCTCTAGGGAAAGAGGATCTGCATTGTGTATATTGGCAGGGCAAGGCTTTCTTTCCGCTCCCCATTCGGAGGAATAGTTGAGTTTTTAAATAACCCCTTGTGAAATGCCAGCATGCTACTCAGCCAGAGCCTTTGGGCCTTCTGTGGTGCAGAGAATATTCAGACAGCAGGCATGCAGGCTCTGCGGGGAGAGGGTCAACCTGGGCTGGCTTTCCTACAAAAGATGTTAGTTACTGAAGGTCTTCCATGTATAAAGCCCAGTGCTGAGCACTAAAGAACGTTCAGATATGTAGAGAAGTCATACAACTCCATGTTTAGGTTTTCTCCTTTTGGGGAACTGAAAGGTGAAATGTGTTCTAGCAAGATCTTTTCACTGATTAATCTGGGCCCTGCTTGCCAATGCTAACTAGGGATGTGGGAGTCAGTGTGTGTGCTATGTGGTGTATATGTATTTGGAGTATTTGTGGCGTGTGCATGTATGTAGTGTGTGGGGTGTGTGTGTGGTATGTGTGCATGTGTGGTGTGTGTGTGTGGGGGTATATTTGTGGTGTAGGTATGTGTGTGTGTATGTATGTAGCATGTGATGTGCATGATATGTGCATGATACGTTTGTGGTGTGTGTGTGTGTGTGTAATGTGTGTGTGTGTGTGTGTGTGTGTGTGTGTGTGGTGGTGGGGTCTTTGAGAAGGGGAGGGAAGGAGAGAGAGGGAGAGAGAAAATTCCAGAGAAAATGCATGTTTTGTGGCAGAAGGAGGAGTGGTGCTATGAAAATTCCAGTTTGCTAAAGAGATTCTTCCTGTGATAGATTTAAACTCCGGGAAGGAGCCTGTCCATGTAAACAGCTCATTCTGAGTAAGGGAAGCACTCGCAAGGCCCTGCCCACCTCACTGACCTAGGAGGGGAGGAGAAGGGCCCGGGGCTCATATTTCTTTTGAAAATGTGACCCAGAGTGAAGCTGAAGTTCAAAACTACATGGTATTTTGGCTGAGGTGTATCCAGACTTTATTCAAATGTTAGGTCTTTTAAATGAACAATATTAGAAGAACATATAATTAATTGATGGTAAATAGAGAAAAAGAATCTTAAATCCCTGGAAATAATTTTTTTTATCTTGGAAAAAAATGTGAAAAGTCCTTTTCTTTTAAACCCTCCCTTCCAATCCTGCCAAAGTAAATGTATTTTATATTTCATCAGGAAGGTTTTGGACACTTAAGACTGAAAAGTCTCATAATGACCGCATTCTACTTGAAAAACCAAAATGATCTGGAAGGTTTATTTTTTAACTTTTGTTTCAGGTTCAAGGAACCAAATGTACATCATGGTTTTTTTTTGAAGAAAAATGTGTTGGGTGCACTGAGTTTAAGTACTGCTGGTTAACTTGACTTTCCCTCATGGGCCTTGGAAGCTACAAACTGTAAAGTCCCATGTGCCATCCAGGCCAGGGGGAATAGCCCCTGAGGCCCCAGAGGAATACAGAGAATGTATCCCTTGCAGACTGTGGCTGGCGTTGAGCCTGGGGATTCTGCCTGATTTGCCTGGAAGATACGCTTCCTGACTCATGGAATATTGACATTTAAAGGGACCTTTCACTTGTAGGAGTGATCCTAACTTCCCATTCAAATACTAAAGTCTTCCTGGCCGATCTTGGTTTGTCACCCAGGCTGGAGTGTGGTGACATGATCACCGCTCACTGCAGTGCGGCCTTGACCTCCTGGACTCAAGTGATCCTCCTGCCTCGGCTTCCCTAAGTGCTGGGATTACAGGCATGAGTCACCACGCCCTGCTTTGGTTGCTGTTAATAGAGATAGGCCTACCTATGCATTAATATTCCTGACAGTGACCTTACATGGTGTCTGGCTAAGCGCTGGTGTCATGGGAAGAGTCCAGCAATAATGGCTCAGGGCTTTGCCTTCTTGGCATTTAGCCTTTGCCCAACCTGTTAAAATCTGTTGGAATCTCAGTTCTTCCATCTAGCATCTTACCTTCTTGTGTCGTCTGTCAGTGTAGATTTGAAGCGTCTGAGAGTGTATTCCTTGAATCCTTAGTGGCCAAGATGACGACATGTCAAATGAGGAACTATAATTGGGCAAATTTGCCATCAGCCTGGATAGGTAGAGGGCTCAGGCCTCAGCCCTATTCCTGTTCAGTGTTTGTAGCAGTGACAAGGAGGCAGATTGTGAGCATGCCCCACAAATTTGGGCTGACGTGAAGCAGGGGGAGAGTGCTGCATATCCTGATAAATGGAGTCCAGATCTAAAACAGTCTTGAGATGCCAAATCTAAAGAGAAAGTGAATGGCAGGAAAGCGTGCAGTTGGGTTCTCAATCCAGAGTGCAGTGACATGGCTTAGCAATGGCATGTGGGAGAAAGGCTAGGTCCCTTCACTGACCGAGGTTCTGTAGACGTTAGCGGTGTGATATTTGGCTGTGTTTGTGCTCTGGAGAGAGATGGGTGTGAGAGCTCACACCAGGTTAGGAGAAGTGTTCAGACTGGCTTGTTTAATTGCAATGGGAATCACATTGTGTTTGTTTTAACTGGTGACTGCTTAACTTTTGAGGCACACTGGATTCTGCTCTTGAATCTAGGAATACCCTCTTCTCCCCTGCTTCTCTCTCTTCCCATTACATCAATCTGAGAAATAGGAAAAAACAAAACACTAAAGTGCTTTTTCATACTGTCCATTTTCCACTCAACACAGCACTTGTGTGGAGGTATTTCTGCACACAGCAAGCTATTCACTGGACACCACTGGGTATCCTCTATTTCAATTCAATTCTGAGACTATCTACCTAGAGATAGTATCAGACCCCACAGGTTAAGGGCTCCATCCCACAAGACTGCCCTTCACACGCCAATCTCAAGCAGTAGGTTGAGTATAGGTTATCACTTATACTTCTGACAAACAGGCTATAAATTGAGCCTCTCCTTGGCTTTGACTAATTTGCCAGAGCAGCTTGGAGAGCTAAATGAAACACTTTACTTACATCTTCTAGCTTATAAAGGGATAGAATAAAGGATAAAGATGAATGCCCAGATGAAGAGATACGTAGGGTGAGGTCTGGAAGGAGGTCCCAAGTGCAGGAGTTGGGGTGTGCCACCTCCAGGCACACAGATATGTTCACCAACTCAGAAACTCCCTGAACCCAATCCTTCTGAGTTTTCATGGAGGCTTCATTACCCAGGCATGGTTGATGACCTCATTGGCCATTAGTATCAGCTCAACTTTCAGCACCTCTCCCTTCACCAGAGGTTGGGGGTGAGGACTGAAAGTTCCAACCCTCTAATCACTTGATTGGTTCCCCTGGCAACCAGCCCCCATCCTGAGGCTATCCAGGGGTCCACCAAGAGTAACCTCATTAGAACAAAAGATGCTTCTAGCACCCAGGAAATTCCAAGGAATTTAGGGGCTGAGTCAGATGCCCCTGTCACTCAGGAAATCACAAAGCCTTAGGAGCTCTGTGTCAGGAACTGCAGTCAAAGACCAAATAGTAGAACAAAAGATTCTCCTATGGCCCCTATTGCTCACAAAATTACAAGGATTTTAGGAGCTCTATGTCAAGAACCTTAGTCAGAGGCCACATATATATTTCTATTATATCATAATATCACAATCAAGCAGAACTTTCACCCAGCTTTCATAGTTATTCTTGACCCTTTACAATGTGTAGATCAAGGTCTAGAATGCTCAACTCTTGTCCTTGACTAGCCATCCCATATACACTTCCTCCTGCTCAAGTCAAATCCTTCAGCTGGATGGGGATGTGGAGACACAGCTGTATCCCCACGTCTCATATTCATAGTCCCTGGAGGTGCTGTCTGGATTCCTCCTGACCTTGTCCCTGGTGACTCAGCAGCTGTGGACAGTGGCTGGTGGAGATGATGCATTTTGGCAGCTTCTCTCCTAGGCCTGGCTCAGTGCCCTGGGAAGATCGCACACTTCCTGATCCAGGCTTGTTCCTCCTGCTTTCCCTCCAACTTTTGCTACTTAAGGGCCCTGACCCCTTTGGTCACCCCATCCTGTGAGGGCCACATGCCACTGAGTCTTCCTGACATTTAGGAAGTCAACTTCCATCTGGCTGGAAATGTCCAACGCATGTTTGGTATGATGCTTGCTTTCTGAAGCCGTGTGTGAACTCAGCCATTTCTCCTAAGGGAAGGCCCAATTTTTCTAAGAAAAACTGCACCATAACTACCCTTGTCAAAGTCAACGTTGACTTCCCTGTTGCTAGATCCAAGGGATACTTCTCTGGCCTCATCTTCCTCAGTTTCTTAGCAGCATTCAAGACACTTGACTATTCTGTTTGACGCTAAATCTTCCCATGACCTAATATAGGGTGTTTTCCTTTTTATTCTACTCTAATTGATGTTCATTTTTAGTCTCTTCTGCTTGCTCCTCCTCTTCTACTTAATTTCAAATATTAGAATTGAGGGTGTCAGGCAAAGCCCTCTTGCCTGCCAAACTCTTTCTCTAGGGAGTGGCTTTTCTGGTATAATGGTTGTAAATATATGTAAATATACATACATACATACATACATTATGAAAATGTTAAGTGATGACTTCCAAATCCCTATCTCCAGCGTCAGATTTCCTTTCTGAGCTCTGGACTTGCATATTGAATGGCAAACTCAAGCTCTTCACATGGATGTTTTATGGACACCTCCAACTTAACATGACTCAAACAGAACTGTTGACTCTATCCTCACCAACAAATCAGTTTCTGCCTCAGGGCTATCCATCCATTACAATTCCTTTACAGCCATTGCTCAAGCCAAAAACCCAGAAGTCACCCTTGATTCCTCCCTTTTCCTCCCTCATCGGAAAGCTTTGTTGGTTCTACTTCTAATCCATGCACCTCTCCCCTTCTCTACTGCCATCATCCCAGTCCAAGGAACCATCCCTTTTCACCTGGGTTAGTACCAACAGCCTTCCAACTAGTCTTTGTGATTCCACTTTACCTTCTTCTAGCTCAGTCTCCACAAAGCAGTCAGTGTTGTTTAAATACTCTTCTATTGTTCTCCGTCTCCTTACCATAAGGCTTTAAATGTCTTGGGTGGCTTTTCCCTTCCTTCTTTATCCATTTCGTGCCACTGTTACTTGTCCGCACTGAATTCAGCCACACTCTAGTTCTTCCAATTCACTGACTTCCTTTCCACTTTGGAGCTTTTGTACTTGCTCTTCTTTTGCCGGTAATACTCATCCTTAGCTTTTTCCATAACTGGCTCCTCCTGTTTGAGGTATCATCTGAAATCTTATCTTCCCATGGATGCCTTTTTTGACCATCTTATCTAAAATTGAACAGTCCTCTCCCAACATTATTCTCATATCACCTTGTTTATTTCCTTTAGAACTTAGAATGTTAGTTTTCTTATTTATGTATTTGTTTACTTATTTTACTATGTATCTCCACCTCTAGGATGTAACCTCCATGAAAATAGGAACCTGATCTTTTTTGTTCCTCATTGTATCTATCGCACTGAGAACTGTGCCAGGCATATATTAGGTGCTCAATAAATATGTGTTGAATGCATGGTCAACTGAATATAAGCATCACACTGGAAGGTCCACTATATGCGGGAAGCTGTTTTAAGGTGGCGATCTTTGACTGCTTCCACTCTGGTAAATGGATCTGTCCAGGTATTGGCACATGGCTGCTAACAGGTTCCAGCCCTGGCTGTAAGCCTGCGTCTGTTCCTCAAACTCACTGACCTCCTTTCTATTTTAGGGCTTTTGCACTTGTTCTTTTTTTGTGTGCCAGGAATAGTCACTGTCAGATTTGGTGATTGGTTAGTCTCCTAACTCTCAGAGCTATAGTTTACTCATTTTTAAAATAAGGAGTTTGACCTAGATGACTTCTAAGGTCTCTTTAGGTATTTAAAATGATGATTCTGGCTGGGCGCGGTGGCTCATGCCTGTAATCCCAGCACTTTGGGAGGCCAAGGCGGGCAGGTCGCCTGAGATTAGGTGTTCGAGACCAGCCTGGCCAACATGGTGAAACCCCGTCTCTACTAAAAATACAAAAATTATCCAGGCATGGTGGTGGGCACTTGTAATCCCAGCTACTAGGAAGGCTGAGGCAGGAGAATTGCTTGAACCTGTGAGGCGGAGAGTGCAGTGAGCTGAAATCACGTCACTCAATTCCAGCCTGGGTGACAGAGCAAGACTCCGTCTAAAAAAAATTAAAGTAAAAAAAATAAAGTGATGATTGAAGCCAGTAAGAGCAATTAGCAATAGTGGTGCTAAATCTCTCACATAAATGAAATTTAATAAGAAAGTCTTCAAATTATTTTAACAGTCTAGTGCTATCTAAGCCATCTAGTCTAGTGGAGTTATCTCTTCTATATTCCTTGACAGAATGATGTTGATTTCCCTTTCTAAAACACAGTATTCAGAGGGACGTTTTAGCGTAAACTATAGTTCCTGCTGCAGTTTGAGAATGAGTCCATTGGAGCAGCAGAGGTGTCAGAGGAATATGTTTACTCCCTGCTTCTCCTGTTTGCAGAGAGCAATTTTCTTAGAGTAACACCTGTGGCCTCTTAATTTATTTCTGACTCATTTCTTCCCAAGCAGGGGGAGTGAGGTATCCAGTCGGGGGTATAGTCACAGATCCATGTATTTTTGACTGGATGGGGCTAAGCTCTGCAGATTCTATCTCCTTTATTACTTTCCTCCTTGAAGCAATCAAGGCAGTGATCCTGGTAAACCCTCTACCTCCTCAGTCTTCCCTTGGACAGGCTCTCCCAGGAGGTGGGTGATAGTGTGATGGTAGCAAGTCCATTGGGTCATCATATCCCAGCCATATTCCCCTAAAGAGGGTGTCCTTTCTGACCCCCTCAGACTCCAACCATTGTGATTTATGTCCAGTGATTCAGATGCCAGGTAATATGGTTTGATTCTGTGTCCCCACCCAAATCTCATCTTCAATTGTGCTCTCATAATTCCCACATGCTGTGGGAGAGACCCGGTGGGAGATAATTTGAATCATGGGGGAGGTATCCCCCATACTGTTCTCATGGCAGTGAATAAGTCTCACAAGATCTGATGGCTTTATCAATGGTTTCCACTTTGCATCCCTTCATTTTCTCTTGCCACCATCATGTAAGAAGTGCCTTTTGCCTCCTGCCATGATTCTGAGGCCTCCCCAGCCATGTCGAACTGTAAGTCCAATTAAACCTCTTTTTCTTCCCAGTCTCGAGTATGTCATTACCAGCAGCATGAAATTGGACTAATTCAGTAAATTGGCACCAGTGGAATCGGGTGCTGCTGAAAAGATACCTGAAAATGTAGAAGCAACTTTGGAACTGGGTAACAAGCAGAGGTTGGAACAGTTTGGAGGGCTCAGAAGAAGACAGGAAAATGTGGGAAAGTTTGGAACTCCGGAGAGACTTGTTGATTGCCTTTACCAAAATGCTGATAATGATATGAATGAAAAGGTCCAGGCTGAGGTGGTCTCAGATAGAGATGAGGAACTTCTTGGGAACTGGAGCAAAGGTGACTCTTGTTATGTTTTGGCAAAGAGACTGGTGGCATTTTGCCCCTGCCCTAGAGATTTGTGGAACTTTGAACTTGAGAGAGAAGATTTAGGGTACCCGGTGGAAGAAATTTCTAAGCAGCAAAGCATTCAAGAGATGACTTGGATACTGTTAAAGGCATTCAGTTTAAAAAGGGAAACAGAACATAAAAGTTCAGAAAATTTGCAGCCTGACTATGCAATAGAAAAGAAAAACCCATTTTCTGGGGAAAAATTCAAGCTGGCTGCAGAAATTTCCATAAGTAGTAAGGAGCCTAATGCTAATTCCCAGAACTATGGGGAAAATGTCTCCAGGGCATGTCAGAGACCTTCATGGCAGCCCCTCCCATTACAGGCCTGGAGGCCCAAGAGGAAAAAGTGGTTTTGCGGGCTGGGCCCTGGGTCCCTTGGCTGTGTGCATCCTAGGGACCTGGTGCCCTGTGTCCCAGCTGCTCCAGCTATGGCTGAAAGGGGCCAATGTAGAGCTCGGGCTGTGGCTTCAGAGGGTGGAAGCCCCAAGTCTTGGCATCTTCCTTGTGATGTTGAGCCTGCAACAGAAGTCAAGAATTGAGGTTTGGGAACCTCTGCCCAGATTTCAGAGGTTGTATGGAAACACCTGGATGCCCAGGCAAAAGTTTGCTGCAGGGGCGGGGCCCTCATGAAGAACCTGTGCAATAGCAGTACGGAAGGGAAATGTGGGGTCGGAGCCCCCATACAGAGTTCCTACTGGGGCACTGCCTAGTGGAGCTGTGAGAAGAGGGCTACTGTCCTCCAGACCCCAGAATGGTAGATCCACTGACAGCTTGGACCATGTTCCTCGAAGAGCCACAGACATTCAACGCCTGCCTGTGAAAACAGCTGGGAGAGAGGCCATACCCTGAAAAGCCACAAGGGTGGAGTTGCCCAAGACCATGAGAACCCACCTCTTGCCTCAGCGTGACCTGGACATGAGACCTGGAGTGAAAGGAGATCATTTTGGAGCTTTAAAATTTGACCGCCCCACTAGATTTTGGACTTGCATGTGCCCTGTAACTCCTTTGTTTTGGCCAATTTCTCCCATTTGGAATGGCTGTGTTTATCCAATACCTATACCCTCATTGTATCTAGGAAGTAACTAGCTTGCTTTTGAATTTACAGGCTTATAGGCAGAAGTGACTTGCCTTGTCTCAAATGAGACTTTGGACTGTGGACTTTTTGGTTAATGCTGAAATTAGTTAAGACTTTGGGGGACTGTTGGGAAGGCATGATTGGTTTTGAAATGTGAGGACATGAGATTTGGAGGGGCCAGGGGTGGAGTGATATGGTTTGGCTCTGTGTCCCCACTCAAATCTCATCTTGAATTGTACTCCTATAATTCCCATGTGTTGTGGGAGGGACCCGGTGGGAGATAATTTGAATCATAGGGACAGTTTCCCCCATACTGTTCTCGTGATAGTGAATAAGTCTCACGAGATCTGATGGTTTTATCAGGGGTTTCCGCTTTTGCATCCCTCTCACTTTCTCTTGTGGCCGTCATGTCGGAAGTGCCTTTCACCTCCTGCCATGATACTGAGGCCTCCCCAGCCACGTGGAACTCTAAGTCCAATTAAACCTCTTTTTCTTCCCAGTCTCGGGTATGTAGTTATCAGCAGCATGAAAACGGACTGGGGTATGAGCTTTCCATGAACTAAACACAGTCTACAATATGCATGTTTATTTAAGCTTGGATTTTTAAACAAAGCATTATGAAGAAAAAGTCTCAAAGGAAATACACCAAAACAATTAACAGTGGTTATTACAGGTTGAAAAGATTATGGGTGATTTTATTTTCTTCTGTGCTCATTTATATGTTCTAAAGTTTCTACAATGAAGTGCATTTTTGTTGTAGTATGGGAGAAAATTTTTGTTTCTCACTCCTTTGCCAAAAAAAAAAAAAAACACAAAAGGAAGAAGAAAAGAAAATCCTAAAAACAATAGATTTGCAACAACAAGACAAAGTTAACTACTCTGTGACTGAATTGCTGGAAGATGGGGAGCAGAGGTAGCGGGGAGGGGGAGAGAGGCAGGTGTCAGAGAATAAATGCCATGGCTGCCAGTTTGATTCGGGCCACTGTGATATCCTGGCCTAACAGTGCCCTGACACACCTGGTGTGCCTCACCCTGGTCTTTGCCAAGAGAGGTCACTTCCCTTTTTGTTTCTTGGTACAGCTATTAATGGTGGATTCTCCTGGAATGGCCTTCTTGGACTTTACCTGTCAGGGGGTCCTTACTGGAGCCTTATTTGTGACCAAATGATCTTGTTTTTCAGACCACAGCTGAGAAATCTCCTGGAGCCTATTTCCTTCCCGAGTTTGCACTTTCTCCTCAGGGAAGTTTTCTGGAAGACACAACAGGGGAGCAGTTCCTCACTTATCGCTATGATGACCAGGTAAGAACATTGGACAAGGATCTACCTTTGGCTTTGCTGTTTGCCAGTGGTCAGGAAACTGTCTCTAAAAGACCTTCAAAGTAATTATATTTTCCTCTTTGCAATACAAGTACAACAGACCCTTGACACCCTTGAAGGATCCCAGAATATGTGGATTGCCCATGTTTGCATGTAATTTCCTATATAATGTGCAGTTCTTTCTCTGCATTTGCATAAAAGTCACTTTTTCTTATTTTCATCAGAAATATATGATGGATTTGTTCATCTCAGCTATCACCACATTGATGATTCAATTCTGAAATTATCCAAAATTCTGTTTTCTGCTTATGTGTTACTTCTTTGCCCTCAGCTTTTACTTCATTTCTTTTACCAGCACCAATGTTGCATGCTTTTTTCCCCAAGATTACTTTTCAGAAAGGAACACAGTGTGAATGCCTGTGTGTGCATATGTCTGTGAGTGTGTGTGTGTGTGTGTGTGTGTGTGTGTGTGTTGAAATCATTTTAGGAAGGCTAACTAGAGAAGAAGGCCTTGCTTGGCTGACATGTGTAAGCTGAGCACTGGAAGTTGTGATTCCCTTCCATCCTCAATTCACCTTGATGCCATAATAGCATTTAAGATTATCCATCTTTGAAATCACTCACAACTTGGTGAAACAGAGAGTTTCAACTTTGCCTAATGCAAAGCTGGTAAAGCCTGAATTTATGGGGCAGTTGAGCAAACCAGGGTGGACTTTAAGATGATGTAGGGCCTGGGTGGATCTGGCAGACCTCAGCACCTGTAGGGCCCAAGTGAAGGTGAGGAGCTGGGGCAAGATCACCTTCCCATGGTACGTGATAGAGTGGAGGGAGATGGCCCAGTGACTGAGGCCAGCTGTGCTCTCCTCAGCTGTATAGCCAAAGGCCAGTGCATCCTGGTTTGATTTAGGTAAAGCCTAGTCAGAGTGCAAAAGACAGTACTCAAAAGGAACAGCTCTGAGAAATTCAGTCTGCCAACATGGGTAGATCCAAGATGTGACCACAGGGAGTAGGACCCTGTTCTGAGGGCTGGCTGGAGCTAGGCAGAGTGCTGGAGGTGGGCTGGGAGAAGGATGAAAGTCTTGCAGAGCATCAGTGGCTGATGCAGGACGGAGATTAGAGCATAGAGGGCAGGTAGAGGAGTCTGTTGCTCAGTCCTCTATCTCCCAGCTCAGGGGAAGACACTGCACACTCTCCATCCTTGAGGCTGCTGCTCAGTGACCTACCCTTGGTGGGCTTCATTCCAGAGCTGGGACTGGGGTGAAGGTCAGGGCTGTGACCCTCCAGACCGCTGTGGGCAGGGAGCCACACTGGTCATTGGGGCAAGAGTGGGATGAGACCAATTTCTTACTCAAAATGTCAACATTCAATCATATTTTCAAGTTACTTTAAAAGTGAGTGAGTGCATTACTAGTCATTGTGGGGAGCAGGGGTGGGCTGGGGAATAATTCTATATTTGCATTGTAGAGCCCAAACATTTGGGCCTGGTTGCTAATAGGGGCTAAAACATCATTAAGTCACTTTCTGCCTTCCCCCTTCCCTTGATGGATTTTGAGAGGGTCTATAATTTATAGCTCCTTTTAATCCAGAAATCAATAATCCAACAGGTTTTCATATGAGAACTTCAGAGGAACTAATTGAGAGGGCCGTAAAGGATAAAAGCGGGTGTCTGGAAAATACCAAGCTATGCATTTTATAATTAAAGAGTGGTTAATGTCTTCTCCAGGTTCCACAGATACTTTATATTTAACATAATAACAATATAAAAGCTGGGAAAAGGGGAAAACAAGCCCCTTCAGTCTTTTCAAAAGGTCTAAAGCAGATCTGAAAAGTGTGTGGCATGCTGTGGAAATTTCATCCTAGGACATAGTGTTCCAGAAAGCCTCAGTGACTAGCATATGAAAACACTCTGTGTTGCCCCCACTGTGTATTTCTTTTAGGAGAAAGGAATAATTTGAGACTATAACAAGCCAATAATAGCACCCACTTTCCTCTACTAAAGGCACAGAAAATAGGCGCTTGGACTAAACTAGGTTTATCTATTGAATGAACCTCAGGAATTTAATCAGCTAGAGACTGTTAACCCACCAACCAAATCCTGATTCTCTTTCCTCTTTTTTCTTTTCTTTTTTTTTGAGATTGGGTCTTGTTCTGTCACCCAGGCTGAAGTGCAGTGGCATGATCACAGCTCACTGCAGCCTCAACCTCCCCACCCACACTTAGGTGATCCTCCTGCCTCAGCCCCCGCCCCCCACCCCAGGTAGCTGGGATTATAGGCATTAGGCATGTACCACCACCCCTGGATAATTTTTTTTGTCTGTATTTTGTAGAAATGAGGTTTTGCTATGTTGACCAGGTTGGCCTCAAACTCCTGGGCTCAAGCGATCTGCTCTCCTCGGCCTCCCAAAGCGTTGGGATTACAGGTGTGAGCCACTGCGCCTGGCCAATCCTCTTTTTTCTTAATGCTGAACATGCTTCTCAGGCACTGGGGAAAGGATAAAACCAATCAAATACTATCAAACTTTTAAAAAATCCCCTGATCCTTCAGCATATGACAAAACATTAAGATCAATTAAGAACAAAGTCTCTGGAGTCAGACTGCTTTGGGTTTGAATTTGATTTGTCAGTTCTGCCATTTGATTTGCTGTTTTACTTTGGACAAGTTACTTTACTTCCCTGTCCCTTAATTTTCTCATCTATGAAATGGAGATTTGGATGGTATCTACCTTATGTAGGCGTTAATTCATGTCTCCCTGCATAGGGCCTGGTACATATAAGCATTTAATTTAGCTATTGTTATTACTAAGAATGTTGTTTGCAAACACTCAATTCAAAGAATCTCAGATATGCTTATGCTAAAAGAAAGGAAGAAGTTAATTCTTACTTTAGGAGATCTCATGCAATATTTTCAATTAATTTTTTATTGAGCTATAACATATGTAAGTAAAACGCATACATATCTGAAGTATAGAGCTTGATGAATTTTTAAGTATTTTTACACCTGTGTAGTTGCTACCTAGATCAAGAAAATGAACATTTCTAGCACCCTAGGAGGCTCCTTGAACCTCTTTCCGATCAATATCCCACATTCAAGAAGTAACCACCATTCAGACTTTTATCAGTATTACAGATTCATTTTGCCTGCTTTTAATTTTATTTTTGATTTTATATAAATGGAATCATACACCACATACTCGTTTGTGTCTGGCTTCTTTCACACATCATTATGTCTGAGAGATTCAACCCAGTTGCTGGATCCAACATAATATAGGGTTTAATGTCTAGCAGCCAGTTGTACTCTTTGGAACAAATTGTCTCATGTTGGAACAAATTGCAGCATACTGGGTGGCATGCAGCATTACTCTTGCACAGAAATTCCCAGGTTGTCCCTAAAAGGTTTTCAGAGCAGTCTCTCCAAAGATTTCATACCTGGGGAAATGGTGGGGACAGTTTTCCAGTGTAGCCTTTGTTATATGCCAGCAGCCACCGGCATTCCACAGCCAGAAGTAGGTACAGGGTCTGTGTGAGTGGCTGCCAGGGCAGAACCTGTGTCAGGTGGCATGGGTACCTACCTGTGGAATCTCCATATATATATGCCAGGGGTGCTGTCCTGCTGTCACAGTGGCTTGAAGCCAGAGTGACAAAGTACTTATGCAATTGAGGCTGCAGCCTAGTTTCTAATGCTGTTGGGTCAGATGTGGGTTCACTAGGATCTTCCTACCTATAGAGTACTCATTTGATAAAATGGGATGCAAATGGATGGTGTGTAGATATTTGCTGTCTTGGATGAACCTCACAGGACTTTTTAAAGTGTTTTATCCTGGGCGCATTTCATGAAGACCTTCAGGTCATTCTTCAAATGTCTCCTGGGTTAGATGCCTGGAAAACTAATAACCCTGAGGCCAGTAACACATAGCTGTGATGTAGGCTGCATTTAATGGGAGGCGTAAAAGCCACATTATGGATCATACGGAGGGCCGCGGCAGCTTCTAGTGAAGAAAGTGGTCTGAAGCCAACTGAGTAACAATGTGGTTTAGTGCAAACAGGACTAGTCAGGCAGCCTGGTCTTGCTTCTACCACTAATCAGCTTATAATCTAACAGAACTATTTAACGTTTTGGACTTTGGATTCTTTATTTCTTTTAAAAAACAAAGTGACTGGATTTCATGATCTGAACTCTTTCCACTCTAAAATAGTCTGAAACTACAAATAGAATATTCCACGTTGCAGAGTGTTAATTGGATCATTCTGATTATTGAGGCAGTCTTGCCAGCAATTCGGTAAACTATTACTTAGAGAATTATACAGTTTTACAGCTGGTGGAGACTTTGGCCCAAGTGCCTCATTCTACAAGTCAAGAAAACAGAGACGCCAAATGTGCAAATGACTTACTCAAGGACACCCGTGGTTATTTGAAAAACTAAGACCATTACACTCCAAACCCAAGGCTCTCCTGCTCTGAGATATATCCAGGAGCTTCTCTCAGAAGAACCACCTAGAAAATTATCTCCTATCCTAAAAATCCTGATTCCACTGTTTACAGTTAGTAGAGCTTTGGGGATCTTAATAGACCCCAGAGATTAAGATTAAGATTAATGGATGCCTTATCAGCTCATTCTCATCTCCTTCAGGAATTTGGAATTAGCTATGTGGAGAACATTCATAAGCATATTTATTCCTTTCCAGTTTTTAATAGAAGCCACAATTTTTTTTTGAAGCTTGAGTGAAACATTAACTGAAATTAAAATGGCACTGACTTTCTATTGGATGGGCACATTCTTAGAATAAAGGTGTTCTAGCACTTGGTTGCATCAGGTACATGAAGTAGCTAGAATGTATTAGTTTGGGACGACTGGCTAAGAAGGCTGTGGTTTCAGTTACTAGCCAGCCTGTCTCTGGGGTAGATTCTTTGGTCATTCCTCATAGTGGTTTTGGAGTTTTGTCCCATAGAGGACCTGTTCATAGGCAAACAGCTGGATATTGGTCACTGCACATGGTTCTTTTCATCGCTGAGTAAGTCAGTTTTTGGAGATCTGCTCTGTCTTTCTCTGCCTAGATCACCTTCTGGGAAAGGGGGATGGTGTGGTTGTTTTCCATCCTTACCTTGCTTCAACTCACTGAAGATTTAAACTTGGAGCTTTATTATGGTCACTGAAAGCCTGTGACAAGCACAGTGTTTCTCAGTTAGAGGTCATTTATTTTTTAAGGAGTTAGGAAAAGTTGTTTTTTGCATAAATATTCTTTTATTTCTCTTTATTTTTAGCATTTGTTAGGCATGGGGGAAGGTGGAAGGTGTGTCCTCCCAGACTTGGTGGATTTGCTGTAATGTGCTTCCTCCTCACTGGCAGCCATCGTAGGATAAAGGACATTAAGCACGAGCAGTAGGTGACTTAGAAATTGGGCCTCATGCACACTTTCCTATGTTTTATGAATTCTTTATGTGTGTACCTGTTAATATTAATATAGGGTATTAAAATAATGCTGACCTTGCCACTTTTAGTCTACTAGGCACCAAAAGGCAGGAAAAAAGGTTAATACCTTGGATTCCAAGCATGTAGGACAAGTAGTGGGTTTTGATTTTCCTAAAATTAACCAAGGATAATCCCACTAATGCAAGCTCGAAGCCATTTAGAGAACTACCTTGATCTCATGTTGGAGAGGTCCTTTTATACCTATTCATACCAGGCCATCCCTTCTCCCTGGTAAACTTCCTGCTCCTCTGCCCTTGACTAATTTAGCGTTTGCTGTGTCTCTTCCTGACCACATTTAAGAGGATTTGAGATTTTTTTCCAGACTTAAAAATGCTTTTGCCTGTACTCTCATCTACCATTGCTTTCAGTGACCACTTGGTTTTCAAATTCTTACTGTCTCTTGCTGCTTTCTGCTACTCATTCTGCTACTCATTTTTAACCTTTAAAATCTAACTTCTTCTATGTCCTCCAACCTCCCTCCCCCCACCACCTTCAACAGGCATCCTTTTTAAGAATTTCAGTTACTTTCTTCAAGTCACACCTATATTCTGGTATGAATCAGCCTATATTTGTAAAAGTCTGTGTTGGTACAATTCCATGTTTGTAAAGTCCTAAGGCCTTAATGACATCATAGGTGAAGTCATAGTTGACTCTTCTCTTTCCTTCCTGGGATGTCATTGGCTGCCTATTTGTATGATTCCTTGTTTCAATATGCCTCTCTAAATTGTATTTTCTTTACTGTTTCCATCCCAAAGGAGGCAGAGGGCTGGATGTGCAGCCTTGGTAGCATCTGGAATTGTATTAATAGCATGTCAGAGTTGAAAGAAAGTATAGGATTCTGGCTTTTCAGGTGAGGAATCTGAGCCCCGGAGAGGAACAGTGTCTTGTCCAAGATCACACAGCCAGGCAGTAGCAAAGCCAAGTGCCCGTTCTTTGCCCTTAAGCTCAGTTAAGACATTTTTACATCTAATCTGTGGGCAGGAAAAGTATGAGAGAAATGTTTGAATGAATTTTTAATACTAATAATAACAATAATATATTAATAATGAAGTCTGTGTAGTCTTATTTCTAAACTTCTTTTAAATGCCTTTTTTCTTATACTATTATGATAAACATAATTTTCCTTTTCCTCGTTTAACTATTGATTTATGCATTCTTTCTAAAGAGGAGAAATCTATTTGCTGTGAGTACATCTCTCTCAAAGTAACTTCTTCCGAACTTTTCATGAATATCTTGGCCAGGAGTTTCAATGTGGTTAAACTATTGGCAGCCCTCAGAAATATCACTTGACGTTTCCAAGTTATTTATGTAATCGTTTTTAGTTGGAAAGTATATACCAACTTCTGAAATTTCTGGTGAAAGAAGACGGACATAGCCCATGGGTCTACTGGGTATTTTCATCTTCTTCACTGACCAAAATGAGCAACTTATATGTTCTCCACATAGGAGAGTTTCTGTGTTGTTTCTGGCCTGTGTGTATAATATTTTTAAGCAGCAAGCCATTTGAGTTTGAATAGTTCATTCCTTTGTTAGTAAGTAATCTCGGTCAAATGTAGTTATGCTGCTTAAATATTCCAAGATTTAGCGATCTAACAAGAAAGCAAGCTCATGGTCTGTTAAGAGAAGACAAGAACAAATTAGTTGGAATAACTTGTACTGTGTTCACAGTTCATGCGTGTAGCAAATGCATGAATACTGCACATGCAACTGTACATGCTGTTCTGATTGACTGTGTCACACATGAACTCTGAATTTCATTATCATTGAGCTTTTTCACAAATCATGAAAGCATAAAAGAATTGTGTGGGTAGAGATTTAATATCTAGCTTTTGAAGGATGCAGACATTTTCCTCTTTCAGTGTCATCTTCCTAAACTCATATTTGGGGTACTGGGTGATTTTTATCACTTACACCCTATGGGTTAAGGGGTGGGTATAGGGTGGGGATGTTCAAGACAGACCCAAATGGATCTTTCCTTAAAAGTCCCTCACTACCCTTAAGAACACTGAGAGATAAGTTCTGTTCTGACAGGGCCCTTGCTGCTTACCGTCAGATCATCCTTTCTCTTTGAGATCAGATCAGTCCCTACTCACATATCCTCACAGCCTTCAAGTGCTTTGAGATGAGGTTGTTTTGAGCAACTCAGTTCTGTCACAATCCCTGGATGAAAGAAAGCAAGTAGACTTTCCTCTCCACCATCTCCTCTCTTCAGTGGCCTTTTATGACTTGCTTTTCTGTTCTTCCTCCTGTTTTATCCTTTGTTTATTGATTTCCCCTTCCCAGTGCTTTCCATCGTCCCCTCATGGTCAACAGGACCCCATGTCCTGAATTCCAACTTTCTGCTGCAACTGAAAACTGGCCTTGGCCAGGCTCACTGCCTCTCTTGCAGGCCTCACCAGTGGAGGCTGCTCATACCTCACAACCCAAGTGCTACACGGCTAAGGTGGGGGGTTGACCTTCTTGGAGTCCCTACTGCTACTTCCTGGCTAGTCCTCTTCTCTCATCTCAGTGCTCCTCTTTTTTGGAGGCTCATGTCATCTGTCTAAACCACTGATCAGAGCATTCACCAAAACCTTTATGACCTGATCATGACTTCCTTCCTTCCAAGGTCATGCCATGATCCGGGGAGTGTTCAAGAATTAACACTTGGAGCAATTTCTGTTGAGCCTCCTGTCCCTGGGGTCAGCAGTGATAGCTCAGGGCAGTGACTGATGGCCCTTAAAATTGCCTGTTCCAAGAAACCATTTCAATTGCATTTGTCATTCTGCAAGCTTCAGTCTAACCCTGTCATTTCTGCATCTCTCTGGCTCCAGTGACCTTCACAGACCTTCCACTTCAGTCACCCATTCCAAGTGTCCAAACTGGACCATATCATTCTTCAAACTACTCTGCCTTAGAAGTATTAAATCCTGCAGCCTCTCTCTAATCTCAGACCCTTCTCCTTCACCTCCTCCTATGCATGCTTCTACTACATGCATTCCTTTTAATCTCTAAGAGACAACTAATTCTCTTATCTCTCTACTTCTCCCAGGTGATCAGCCACCTTTCAGCATCTCTAGGTTTCCTACCCACGTGGCCTCTTCTATCAGTGTCATCCCTCACCTTCTATGCATGATTTTCCTGGCCCACTAGCCTAGTGGAACTTTCTATCAGGTTCTCTACAACTTGGTGTCTTTCTCTGTCTTAGATGGCCTTCTGAGCTCTGCTAAAGAAGATCGATCAGCCATGAAATACAGCCTCATGTAGTGGGGGAACCCTCAATGTCACCTTTGATCATCTCTAATTCTTTATTTTGACCGCATTCATCAACCCCCTTCTACTAAACATCTCTGCGACTGAATGTGTGTTTTTCTTAAACGAGTGCCAGATTTCTGTTCTGTTGTGGCCTGTCCTCCTCAGGCATAGTGAAGGGAGTAGATTTTATTAGTGTTTGTGATCTTGAGAAAATGCAGGAAACTGGACTTGCAGGTTTGCTATAAGAATGGGGAGTAATGGCAGGTGGAGGACTGGATGGGAACATCTTTTTTTTTTCTCTTATTACAGCATAAAACAAATGCATGAATAATGCACATGCAACTGTACATGCTGTTCTGATTGACTATGTCACATATGAACTCTGAATTTCAAAACAAAGGTAAGTTAATTTGCTGGCCAGCAAAGAAGGGCCATGCCAGGCAAGAAAAGACTTCGCCGATTCTCTGCAAGCTGAATTTTGAAGGACCAGATGTAGAAGCAGTAATGGAATTTATTCCCTATCACAAGGGATTTGAGGCATTATGTTTTGATTGGCTTATTCAGAAATGTTTCCTTTTGTTTGGCCAATTCTAGCCTACGTCAAAAAAGTGTAGGCACAGTTTGCAAAGAGATTCCTGGTGGGTAAAGGCTCCATGGGGCTTGAGTCTCTCAGTGGACACCTTTGCCTGCTCATGCTTGGAGTTTTAACACTCTGGAGTGTATTTCTTGGTTCTGGACTTTGGGGAGCTGAGACGTGTTGAGGGCTCTTCCAGATGGTTGGGAAAATGGCACTGACATATGGATACCTGAGGCCAGGCAGATAAATATCTTGAAAGTATCTGTTGTGTTATTCTCTGTGTTTAGTTACCTTTGGTAGTACTCTTAATCTGCTTTTTGTGTAAACCTTTTTAGGGTGGCCAACTGTCCTGGCTTTCCTGGCACTGAGACAGTCCCAATTTCCACCCTATCTTCTAGCTTGGACTTTAATGTCCACTCTTGGGCTGGAGTTCTTCAATGAAACTGGTAGCCTGAGATCAGGATCCTGCTAGCTGTTGTGCTTGGTGGGACATCCCAAGGGCAAGTGGGGGCACAGGTGTGTAGCTGTTAGGGATGCCCACTGGAACACTGTCTGCATTGCTGTCCAGCACATTTCTAGGCCAGGTGTTATTGATGAAGCTTGTATGTTTCCTTTCCCTTCAAGTAGCTCTTCAACTGCAGCCTTTGCATAAATTGTCCTGTTTGCTTGGAACATCCCCTCTGCTTTGTACACACTGTTCCTCCCCCTGCCATCCTCGTCTAACCCTTGTATATCCTTCAGCTCAGTTGTTACTTCCTCAAAGAAGTAAGGCCACCTTCACTTACACGCGCAGGTGAGATTAGGTCCACCTGCTTGCTTCCTAGGCCTCCTGCTTTCCTTTCTTTCTCTCTCTCCCTTCCTCCCTCCCTCCCTCCCTCCCTTCCTCCCTTCCTTCCTTCCCTCCTTCCCTCTTTCTTTCTTTTTCTCTCCTTCTCCTTTTCCTTCCTTCCCTTTTCTCTTTCTTTCTTTCTTTCTTTCTTTTTCTTTCTCTCTCTTTCTTTCTTCTTTCTTTCTTTCCTTCTCTCTCTCTTTCTTTCTCTCTCTTTCCCTCCCTCCCTCCCTCCCTCCCTCCCTTCCTTCCTTCCTTCCTTCCTTCCTTCCTTCCTTCCTTCCTTCCTTCCTTCCTTCCTTCCATCCTTCTTTCCTTTCTCATCTTGGAATTTTTTTTCTTATAGCATTTTGACCTCCTGACCCACTGTAACCTTCATGGGTTGTAGTGGGAGGGAGTGAGGAGGGAAGAGAAGGTGGGTGTGGTCAAACAGTGCACTCAGTTTGGATTTCTCATGCTAGTCTGGGTGACTTACTTATCCAAACAACAAACCCTGTGGGGATGCTGCATCATGAACTGTTTCAAGAAAACACAATGCAGGATGTGAGGCTTGGAGCAATTTCTGCTGAGCCTCATGTCCCTGGGGTCAGCAGTGATAGCTCAGGACAGTGACTGATGGCCCTTAATATTGCCTCTTCCAGGAAACCATTTCAATTACATTCATCATTCTGCACATGCACACATGCATGATTATTTTGGACAGGTTTCTGTTTCTAAAAGTTAATAATACATGGCTACATACATGAATACATTTGGATTATGTGGAAATTAACATATATAACATACACCTCCCTTCCCAGAGCTGGATTGAACTGATTGGGTACTTTCTCCAAGTCTTCTCTCATCCCCTTTGAGATTCTCTTATTAAGTCCTTCTCCTCTGCACCCAGCACTGCACATTTCCTCCTTTGTCTTTTCCACCAGGCTTTGAGCCCCTAGGGGCAGGGACTATGTCTTCTCATCACTATAGCTCCAGATTGTACTCTGCAGCCTGGCACACAGTAAATGCACAACGAGCATATATTTGTTGAAGATTATACCCCTTGTCAAAAACCTTACATGGGTCCTTGTTTCCTCCTCTGAAATAGGCCAACTGCTGACCGGTATTAAAGCCCCTGCACAGCTTGGCCCCAGGTTACCTGTCTTCCCTTATCCCCCATTTCTCTCTGTGTGCCCTGTGCTCTGGCCAGACTGGACTCCATGCCTTTCCTGTTCTGATATTTTCCTGTGCCAAGGGTGTGCAAAGCTCTTTATTGAATGTCTGTGTTTTCTGCGATGTCCAGCTTAGTGCCATCTCTTCCAGGTAGTTTTCAGTGAAGTCCTCAGCCTAACAGCGTTTCTTCCTGCTCTTTGAAATAGTCACTCATGTTTGCTTATGGCCCTAAGGATTCATCTGGGTTTGTAATTATTGACATGGATGTCTTATCCTGTTGGAGTCAGAACAATCTAGAGTGAGTCTGCATGACTTTTCTGCAATTCCCATGGACATGGAATAGCTAGATCTACTTCCAGGAGTGACAAGACTTGAAGAAATTCTAATTAAATTTTTATTTCTGAGTTTGCTTTAAGAAATAAAATAAATTCTTAGGCCGGGCACGGTAGCTCATGCCAGTAATCTCAGCACTTTGGGAGGCCAAGGTGGGAGGTTCACCTGAGGTCAGGAGTTTGAGACCAGCCTGGCCAACATAGTGAAACCCTGTCTCTACTAAAAACACACACACACACACACACAAATTAGCTAGGCATGGCGGCAGGCGCCTGTAATCGCAGCTACTCAGGAGGTTGAGGTAGAATTGCTTGAACATGGGAGGCGGAGGTTTGCAGTGAGCCGAGAGCGTGCCATTGCATTCCAGCCTGGGCAACAAGAGCAAAACTCCGTCTCAAAAAAAAAAAAAAAGGAAAAGAAAGAAAGAAAATAAATTCTTAAAAAAGTTAATTATTCTTTGTGATAATAAAGAGCCTATCTTTATTTCTTTGTGTGTGTGTGTGTGTTGTGTGTGTGTGTGTTTGTAATTATTTCTATTTTTCACTCTTTTCCTACAACTATGAGGAAGTAATAGTCTCTTTTCCAAATACTGTTAGTCCAAAGGCTTGTTTGTAGAATCAGACTGTTCTTTGTTTTGGACCCTGGCTGCTTGCTTCCAATTCTCAACGCTTTCCACGTGGCAGACCACCAACAAGGAATAGTATTCCTAGTCCATTTGGATGAATCCTTCTCTTAATCCCTTCCCTCTGGGATTTAATGCTAACAGGGTTTTTAAAATTTACATTTCAAAATGATTGAGTAAATTTTTCTTTATAATTGGGAAAAGGCAAGATTTTTAACTAAGAATTTTGCTTTTGCGTTAGGTTTACACTGCATTAAGACATATATTTATCAAATAGAGCTATGATATATTGTAAATATACATTAAATAAAGCTATGCTCTATTTAAAAACCTAATTCTGAACACATGGTTCTCATGAAAAATTATAATACCTTGAGTGGAGACTGACATCTGAGCTGATAATAGCAGTAGTTTAAAGGAGTAGTCATTCATTCCATCAATCCCTCAACAAATGTTGATTGAATCTCTGTAATGTGGCATCATGCTGGGTGTATGATACTGTGATGTGAGATAGAATTGTATCCAAAGTAATTCCTGCAATTTCAATCTTGAAACTAGAGAAGAGGAGCTTTTTCTTTTTGAAGGCTAAGATTACAGTTGCCCTTTATTAAGCAACCTGCATGTATAAGAACTGTATGAGATATGCCCTGTGCCTTATAATTACAGTTTACTCTTCTGCTCCTCTGTGTTTGCTTCAGCAGCACATATATTAAAATGAACAATACAGAGAAGATTAGCATGGCCTCTGTACAAGGATGATATGAAATTTGTGATGAGTTTTAAAAAAGACCAGTTAGTTGTAAGGGAAGGGAGAAAAGAAGGTGCGGGAGAAGCGACAGAAGCTAAGCTTCTCTGTATATACCTATCTTACACATTTGGCTTTGGGATCATGCAAATATTTTATATATTTGTAAAGTAAAATTAGATTTTAAAAGAACAATCCCTAAGAATAAAAAATAAAATAATAAAAGCAAAAAAACCTATGATTCCCATTGGTGGTGGTAACCACATAGAGAAGAATTATTCTAATTGACTTTAATACACATGAATTTCACTGAAGGTCAGTATATCCAAGGATAAAAGAACTAAAAATGAGATTTAAAACTTTTTGCAGTGACGTTATTGTTGATGGTAGCATTGGACTTGCTGTTATGAGACTGCTGTGTGGGTGATGTGAGACAAAGCAAATGAACAATACAAATGTGATCATTTGGTTTTTTATTCTGGTAATCTTGAAAATCCGTATTCTTGATATGGGAAAAAGGAGACAGGGAAAAAAGATAGAAGAAATTAAGTGAAAACTCTATAGTCCTAGAATTGAATTGTAAGTATCTGTAAAAACTCCTGAGGTCTTTTATCTTAAACAAAACCAAACCAGGACATATTTTGCAGATCCCTTCACTGAAAAGGCATAATAACAATGAGCAAATGGCCAACTTAATAGCAGTGATCTAGTGCCCAGGTCATGGTCTCTCAACACCATATCCCATTTAAAAGGAACCAGGATTCCATGGCAAAATTACTTATTCTGGGTCTGGAGGTAAAACAATGCAAAATTAGCCTGGAACATTATGTAATTAACAGGTAGCAAGGAAGCTGTCAAGACTACTAGAGTCTCATCAGAAGGACTCAGGAATCAGCTTGTCAACACTTTTATAAGCAGAAATTGGGACAATTTGAAGCCAGGCGCAGTGGCTCACACCTGCAATCCCAGAATTTTGAGATGCTGAGGCGGGCAGATCACTTGAGGTCAGGAGTTTGAGACCAGCCTGGCCAAAATGGTGAAACCTCATTCCTACTAAAAATACAAAAATTAGCCAGGCGTGGTGGTGCATGGCTATATAATCCCAGCTACACAAGAACTGCTTGAACCCGGGAGGCAGAGGTTGCCGCGAGCTGAGATCCTGCCACTGCATTCTAGCCTGGGTGACAGAGTGAGACTCCGTCTCAAAAAAAAAAAAAAAAAATTGGGACAAAATTTGAGCATCAATAAAAGCAAAAATTGCAAAGGACTTAAGCATGTCAACTATGTTTATATCACTAAGTTAATAATAATACTAAAATGCATTAGTCACTGTTGGCGGGTGCTCAGGAATCAACTCATTACATTGAAAACAAATAGAAGGAAAAAACCCAAATATTCATTCTGCCTTTTCTATATGAACAATATCACTGGATAACCAAACAGTAGATGAGGAAAATTTGTCTTTACAGAAATATTTCAGTCAATAAATAAGGAAGGGATGATAGAATGAGAATGTCATCATTTTGCAACTCTAATGAACTGATATATGCATTGAATATCAAAGCCAATAAAGTCGCAAAAAGGGAGACAGCCAAACAGTGTACATCTCTTGATGGAAGAACCCAGTACTACCCATGTAGGATTCTTGCCTTCTATGGTGCTTCTCGACCTCCCGAAAATTGAGGCTGCAGATCTAACTACCTATTTATGAGAATTACAGTGTACAAGGAAACACATTAAACTAAATCATGGGTTTGCAACCACCAAAATCCAGACAGTGGGAAACTTTACAGGACAAACAATTCAATTTCTTCAACAAATAAATTGCAAAAGAAAAAGAAAACTAGATACAGAACCAAAAAGATTAAGTGAGACTTAAAAGATGTATCCACCAACTGCAATGCATGGCCCTTATTTGGATCTTTATGTAAATGAACAAATAAACAGACAAAAAACCTACGACAACACTCTTTATGACATTTATAAGAAAATTGGAAAATTACTATTTTGTTGTCAACTCCTAATTTCTGAGGCATGAAAATGGTATTGTGAATATGCTAAAAAGTATATTTTATGAATACACATAAAAATATTTACTGATTAAATGATGTTTTGTATAGTGGGAGTGGGTGAGTAGTAGAATAAGCTTGGACTTGGGTTGCTGATTGTGGGGCTGGGCTATGGGTACTTGGGGTTCATTAGACTTTTCTGTCTACCTTTATGTATGTTTGAAATCTTGCATAGTAAAAGGTAAAAGATAAAAGTAACAACAACAAAACAGCATCAACAAAACAAAAATGAAACTCAACTTTGCTGTGAATTGGATAGTGTCATTCCATATTATTAATAAGGAAGTTGTGGCTTGGAGGAGTTAACAGCCTCACCAGGACACAATCAGTCAATGGCAAAGCCAATTTCATACCTAGGTCTTTTTCAAGAGAAAAAATATTTGGCCTGGTGAGGTGGCTCATACCTGTAATCCCAGTACTTTGGGAGGCCGAGGTGGGCAGATCACTTGAGGCTAGGAGCTTGAGACCAGACTGACCAACATGGCAAAACCCCATCTCTACTAAAAATACAAAAATTGCTGGGCGTGGTGGCTTATGCCTGTAATCCCAGCTACTCAGGAGGCTTAGGCAGGAGAATCACTTGAGTCTGGGAGGCAGAGGTTGCAGTGAGCAGAAATCATACCACTGCACTCCAGCCTGGGTGTCAGAGAGAGACTCTGTCTCATTTTAAAAAATAAATAAATAAAGAGAGAAAACATGTTCACTTTTTTGCCATACTACATTGCATACCTAAAATCAAATAATGCAACTTCAAAAATATCAAATTCACTAGAAAAAATTAATTAGCAGAAAAGCATTTTACAATTAAACATTTCTTCCATAGATATTTCTTAAATGTTTGGTCCCTGACCTCATTGCCACATTAAAATAAGATATATAATCATATTCAATTAAGTTCAAACTTATGTGTGCAGTAATTTAAAGTTTAATTTATGAGTATTCCATGAGGCTTTGTAAAAGCATCCCCGTGATACTTCACACATTCTGACACCAGAACATGTTTGAGAAATATTGATTTAGCGGTTGGTGACAAAAGGTTTTTAGAATTTTCAGCACACACAAAGGTTAGAATGTGTCAGTGGGCATTACACTCTGAATAGCCATGTTAAGTACTAAACTATTTTAATGACAGTAAGTATGCCCTGCTGTTGGCAGTGAAACTGTGTTACCATTAGCATATTTTACAAGTTGAGTCTATTTTGTGTTCTAACTTGAAGCAGCTTTATTTCCTGCCCCATTACAGGATAGTACTTTTATAATATAAAATAAATGTCCCCAATTCAACTCATTTTAAGACATGGATTTATAATGCCATGAACTTGGGGCAAACCTTTAAAATGTTTTAAAGCATATTTTTTCTTAGTTTTAAACCTTGAATTATTCCACTCATGGTTTTTATGTTAAAAAATATTTCATTAAACTTGCCAAATTTTATTGTAAAATACTTGAATAAGAAGTCTAAAAAATAAATGCACAAGACATTTTGTTCTTCCCCAGGTTCAGATGATGAGTATGGGAAATCTTTTTTCTGTCCAGCTTAGTTAGCAATTTTTTATGTTTTTATTTTTTGTTATATTTTATTTAGAAGCAGCATATGTACTTTTTAAGTTAGCAAAATTGGCCCTACCTGGAATTGGAACAGTTTGGCAGAACTATAGGAAGTTACCCTGAAGTTCCATTTTCTCTGCCAGATGTGATTTTGCCATGACTTGATATCTGTCTGTTAGGCCTAACTCTTGCCACATGGCACAGGAAACCTTATTTTAAACAACCAGAGTTCATCAGCAATCTTATTAAATATCTGGCATGTCTTATCATTCATGAGCATTGATTAGTGTTGGACCTCACAGTCACATTGTCCCATCTGCACACAGGGAGAACTCTGACGCTTCAGACTCAGAAGCCTCTTAGTAAAGGATTTGGGTGAACAAAGTATCTTTCCTGGAGGGTCTCTGAGAGCCCCTTGTTTAACTCCTACTCAGTTATAATCCAGTTCTACATAGATTAACATCTTTAAGGAAGTATAAGCAGTATATCACGGAGCCTAGTACATGTTCCGTAGTTTGAGAGAAGGGGACCTCCAATTCTCTAAACACTCTTAGATGTTGCCTTCTTCTGAAGTAGATTTACAACAAGAAACCTAGGAAACACAAGACACTAGCATATTTATGTGTTTTGTTTGTTTGTTTGTTTTTGGGATGGAGTCTTGCCCTGTTGCCCAAGCTGGAGTGCAGTGGCTCGATCTTGGCTCACTGCAACCTCTGCCTCCTGGGTTCAAGCGATTCTCCTACTTCAGCCTCCTGAGTAGCTGGGACTACAGGTGTGCACCACCATGCCCAGCTAATTTTTTTATTTTTAGTAGAGATGGGGTTTCACCATGTTGGCCAGGCTGGTCTCGAACTCCTGACCTCATGATCCGTCTGCCTTGGCCTCTCAAAGTGCTGGGATTACAGGCATGAGCCACTGCACCTGGCCACAGATTTATGTTTTTAAGAGGACATTGCCTTTATGAAACTGCCTTAAACTCATGAGGCAGGACAGACTGAGATGAGCAAAGATGAAAACAGATGAAAGGCATAGTTTCCAAATGAAATCAAGAGGCGGGAGATGCTGGATTCAGCAGAGAATCAGATTAGTGAAAACAAATTCAGAAAAGTTCAGTTACAGGGGATAAGGACAGGGAAATAAAATCAACGAGGAGACTGTAGCTATGTTGGACAGATCTCAGACATCCAATGTAAGTACTCACAAAAGAGAGAAGACATCAAACGGAAGAGAGGAAATTCAGTCAGTGCTATAAGACAGCTTTGATTTACTAAAAGCTTTTGTGAAAAAAATTCAAAGCTGTCATTAAATATGTGTCAGTTGTAAGATGTATTGCATTTTGATTTCAAAAAATGGAAAAAGATAGGAAGGAGCAAGTTAGAATTTAGGAAATGTAGAAACAGAAAAAATTATGATACAGAAATTGTTATAGGCCTTATCCTCTGAGCCTAAGTAATTCAAATAAACATTAAGTGAAGAGGTTTGAATCAAAACCTATAAACATTACAAATTTTAAAACACTCTTCTGAAGAAATTATTCATGCAAGAGGAAATGAAAAATATAATTACACATTATGTAGAAGATAACAAAAACAAGAGTATTCGTTTCAGAAATTATCATGTAACTACAGTCTATACTGAGAGGACCTCACATTCTTTCAAAAATGTAAACATTTAATATATTCAGTAAGTGATATTGGAACAGTTGGTTAATTTAGAAAAAGTTAATTTAAATTGTTAACATATGTAATAGTAAATTCCAGATGGATTGAAGAGTTAAATAAAAAATTTAACCATAAAAACATAAAAATACCATGAAAGTAAATACTTCCAAATTTCTGATGGAGAAGCTTCAAATGAATGGAAAGTAAAATGTATTGATGGATTTAACTACATAGAAGCCTTAAAATGAATACTTGTCGAAAAACATTCAAATGAGAAGTTAAAGTAAGATAACATGTAATACAAATTTTGTAAAATACCATGTAAAAGACTTTTCAAATGGACAAAAAAGAGATAGTAGATGAATAGGTAAAGGAAAATACTTTACAGTTGTAATAGAAAAGCAAGTGACTGGTTAATAATCATATGGAAAGATTCAACTTTATTTCTAATCAATAAAATATAAACCCAAGCAATGACTAAAAAGCACTCCCCCACCTCCAGCAATTACTTTCAAAAAAAGAAGTTTGCAAACCCAGTGCTAGTGATGGTGATGGGCAGAGATCAAGTTTATATTGTGCTGTTGAATACTGCTAAGTGCAGTGCTTTTGATAAGCAGTTTTGCAACATGTATTAAGAACCTCAGAAATATCTTTAGTTTTTGACTCAGCAAATGTTGTTTCAGGGAATTTCCTGAGGGAATAGTCTAAGTAAAAAGAATGCTTCCTGCAAAAATACATTGATATTATTATTTATAATACTTGACAACCAGAAACAATCTAAATGTTAAACCGTAGGGGAATGGCCAAGTAAATTATGGGATTTCTGAGATGGAATATTACTAATTTTTATTATGCTTATACTTTTGAAATAACAGGAAATGCTAACATGATATCCTTAAGTTAAAAGATCAGGTCACAGAATCACATAGGAAATCTATAATTTTATTTATATGTGAACAGAAAGAGAAACCTCATGAAAAAGCAAAAATAACAGTGGTTATCACTGGGTTGTGGAATTAAGAGTGTTTTAAATTTTCTTTTAAATGTATTCTCCAGGCTTACTACAAATGAGCATATAATACTTTGATCATTAAAATATGATTAAAATATTCCTTCTAAATACTGATGAAGAAGCACTTGGGAAGGGATTAACAGTAGTTAATTAACAATTAAGATATTTTGAAGGTTGGTGGCAATTTTAATACAAAGAAAGGATTGGGGGAATGGACATCCAAGGCTCAATACTTGTTTAATAGTGTCCACTTTTTTCTACTCCTGGTTCTGATTTCCCTTCTTGTTTTTTTTTAATTTTTAAATTTTATTTATTCATTTATTTTTATTTTATTTTTTATTTTTTGAGACAGAGTCTCTGTTGCCAGGCTGGAGTGCAGTGATGCAATCTCGGCTCACTGCAATCTCTGCCTCTTGGGTTCAAGTGATTCTCCCGTCTCAGCCTCCCGAGTAGCTGGGATTACAGGCACACACCACCACACACAGCTAATTTTTGTATTTTTAGTAGAGACACGGGTTTCACCATGTTGCCCAGGATGGTCTCGATCTCCTGACCTCTTGATCTGCCTGCCTCAGCCTTCCAAAGTGCTGGGGTTACAGGTGTGAGCCACCGCACCTGGCCTATTCATTTATTTTTAACATTTGTGGGTACCTAGTAAGTGTATATATTTATGGGGTATGTGAGATATTTTGAATCAGGCATGCAATACACAATAATCACATCAGGGTAAATGGGGTATCCGTCACCTCAGGCATTTATCCTTTCTTTGTGTTCAGTCAAATTATACTCTCAGTTATTTTAAAATCTATAGTAAATTATTGTTGACTGTAGTCACCCTGTTGTGCTACCAGATACTAGATCTTATTCATTTTATCTAACTATATTTTTGTACCCATTAGCCATCCCCACTTCCCCCACCGCCACTATCCTTCCTAGCCACTGGTGACCACCATTCTACTGTGTATCCCCATGAGTTCAAATGTTTTAATTTTTTTTAGCTTCCACAAATAACTGAGAACATGTGAAGTTTGTCTTTCTGTACCTGGTTTATTTCACTTAGCATAAAGACCTCCAGTTTCATCCATGTCATTGCAAATGACAGAATCTCTTTCTTTTTTTATGGCTGAAGAGTACTCCATTGTGTATATGCATCACATTTTTTTTTTATCCATTCATCTGTTCATGGACCCTTATGTTGCTTCCAATTCTTAGCAATTGTGAATAGTGCTGCAAAAAACATGGGAGGGCAGATATCTCTTCGATATACTGATTTCCTTTCTTTTGGGTATATACCTAGGAGTGGGATTGCTGGAACATGATAGTTCTATTTTTAGTTTTTTGAGGAACCTCCATACTGTTCTCCATAGTGGTTGTGCTAATTTACATTCCCACCAACAGTGTATGAGGGTTCCTCTTTCTCCACATTCTTGCCATCATTCATTATTGCTTGTCATTTGGATAAAAGTCATTTTAACTGGAGTGAGATGATATCTCATTGTAGTTTTGATTTACATTTCTCTGAAGATCAATAATGCTGAGTACTTTTTCATATGCCTGTTTGGACTCAAGTGATCCTCTCATCTCAGCCTCTTGAGTAGGTGGGACCACAGGCTTTTTAACTTGATGTGATCCCACTTGTCTTCTTTTGCTTTGGTTGCCTGCACTTGTCGGGTATTACTCAAGAAATCTTTGCCCAGTCCAATGTCCTGGAGAATTTCCCCAGTGTTTTCTTTTAGTAGTTTCACAGTTTGAGGTCTTAGACTTAAGAATTTAATCCATTTTGATTTGATTTTTGTGTATGGCAAGAGATGGGTATCTAGTTTTATTCTTCTGCATATGGACATCCAATATTCCCAGCATCATTTGTTGAAGAGACTCTCCTTTCCCCAGTGTACGTTCTTGGCACCTTTGTTGAAAATGAGTTCACTGTAGAAGTATGCATTTATATCTGGGTTCTCTATTCCTTTGGTCTATATGTCTGTTTTTTATGGCAGTACCATGATGTTTTGGTTACTACAGCTCTGTAGTATAATTTGAAGTCAGGTAATGTGATTCCTCCAGTTTTCTTATTTTTGGTCAGGATAGCTTTGGCTATTCTGGGTCTTTTGTGGTTCCACAGAAATTTTAGTATTATTTTTTCTCTTTCTGTGAAGAATGTCATTGATATTTTGATATGGATTGCATTTAATCTGTAGATGACTTTTGGTATTATGGACATTTTAACGATATTGATTCTTCCAACCCATGAATATGGAATATCTTTTCCTTTTTTTGGTGTGTCCTCTTCAATTTCTTGCATCAACGTTTCGTCGTTTTCATTGTAGAAATCTTTCATTTCTTTGGTTAAGTTTATTTCTAGGTATTTTATTTTATTTGTAGGTATTGTGAATGGGACCGCTTTCTTGATTTCTTTTTCAGATAGTTTGCTATTGGCATATGGAAATGCTACTGATTTTTGTATGCTGACTTTGTGTCCTGCAACTTTACTGGATTTGTCAGTTCTAATAGTTTTTTTGTGTGTTATCTTTAGTTTTTTCCAAATATAAGATCATATCATCTGAAAACATGGATAATTTTACTTCTTCCTTTCCAATTTGGATGCCGTTTATTTATTTCTCTGTCTGATTGCTCTAGCTAGTAATTCCAGTACTACGTTGAATGACAGTGGTGAAACTGAGCATCCTTGTCTTGTTGCTGATCTTAGAGGAAAGGCTTGCAATTTTCCCTTATGCAGTATGATACCAGCTCTGGGTCTGTTATATATGGCTTTCATTATGTTGATGTATGTTCCTTCTATATCTAGTTTTTTAGTTTTATTTTTATCATGAAGGAATGTTGAATTTTATTAAATGCTTTTCCAGCATCAATTGAAATCATCATATGGTTTTTGTCCTTCATTCTGTTGATATGATGTGTCACATTGATTTGCATATGTTAAACCATCCTTGCATCCCTGGAATAAATCCTACTAGGTCATGATGAATAATCTTTCTAATTTATTGTTGATTTCAGTTTGCTAGTATTTTGTTGAGGATTTTTGCATCAGTGTTAATCAGGGGTATTGGCCTGTAGTTTTCTTTTTTCTTTTTTTTTTGTGTCTTTGGTTTTAGTATCAGGGTAATACTGGCCTCAGAGAATGAGTCTGGAAGTATTCTCTCCTCGATTTTTGAGAATAGTTTGAGTAGGGTTAGTATTAGTTCTTGTTTAAATGTTTGGTAGAATTCAGTAGTGAAGCCATTGGGTCTTGGGCTTTTCCTTGTTAGGAGCCTTTTAATTATGGCTTCAATCACATTACTTGTTATTGGTCTGTTCAGGTCTTGAATTTCTTCCTGGTTCAATCTTGGTAGGTTGTATGTGTCTAGGAATTTATCCATTTTTTTTTCTAGATTTTTCAATGTATTGGCATATAGTTGCTCGTAATAACCACTAATTATCCTTCAGATTTCTTTGGTGTCTCTTATAATGTCTCCTTTTTCATCTCTGATTTCATTTGAGTCTTTTCTTTTTTCTTCTTAGTCTGGCTAAGGGTTTGTTGATTTTGTTTATCTTTTCAAAAATCAACTTTTTGTTTCATTGATTTTTTTTGTATTTTTTGTGTTAATTTCATTTATTTGTGCTCTGATGTTTATTATTCCATTTCTTCTGCTAATTTTGGATTTTGTTTTCTGTTGTTTTTCTAGTTCTTTAAGATGCATCATTAGGTTGTTTATTTACAACTTTTCCAGTTTTTGTTTTGGTGTTTATTGCTATAAATTTCTTAGTACTACTTTTGCTGTATTACATCAGTTTTGGTATGTTGTGTTTCCATTTTCATTTTTAATTTCCTTCTTAATTTCTTCATTGACCCACTGGTCATTCAGAAGCATATTGTTTAATTTCCATGTGTTTGCATAGTTTCCAAAATTCCTCTTGTTATTGATTTCTAGTTCCATTCCATTGTGGTCAGAGAAGATACTTGATATGATTTCAATTTAAATTTTTTTTTAAAGACCTGTTTTTGGCCTAACATGTGGTCTATCCTTGAGAACGAGCCATGTGTTGAGGAGAAGAAAGTGTATTCTGCAACCATTGGATGAAATGTTCTGTAAATATCTATTAGGTTCATTTGGTCTATAGTGCAGATTAAGTCCAGTGTTTCTTTGCTTATTTTCTTGTGGATGATCTATCCAGTGCTGGAAGTGGGGTGCTGAAGTCTCCAGCTATTATTGTTATTGGAATCTATGTCTGTCTTTAGCTGTAATACTATTTGTTTTATTTATCTGTGTGATCCAGTGTTGGGTGCATACATATTTATAATTGTTATATCCTCTTGGTGTTTTGACCTCTTTATCATTATATAATGACTTTGTCTCTTTTTTCTAGGTTTTGTCTTGAAATATATTTTGTTTACGTACAGCTACCCCTGCTCTTTCTTGGTTTCCATTGACATGGAATATCTTTTTTCATCCCTTTTTTTCAGTCTATGTGTGTCTTTATAGGCGAAGTGTGTTTTTGTAGGCAACACATCATTGAGTCTTTTTTTTTTATTCATTTAGCCACTCTATGTCTTTTGATTGGAGAGTTTAGTCCATTTACATTCAATGTTATTATTTGTAAGTATGGACTTTTGCCATTTTGTTATTTGTTTTCTGGTCTTCTCCTCGTTCCCCCCGCCCCCTTCCTATTTTCTTTTTAGTGAGGGTGATTTTCTCTGGTGGTATAATTTCTTGTTTTTAATTTTTATATATCTGTTGTATGCTTTTTGATTTGAGGTTACCATGAGGCTTACAAATACTATCTGGTAACCCATTATTTTAAACTGATGACAACTTAACACTGATTGCATAAACAAACTGACAAGCAAAGAGAAAACCAACATAAATTCTGCACTTAAACTACATCCTCCTGCTTTTAAACTTTTTGTTTCTATTTACATCTTATTATACTGTCTATGTCCTGAAAAGTTGTAGTTATTATTTTTGATAGGTTCATCTTTTAATCTTTCTACTCAAGATTTGAGTAGTTTATGTGCCACAATTACAGTGTCATAATATTCTGTGTTTTTCTGTGTAGCTACTATTACTGGTGAGTTTTGTACCTTCAGATGATTTCTTATTTCTCATTAAAGTCTTTTTCTTTCCAGTTAAAGAATGCCCTTTAGCGTTTCTTGCAGAGCAAGTCTGGTGTTGATGAAATCTCTCAGTTTTTGTTTGTCTGGGAAAGTCCTTATTTCTCCTTCATGTTTAAAGGGTGTTTTTGCTGGATATACTATTCTAGGATAAAGGGTTTTTCTTCTCTTTCAGCAGTTTACATATGTGATGTTACTCTCTCCTGGCCTGTAAATTTTCCACTGAGGAGGCTGCTGCCAGATATATTGGGGCTCCATTGTATGCTGTTTCTTTCTCTTGCTGCCTTTAGGATCCTTTCTTTATTCTTAACCCTTGGGAGTTTGATTATTAAATACTTTGTGGTAGTCTTCTTTGGGTTAAATCTGCTTGGTGTTCTATAAGCTTCTTGTACTTGAATATTGGTATTTTTTCTGTAGGTTTGGGAAATTCTCTGTTATTATCCTTTTGAGTAAAATTCCTACCCTAATCTTTCTCTCTACCTTCTCTTTAACACCAATAACTCTTAGATGTCCCCTGTTGAGGCTATTTTTTGATCCCATAGGCATATGTCGTTATTTTTTATTTTTTTTCTTTGTCTTCTCTGTGTATTTTCAAATAGCCTGTCTTCAAGCTCACTAATTCTTTCCTCTGCTTGATCATTTCTGCTGTTAAGGGATTCTGATGCATTCTTCTATTTGTCAATTGCATTTTTCAGCTCCAGAACTTCTGCTTGATTATTTTAAAATATGTCAATCTCTTTGTTAGTTTTATCTGATAGAATTCTGAATTCCTTCTCTGTATTATTTTGGATTTCATTGAGCTTCTCAAAACAGCTATTTTGAATTCTCTGTTTGAAAGGTCACATATCTCTGTCACTCCAGAATTGGTCACTGGTGCCTTATATACTTTGTTTGGTAAGGTCCTGTTTTCCTGGATGGGCTTGATGCTTGTGGATGTTTGTCAGTATCTGGGCATTGAAGAGTTGGATATTTATTGTCGTCTTCTCAGTTTGGGCTTGTTTGTACCCATCCTTATTGGGAAGGCTTTCTAAGTATTTGATGGGACTTGGGTATTGTGATCTAAGTCTTTGGTCACTGCAGCCATACTTGCTTTAATGGGCACCCCAAGCCCAATAACCCTGTGGCTCTAGCAGACTTGTAGAAGTACTACCTTGGCAAAATCCACTGGGTATAAAAACCATACCTCTATGGATCTCAGTTTGAAAAAGACCACTCAGCGTGATGATTCAGGGACAGAAGTGTCAGAGAACAGGCAACGAAGTGGAGTTCTATGTGAGCTGAAGGGCCTATTTTTATCTTTAAGAGATGGATAACATCTAAAAACTGAAATTAAAAACCTGATGCTTAAGAAGAAACATGGAACATTATAGAAGGCACTGGATCACTCAAGAATATTGATTGCCCAGAGAAGGTGCTAGTGGATGAGGCCAGGGGCACTGACTTCCTACGGCACACCAAACCAATGGATTTTACAGGTGGAGGAACTACAGGAATAAACTCTGCAAGTCTGAATCTGAAACAAAATTCCAAACCTGGGATGGTGAACCAGTAAGGGCTAAAGCTAGAGGATCCTCCTCGGAGTGGTGCTCAGGTTGCTCTCCATGGAAAGAGGTAAAAAACGGAGGTCAGATGCTGGAATGGAGAATAGTGTAAAAGAAGCCAAGCACAGTTTCATACCAAAGCAAAACCAGCCTCAAGAACCCAAAAAGTATAATGGTTAGGAGCATTTAGAATCATAATTTTTTTTTTTGCTTTTCAGTTGTGTGAATTTCTTATATATTTTGGATATTAATCCTTTCTCAGATATATGGTTTGCAAATATTTTGTCCTAATATGTAGGTTTCCTTTTCATTCTGTTGATTGTTTTCTTTGCCATGCAGAAGCTTTTTAGTTTAATGCAGTCTCACTTATTTTCACTTTTGTTGCCTGAGGTTTTGGTGTCATATTTGAAAAATTCTTGCCAAGGCTAATATCAAAAAGCTTTCCCATCTGTTTTCTTCTAAGAGTTTTATGGTGGTTTTAGGTCTTACATTTAAGTCTTCAAGGCATTTTGAGTTGATTTTTGGGTATGGTGTAAGATAAGGGTTCAATTTCATTCTTTCAAATATGGCTTTTCAGTTTTCCAAACACTATTTATTGAAGAGACTATCCTTTTCCCATTGTATATTCTTGGCCCCTTGTTGAAAATTAGTTGACCATATATGTGTGGGTTTATTTATGGACTCACTCTTTGGTTTCATTGGTTTATGTGTTTGTTTTTATGCCGGTACCATACTGTTTTGATTACTGTATGTTTGTAATACAATTTGAAATCGGGAAGTATAGTAGGAAGTGTGATGCTTCCAACTAACTGGATTAAAAAATGGGCAAATGGCATTTCTCAAAAGAAGACATACAAGTGGCCAACAGGTATATAAAAAGGTGCTCAGAATCACTAATCATCAGGAAAATGCAAATAAAAACCACAATGACAAAACATCTCATATCTATTAGGATGTCTGTTATCAAATAGACAAGAGATAATAAGTGTTGGTGAGAGTGTGAAGAAAAGGAACTCTTATATGCTGTTGGTGGGAATGTAAATTAGTGCAGCTATTTTAGAAAACAGTATGGAGGTTCTTCAAAAGTTTAAAAATAGAATTACCATATAATCTAGCACTCATGATTCTAGGTATGTATCCAAAGGAAATAAAATCATTGTCTTGAAGAGATATCTGCACTCCCGTGTTCATTGCAGTGTTATACTCAATAGCCAAGATATGGCAATAACTTAAGTGTCCATTGATAGATGAATGGATAAAGAAAATGTGATGTACATACATATATATAACTATATTATTCTTTATGAATTATTATGAATATTATTGAGCCTTAAAAAAGAAGGAAATCTTGCCTTTTGCAACAACATGAATGGACCTGGAGAACATTATGCTAAGTGGAATAAGCCAGACACAGAAATAAAAATACTGCATGATCTCACTTATACGTGAAATCTAAAGATTATATAGCAACAGAGAGTAGAACTATGGTTACCAGGGCCTGGAATGGAGAGGAGATGTTGGTTAAAGGGTACAAGTTGCAGTTATGTAGGATAAGTGACTATAGTTAATAATGCTGTATTATATACTGGAAATTTGCTATGAGAGTAAATTTCACCACACATACACAAAAGTAACCATGTGAGGAGATGGATATGTTAATTTGCTTGACTATAGTAATCATTTCACTATGTATATGTATATCAAAACATGTTGTACCTCTTACATATGTACAGCTTTTACTAAAAGAGAATCACAACAAACCCATTGCTTTGATAGTAATTGGTGTTCCCAAAAATGATTCTGAGTACTCAGAAGGGGTTAAATTATTTTCTAGGTACCTTATTTCCAGACTGTAATGTGTGTTTTCCATTTAAAAAGTTAAGCTAAAAATAATACACTAAAGGGCATCCTTTATTACCTAGAAAATAACTAAGTGTCCTAATTCTGTCAGATAAGTGAGTCAACACTGTATATTTATCTGCCTAACAGATGCTTCCTTTGTCAGTTCAAAACATACACGAGTAAAAGTGGGATTTAAAGGAACAGCTTGGAATGAATGGTATTCCTTAAAATTTTGATTTTCCCAGAAAATTCAATTCTGGTCAAATAATGATGGGCAATAATATATACCAGGGCTATTGCTTTGACATTTATTAATGAATTTGGATTACAAGAAATACTCTAGAAATCTATTAGAAACTATATAAACAATATTCAGCTCCGTCTTAACTAGTTGATTACATTCCATAAAACCATTATTTTTATTCTGTTAACATTTCATGGAAATGGAATTTATTGAATTTGCCTCATTTGTGCTAGATTATCTTTCTACCTCATACACAGAGTTGAATTTTCATCAGAAAGTCACACATACCTGTTTATCTTTTTTTTGTGTTAAAGGGGTATGTTTCTTTAGAAACCACCAGCTTAGGATATGGTGTCATTCCGAATGTGATTCCTGTCAGACTACAGTGAGCACAGGTAATGGATATTGTCATAAATGACATTTGGTTCATTAGAATCTGTCAAAATGGGCTGGGTAAATTATGGCTGTTGGAAAGAGCACAATACTGCATTGTATTGGGGAAACACACTTGTAAGGAATTCCTGAGCTGGTATTTATTACAACCTGCCACATCATTTCCATTTTCTGCGTTTCATTAAATTTACCGTCTGGGTGTAATCACAAGAGTGAAATGGAAAATGTAATGTAAAATATCTCCTTAAACCCTCCGAAACAAAAATGAACTGAATCATCCATTCAATCAAGACAAGTTGAACACCTACTATACACCAACCCTCTGCAATAAAGTGAGGAACAAGACAGTTTCTGTTTTCAACTAGGCCAGAGCCCAGCAGGGGAAATGAATGGACAAAACTAATCCTAATGTGATACTATCGTAGAGGTGTTGACAGAGACTATAGAAGTGGAGAGGAAGGTTCTCTTCCTGGGGGTGAGAGACTTAGTCATGGGTGTCTACAAATTAGGTACTGACCCTGTTGGGTAGAGACTGTGAGTCACAGCTTCTCAATGTGATTGGAATTCTGGGGCTGGTGCTAGGTTCATTGTCCTTTGGCATTTTTGTGGGCTGTGTGCATTACATGGGTGGAATTTAATGTCATTTTAACTCACCAGAGAAAGTTTGTGGGTCTAGAGGTTTGGAAAACAACTCGCTCTGTAATATGCTGCATTTTAGTGCAAATCTTTCAAATGATCGCACCGTACTTGCTAATCTTTGAAGGAAGCTCTCTCATTGTCTGAAGAAAATGGTGCTGATTAAATTTACAGGGAAATGACTTTATTTAAAAATCTCCTCTAGTTTGTTGACAGCACTCATGTTTCATAAAATAGGGGACATGATCCTGAATTTCTTATGAATAAAAAATTATTAATTTTGACATCTACTTTGAATGACTTAGATAATTTATTTGGCGTAGTGCCCAGTAAAAGCATGGAAGTGACTTGGACATCAACCACAAAATGGCCCAGGGACCCCTTCCCACTGGATAGACATCTGGAGTGGCGTATAAGGAATAGACAATGCAGGCGGACATTTAATTAAAGATTGGTATTCAGACAGGAGGGAAGCGTGGTGAGTCTCTCAGCGTAAAAGGAATAGTGAGTCTCTGAGACAAAAGTAATTTTTTGTGTTTTATAATGATGCTTTGCAGCTTGAAACATTTTAGCTATAAAATATAGACTATGAACTCATAATGGCATTAAGTCCAGATAGTAATTTTTATGGTAACAATTTATGATGTATTTTTGTGGGTTTTTTAAAGGGGAAAAGTCTTTAGCATTTAACATTTTGCAATTTAAAAGATCCCTCTCTTGAGCCTTCAGAACCAGAGTGAACACAAAAATTGTAAGATTTTATTGAGTTACCTATTATGTGAATCTGGATTTGTAGACATTATTTTGATAGTTAATGACACTGGCAAGAATCATGATCTAAAACAAAACCATGTTAACTTTTTTGTTTTAAATTTTCATCCACGAGTTGTCACTGTGTTGCTATTGGCGTTACCAGGACACAGCTAGGAAAGCCAGGGTTGGAAGTGCAGGTTCCCTGTGTTTGCAGATGTTCATGTAGGAGTTCCTTGACCAAATAGCTGTAGCTATTCAGCATCCCAGCACTTGTGTGCCTGCTTTGTGATGAGCTGCCCTGCTGACTCACACCTGCCGGTTCAGGTATGGGTGTAGCCATTTCTGGGAGGGTTGATGCTCAGCAAATAGTCTTAAAGGCACAAAGGAATGAGAACATTTCTCTCCAAACCATAAACCATCGTGGAGCCTAAGGAGACTGAATTTCCTTTTTAGACCCCAGAGGACATTATGCCCAGATTGCCCCCAGGGGTCACTCTCAACTTGGGGATGATTTTTGCCGATGGTGGAAGCATATATTCTCTGGATTCTCCTCTGCTAGTGGGGAGGGCTAGTGGGGAGGGCTGGGGTTCTCATGTTTGATATGGCATCTTGAGATGGTCATCCAGCCTCTCTTTGAACACCGACAGAAAGTAGGGAACCCGAACCTCCAATACTAGTTTTCAGATATGATTATACTATTGTCTGAGCACCACCTGTAGTTATAATAGTTCATCTAATGGATAGTAAAACTCTATCAGGCAGCCTCACTATGCAAATCTTGTAGAATAAGAGTATTTTTTAAAATTAAATCAACTATTAAACAAAGCAGTCTATCAGAAGAAAGAAAATTTAACCAGAAATAAAATAAACCAGAAGTAGGTGACAAAGAGAAGAATAAAGGTATCTGATAAAGCCAGGAATAAGACTAAAATAAAAATACACACCATAGAGCTCTCCATACTTACTACAGGGGCACAGATTTGATCTGAGCTTTCTAGCAGCCAACTGGGAGAGAGAAACACAATCAGTTGCAGAAGTCACAGATTCATAAGATAATAAACTAACAGTGTTTCTCAGGAGTAACACAACTGTTCCTTATTTTAACAAGGAAAAAGTTACTGATTTCAGTAAGAAAGTAGCCTTAGCCCACAAAGATGAGGAACTTGACTTTGAAAGGAAATATTTCAATGTTGGGTCTCTTTAATCTTCTTTCCAGATTCATAGCCTGAATAATTATTTTCCAGAAGCTTCTCCCATGAAGAATTTCGTTTTAAGTATTTATAAGGTCATCTTGGGGGATCAGTGGGTGATTTTTAATACACTAAAGCATACAATTTTTTTGCTTGTGTTGGTAATCTCACTAACTTCAAGGTTTTTTTTTTTGTTTTGCTTTTTGTTTTTGCCACTGAGCAGTTTTTGTCAAGTCAGCTACCATCAGGATCAAACACTTAGTACAGTAAATTGGATTTGGATATCCATTAACTGCTGGTGACAAAAGAGGAAGCCCCACGTTTAACACACGTAAAATAAAATTTTAAGGAGTTTCTGGCTAGAAAGAGGCTACCAATAAAGTCTGAAAATGCCCCAGTCTCTGCTACTTGAATCTAATTACATGACAGAAGAGATTTGGGAAAGATAAGCCTGCAGTGAAAACAAGGGAGAAATAATCCTGTTTGCTCTGCAGTAACCATTCTAAGGACAGGAGAAAAAAAAAGAAGTTGACTAAACTTATTATACTCAATATTGCCAAGATACCAATTAGCAACATAAGTACAAATTTTCCTCAGATTCATCCAACATACCACCCTGTGTAATAAGCTAGTGTTCATAAACAGGGGAAAGTGGTTCTTCTATTCCTCAGCAGTCCTGGTGGGATTACACTGGATTTTTCTGTTAATTCTGGCCTTTGGCCCCTTTCCAATATTAACTGTGCCATGGAGTATAGAATATTCAATGATTAAATAATTATAATTTAAAAATTAGACCATGTCAAAGAAAATAAAATATTAGGCATTTTTAAGAATTTAAGACAAGACACGGACTTTGGATCAAGATGACAGCTAATAATTCTGCATCTACTTCATCGCATATGGCAAATCTCATGAAATGACCTCAAAGTTGTATAAAGAACAATATCTCTGTGATAGCCCTGGAAAAGAAGACAAAGTTGTACCAACAAACTAAAAAATCTGGGAAATTCTTAATGGTTAAAAAGTGGGCAGTTTATATACATGGATAAATAGGATTATAGGAAACTAGCCCAAAATACATTCAGGAGGAATTCTGTGGTGGAAGCCATTCTGAGAAGTCCCAAGGACTGAATCAGCAATTAAAAAGGAGGTGAGAGGAGAGAAATTGGCATGTGGCCCTGTTGGAGCTGAGCAGTGCATGACAATTGTATTCTTTCCTAGGTAGGTAGCGGGTAAGTGGAAAACAAGGGCCAGAGAATAATTCATGCTCCAGGTAGCCAGAGACCTCTAGGAGAGATGGGAAGCCCCCAATCTAGAAGATACATTACCAACATATTCTTCCAGACCATAGTCCTCCCACTTCTCCACGACCACTACAGGCTATAGTAAACAGTTTTGTCAAACAAACGGATACTTAAGTACAAAGAGAAGAAGACAACCAAGACACAATACCCACCCTGGAAGAGGAGGACCAAACACAACAGAAGAGTTAACACCCAGAGAAACAGAGCTACCAAAGGAAACAGAAGAATATTTTAAAGTATAGCTAATTACTATCCTTATGTAATGTTAAGGAAACTATTACATTATGGAAAAGAAACAATTAGATATTTTGTACACTAAAAATTTGATCATGAAATCATAGATTGGCTGATAAGCAGCATGGAAATAGGTATAGGTCATGTTAGTGAATTGGAAAATTCAGCACAGTGTAAAAAGGCTTAGAAATGGGAAGTGTGGGGGAAAATAGAGAAAATTCTAAGATATATCTAGGAGTAGAAAGATGAGACAAGGGAATGGAAGGAAGACTATAATTGATATGGTTAGGTTTTGTGTCTCCTCCCAAATCTCATCTTGAATTGTAATCCCCAGCTGTCGAAGGAGGAATCTGGTGGGAGGTGATTGGATCGGGGGCAGTTTCCCCCATGCTGGTCTCATGACAGTGAGTTCTCACGAGATCTGATGGTTTTATAAGTGTTTGGCAAGTTCCTCCTTTGTTCACTCTTCTCTCTTGCCTGCCACCACGTATGACATGCCTGCTTCTCCTTCTGCCATGCTTATAAGTTTCCTGAGACCTCCTCAGCCATGCAGAACTATGAGTCAATTAAAACTCTTTTCTTTATAAGTTGCCCAGTCTCGGGCAGTTCTTTATAGCAGTGTGAGAATGGACTAATACAATAACCAAACAATTGAAGAAAACCTCGCAGACCTGGAGAAATACACAAATCTTCAGATGAAAAGAGTCCAGAGAGTATCAATTGGGATGAAAACACAAACATATACATACCCCGATACATCGTGTTAAAATTTAAGAATGTTAAGAATTAGGAGAAATATCCAGAAAACACTCATATTACAAAAAGCAAATTATCCTCTTTTGTTTATGACAATAGAATTGGTGTCAGACTTTCTGCTAGTAATACTTTGTATTAGAAGACAGAGACACTATTAAGCCCTGAGAAAAACGAATTTTAATTTATAATACTGAACTCACCTACACTGGCTGTGTTTCAACTATGAGAGTAAAATAAAAATATCTGTTCAAGTACTACAAGATGATTACCCAAGACTGTCTCCGAAATAATTAATCCAGAGTATACCTAGCAAAGCAATAATAACAACAAAAACAAGAATCTAACAAGAGGAAAACATGAGGTGCAAGAAAGATGGATGAACAAAGAAACTGGTAAAGCTTGGAGTTAAGTTCAATTTTAAATTTAGAAAAAAATGGACCAGGTAGTATGTCAGATAGTTCAAAATTCAGAATGTATAAAGGAGTATTTATAAATCTTTCTCACCCACTTTCCCCAATCAGTAGGTTTCTCCTCAGAGGAAGCCAATGTTATTAATTCTTGGGTCTCCTTTTAGAGATATTTTATGTGTATATAAGCAATTTAGCATCTATATGTATGTATGTCACTTACACTTTTTAAATTAGATGGCAGTATACCATATTTTGAACCTTCTAAAATTCTGTGAAGATTTGTCAAGGCTCTGTTTCTTTTGTTTGTTTGTGGCAAGGATATAGATACTTATTACCCTAGACACAGAGAAGAAATTTGTTTAATTTATTTAATTATAAAGTTGTTAAATTTTATTAAATATGTATGTTAGAAGAATGAAATAAGAGGCCAGGCATGGTGGCTCATACCTTTAATCCCAGCACTTTGGGAGGCTGAGGTGGGTGGATCACTTGAGGTCAGGTGTTTGAGACCAGCCTGGCCAACATGGTGAAACCCTATCTCTATTAAAAATACAAAAAAATTAGCCAGGCATGGTGGCAGGCACTTGTAATCCCAGCTACTTGGGAGGCCGAGGCAAGAGAATCTCTTGAACCCAGGAGGTGGAGGTTGCATTGAGCCGAGATTCTGCCACTGCATTCCAGCCTGGGTGATGGAGCAAGACTCCATATCAAAAACCAAAAAAAATGAAGAATGAAATTAGTTATTATTTCCAGTCCACAAGAAAAAAAATAAAATAAAATAAAATAAAGAAAATATGATCATTTCAACAAAATGCAGGATTAAAAAAACAAGAAACCAGACAAAAAATGTGGTCAAAGGAAAACAAAATAAAATAGCAGAAAAATCTAAATACCCCAAATTACAGTAAATGTATATGAGTTAAATGTCTTCATAAACATGTAGACTCTGAGATATGTTTAAAAACAATAGCTAAATGCTTTTTATAAGGGGATACATAAAATCATGCAGAAGGATGGAAAATAAATGGATGGTAAAACATGGATCATGCAAGTGTAAACTAAAATAAAGATTATATAGCAATATTAGTATTAGAAAAATAGAATTTAGGGCCAAAGATATTAATCTGGATAAAAGATTCTTGCATTTCATACAGGTTGAGCACCCTGAAACTTTTTGTACATTGACATGATGCCACAATGGAAAATTCCATACCTGATGTCATGTGAACGGTCACAGTTAAAACACAGTCAAAACTTTGTTTTATTCACAAAATAATTTAAAATAGTGTAAAAAATTACATTCAGCCTATGTTTATAAGATATACATGAAACATAAATGAATTTCATGTTTAGAATTGGGTGCCATCCCCAAGATATCTTTTTACGTATATGAAACTATTTCAAAATCCAAAAAAAAATCTGAAATCCAAAATAGTTCTGGTCCCAAGCATTCTGGATAAGGGATACTCAACCTGTACTATTAAAAAATAGTCATGGATTGCGTCTCCCCTGCACTTCTTGGTAGTCTGTTAGTGGGAGATCCTTGTCACCAGCCCTTCACCTCCTCCAGTGCCAAGGAGCCCTAGAAGTCCCCATCATGCATGAGTACATCTCCATCCACATTTGCTGGGCTGGTGTCCAGATTGGCAATGCCTGCTGGGAGTTCTACTGCCTGGAACACAGCATCCTGCCTGACGACCAGATGCCAGTGACAAGACCAGTGGGAGAGAAGACGCATCCTTCAACACCTTCTTCAGTGAGATGGGTACTGGCAAGCATGTGACCAGGGCAGTGTTTGTAGACCTGGAACCCATGGCTGTTGACAGAGTTCACACTGACACCTATTGTCAGCTCTTGAACCCTGAGCATTGCATCACAGGTAAGGAATACCTATGCCAGTAACTGTGCCGGTGGCCACTTACACCATTGGCAAGGAGATCATTGACCTCGTCTTGGACTAAATTTGCAAGCTGGCTGACCAGTGCACAGGGCTTTAGGGTTTCTTGATTTTCCACAGATAATACATGCTCATTTTAGACACTCATGGAACACTTACAAATATTGATTGGGTATTAGTACACAAAAAACTCAGTAAATCTCAAAAAGCAGAAATCATATGGTTTATTTTCTCCAACCTTAGTGCAATAAAATTATACATTTACCACCAAAAAGTACTCAAATCACACCAAATCTATCCATTTGGAATTTAAAAATACCTTTTTATGGGTTGATGAAGAATCCAAATTAAAATTACTAATTATTTGGAAATGAAAGATGTAAGAGAACTGCATATCAAAACTCATTGGATTTTGCTAAAGCAGTATTAAGAGAAAACTTTATGACCTTAAAGACAGGGAAAATTGAAAATAAAAATAACCACATTCAACTAAAAAGTATAAAAGACAGCAAAATAACACAAACGGACATAAAGATAAGAATAAAAAAGATGCAATAGAGTAACGGCCACAAAACCACAGTATACCTCATCAGTATAGCAAAAAGCTCTTCCTTTGAGAAGACCAATACAGTATAACATCTTTTGACAAGTCTGACACAAATAATAAAAAGACACAAATAAATATCAGACAAATTCTATAGATTCACATGATATAGAAAGGATTATAAATTATGAGCAGTTACTTTGTATGAATTTATAACAATTGAATATTTAGATAGAATGAATACTTTAAAATCCAAATTCCTAAAAAATACAGAAAAACTGGGTAAACCAATATATGTAGAAAAAATTGAAAAGGCAGCCAGCTGTTTATTCCTTAGAAAGACACCAGGCCAACATATTTTTCTATGTGAATTGTAACAAGCATTCAAGAGGACATGTATTTCCTATGTAATATTAGCTTTTCTGGAATGTAGAAAGAGATAGAAAGCTTTCCAGAAGACTGGTATAATACAGATACTGAAACATCAAAGATAGCACAGAAAAATAAAATTATACTCCAATCTCATGGACCAAATACTAAAACTCTAAATATATATTAATAGATAGCAATTAGTTAATATTATATTAATTATAATACACTAAATATTATATTAATAAATATTAATAGATGGAATCCCACAGGGTGTTTTTTCTTTTTAGGTTACTGCATCTTCACCAAGTGTGGTTTTTTCCTAGGAATGAAAGGATGGTTTAAACTTCAGTCATTAACATTAAAAAGTCAGTCATTAACAGATTGTGGAATTATCTCAACAGCTGTCATGAAGGCACGTGATGAAATTCAACATAGAACACTACTAAATTTTTTTAATGCTTGAGGACTATAAGGAAAAAGTTTCCTAATGAATATCATCCACTAGCACCATACTTAGTATTGAAACATTTCATTGAAATGAGGAAAGACATGTGAAATTATAAGAAATAAGTGGTATTAAGACTGTAAAGGAGGATACAAAACTGTAATTATTTGAAGAAATTATAATCAATCTAAACATTTAAGAAAACCAACTCAAAAACCATTGGAACTATAAGGTGAGATCAGCAAGGTGGATATAGATCAGAATATATTTGGCTGGGTATGGTGGCTCATCCCTGTAATCCCAGCACTTTGGGAGGCTGAAGCGAGAGGATCACTTCCATCTAGGAGTTTGAGACCAGCATAGGCAACATAGCTAGACCCCTTATCTACAAACAAAATCAAAAATTAGCTAGACTACTTGGGAGGCTGACGTGGGAGGATCGCTTGAGTTTGAGGCTGCAGTGAGCCATGATCATGCCACTGCATTCAGCTTGGATGACAGGGTGAGACCCTGTCTCAAAATATGTATATATTCAATAGAGTTACTATAATAAATGTATATCGAACCTTCTGCTTTCTAAGTAGAAAATATGTCTTCTTTTAAAAAACCCTTGGGAAAGTTCGAAAAAAATTACTATATATTAATTCACAAGGAAAAGTCAGTAAATTTCTCATATAAGAGATATATACAATTTTATCTTAATGCAAAAATTAGAAATATGTAACCAAAGTAGCAATTAAATAAATCTAGCCACTTGTAAATTGAAATAAACCTCTCTCCTAAGCCAGCAGTATTGAATCAAAGGAAAAATAAAATGTGTGATTCTAAGTTATTCAGAAAACCATGAAAATGAAAAATTTTCAAACAGCCTTATGTTAACCTTAGGCTTACAGCCTAAGCTTTAATTAGAGAAAACTTCCTATTAAAGAATGAATAGAAATAAACTAAACTTCCAACTTATGACAGTAGAAAAACAAAATATACCTAAAGGAATTCAGAAGAAAAAAATTAATATAAACAAAAGCAGAAATTCAGTTAATTAGAAGAGTTAAAGCTTTCAAAAGGCTAAATTTAAACCTAGTCATTTGGGAACAACAGTAACAAAATGGATAGACTTCTAATTAGTTCTACCAAGAAAGAAATGAGGAAATACAGGTTCACAAAATTAGGAATAACCAAGTGGAATAAAAGATAAAAATAATAAAGTAATTTTTGGACAGCATGATTTTGTAGTTTGTAATCATTTGTGCTTTTCTTGTCTGGAAGCTAGTAAGATTAGTTCTAAATCTTTCTGTTTCAGAAATTTTGACTGGCTGTGTTTATGGGAGAGTTCCTTTCCAATGATTTTGCCTAAAATGGGGTCACCTTCTTCGGTCTGTGTTTGTAGATCTGACTTCAGCTTGGAAAAGTTTCTCACTATTACAATTGGAAACACTGTCTATATATTATAATGAAAACTGTTCTTTGATCTCCACATCTGTTATTTTCTCTCTCATTGTTTTAATTTCATTATACTTTCCATCAGCATTTGCAGAGAAGCTTTAATATTTGCCTGTTTCTGTGTGATTCAGATTTTTGAATTTTCTGTTCTGTTATTGCTTATATCTAGTACTTACATTCCTGTGTTATTGTAACTGCGCTTACCTCCTAACTTTACTACACTAGCTCCCTCTTAGCAAGAGTCTGTGACCTCATCATCCCATTTTTATCCCTTCTATCATTCTGTCCATTTGCCTTGCATTTAAAAGAGCAAAATCAGGAACCTGTCTAACATTTACTTTTTCTGATTTGAATAAATGCTTTAAAAAGTGTGCTTTCCAGCACTTTGGGAGGCCGAGGCGGGTGGATCATGAGGTCAGGAGATCGAGACCATCCTGGCTAACAAGGTGAAACCCCGTCTCTACTAAAAATACAAAAAATTAGCCGGGCGCGGTGGCGGGCGCCTGTAGTCCCAGCTACTCGGGAGGCTGAGGCAGGAGAATGGCGTGAACCCGGGAAGCGGAGCTTGCAGTGAGCCGAGATTGCGCCACTGCAGTCCGCAGTCCGGCCTGGGAGACAGAGCGAGACTCCGTCTCAAAAAAAAAAAAAAAAAAAAAAAGTGTGCTTTCCCTTGCCTTTTGAGGAGTATACCATTTTGTTTTCCCTGCACAAAAGCATCAAGGTTTGTTACAAGTTTGACATTTTTGACTGTCTGATTTCTCTGTCAGCCGTGGCTGGGGAGGGGAGGCAAGTAGCCACAGGGTAGAAGAGTAACCAGAGTCTAACACTGTGCCCGAAGATATGAGAATAGACAGCAGTTGTATGAGGAGATTGGATGAAGATATTTAAAGGGCTGTATTTCAATCTAGTGTAATAATGGATGTTTATACCAATAATGGAGTCAACAAGAAAAGATTTCCTTAACTCATATATCTTTTTAATTTTTTTTTTTGATATGGCGTCTGTTGCCCAGGCGGAGTGCAGTGGTGTGATCTCGGTTCACTGCAAGCTCTGCCTCTCAGGTTCACACCATTCTCCTGCCTCAGCCTCCTGAGTAGCTGGGACTACAGGTGCGTGCCACCACTCCCGGCTAATTTTTTGTATTTTTAGTAGAGACGGGGTTTCACCGTGCTAGCCAGGCTGGTCTCGATCTCCTGACCTCGTGATCTGCCTGCCTCGGCCTCTCAAAGTGCTGGGATTATAGGCGTGAGCCACTGCGCCCGGCCATATCTTTTTTATTTTAAAAAAAGGCAAATTTTCTTCATGTGGGAAGTTCATTTATATAGCATACTTAATTCTAATAGTTCCAGAAAAAGCAGGGCTTTGCTATATAGAGGAAGATAAAACCACACACGTGACTTAATATTTGCCAAAGACACCAAAAAATATTTTTTTCTAATTTACATACTTCAGATTCCATGATTTTCTCATTCTCACTCTGTGTAAAGTAGAATTTTCTATCTCCATTAGCTAAAATGAGCAAGAATTGCCATATGGACACTCAAGTACATGTTGTCTCTGAGCATTAATTTTCTTTTAAAAAATTAATTAATTTTAATTGGCAAAAATTGTATATATTCATGATGTACAACATGATGTTTTGAAATATGCATACATTGTGGACTGGCAAAGCTAATTAACATGTATTACTTCACATACTTATCATTGTTTTTATGGTGGGAACACTTAAAATCTCTTATCAATTTTCAAGAATCCAATACATCATTATTAAGTATAGTCACCTGTGTTGTACCGTAGAGCTCTTGAATTTATTTTACCTATCTAACTTAAATTTTGTATCCTTTGGCCAAATCTCCCTACTACCCTCCCCACAAATGAGCATTAATTTTCAGTCAGTGGTTTGTCAGCAGGACTGTCGTGTTTGGGGTGTCTTACATATGCCTTCCTAGAGAAGCCATTTGTGTAATGTCAAAAGAGTGTGTTTGTTTATTATATCGATGGGGACAGGAAGCAGGGAAACTCTGGGCATAAGAGGGCGGGTCCCTGGCAAAGGCCCCACCCTCAAGCCTGGAACCCCAGCCCAAAGTGAGAACATGCATTCCTGTTTTCCTCCTCGAATGTTTGCCTTTTCCAAAACCACCCATGGCCTGCCCTGCCCCACATCCTGGACCCCTAAAAACCCCAGGCTCAGCTGGCAGAGAGCAGAGAAGAGGAGAAGCAACTGGACATCAGAGAGAAGCGGCTTGACTTCGGCTGGGCGGCTTGACAACGTTGCTTCAGAGAGGAGTCCACATGGGGAGTATCACCTTCCTGGTCCATCCCCTTTCCAGCTCCCTTTCCTGATGAGAGACACTTTCGTCGGCAATAAAATCCTCCACTCTTCAATTCATTCATGCAACCTGATTTTTCCTGGACGCTGGACAAGAGCTTGGGTGCCATTTGTGTGGATGCTAAAGGCTGTCATGCTGACCCTCTGTCCTCATTAGCGGAGAGCAACCACCTCACATGAAAAGGCAGAGAGCCCACTGAGTGGCATAACACTTAAGCTGGCAAAGCTAAAAGAGCACTGACTGTAACAGTCCTTCTGGGGCTTCAGGGGTCATAGGTACTTCCTCCTAGACACTGCTGTGGAGTCTGAATGGAGTTTTGCTCCTGCCAGCACCCAAAAGCACTTGCCCCGGCTCCTGCACCTGCTCACCTGTGTGCTTCCTTCCATGAGGGGTTGAGTGCAATAGGTTCCAGAGAGTGCAGTCCACCCCTGCCAGCACCCAAGCGACTGGCTAGTTCTAGCACCCATGCACTCCAGTTCCCAGTCGAGAAGGGGGTCAAGGAAACATTTTCTGTTTCAAGATGAAGCTATCTACATTAATTCAATGAAGTGAAAAGTACATAGAGTGACACTTGGTTTATCTGGTGCCATTGGGCAAAATGTGTTATGAATAAATGCAATCTCATAAGTGCCTGTTGTCATGGAAAGAGGCTGTCTTTGGAACCAGACAAAGCTGTGTCAGGTACATTATCAAATGACTTTCACATAATCTCTTCTTTAATTCCACAACAACCCTCTATCAGTTATTAGTGTTGTCAGCTGCAGGGAACATAATGCCATGCCAAAGGCTGTTCTAACAAATAGGCCTGGGACAGTGGCTCAGTGATGCTCTCAAAATCCAGGCTCCTTTCCCTCTGTTCTTTGTACTCAGTGGGTTGGCCGTTCCTCTTATGGTTGCAAAATGGCACTGCAGCTTCAAGCACCACATTGAATTCCAAGGAAGAAAGGAGAGAAGAGGTATAGAATTGCCTATGTCCCTTTGTCTTATTAATCAAGAATGTGATGTTTGCCCAGAAGCACCGACAGAAAATGACCAGTTTTCCCATCCTCCCTTGCAGTCTGAGTGGCCATGTGAACCAGTTCTGGTCAATGACACGTAACTGGTTCACATGGCCACTCAGAGTGCAAGGGAGGCTGGGAAAGTGTGAACACTATAGTCTTGTTGACTTATGATTCACCACCTGGGGTTCTGTTAGCAAAAAAGAAAGGAGGGTGTGGATATTGGGTGTTAACTATCAGTGTCTGTCACAAATCCTCTGTTTGCTTTACCCATGAAAATGTTCGTATTTAAATACATAACTGGATCAAAATCACCAGCTCTTGAATGACAGAGTTAATACATCAACTGCGGTCTATTGCTCATGTTCCTGTTTGCAGTTAACTGGGAACCTTTTGGGTAATGTGAATGATATTTACAATGATAGTTACATGATGAAGCTAGTCTCTTGTGAAAACAGTATACTTCGGGTTGGAAGTAGTTTCTGATTTTTTAAAAAGTGAAGTCAGCCAGGCATTGTGGCTCACACCTGTAATCCCAGTGCTTTAGGAGGCTGAAGTGAGAGGATTGCTTGAGCCCAGGAGTTGAGGCTGCAGTGAGCCATGATTGTACCACTGCACTCCAGCCTGAGTGACAAAGTGTGACCTTGCCTCTTAAAAAAAATGAAATTTTCTTACTTATTAAACTGATGGAATAAATACTTTTCAGTTTGTACTAATGTAAGGCAATAATGTAATATATGGCAATAATATAAGGCAAAGCTTTGCTATGGATTTTCTATGGGGAGTGCGAATAAAAGGATTAGAACTTAGAACTTTCATATACTTTACCTCTGTGTGGACATCGAGAAAAATGCCAAGACTAATAGAAGTGATGGGTTAGATGGGGTTTAAGAGAAGGCTGCCCAGATGATATGGTGTTAGGTGTCACTTGGAAGTTAGGTTAGATAAGGAAGTGTTGGGCTGCCCTCTTGCTGCAAGTGTCTGAAATCCTAGTTAGCTGAGAGCCAGTTCTGGCCATTTCTGAGGTTTGCTGCCTCCCTAATCCCACACTTGCATCCTGTTCCTGTTTTGCTTTCCTCTGCTGCTCGTCTTTCACTTTCTCTTTCCTCACTTGGGAAGAGTGTTGAAACAACATTTCATTATTTGGCACTGCAAGGCAGTAGTAGTGTCCCCACTTTGGTCAGTTTCTGCTCTGGCAGGAGAAATGGTTTCAGTAAGTTTTTCCATTTCCTATTTGTTAGACTTCCTCTCAGGTACCCATCCAGATCTGTCCACAAGTGTGAGAGAAGGCTTGGACGCTGTTCCTCTCACCATTTCAGAGCAGTAGTGGAAGTGACCCTGTGCCCTGGCTGAAGGACATTCTCCAAGGTCAGCTTTTAAGTGTTCCCCTGGAGGACGAGAGGATTTATCTTTCCTTTTCAGACCATGTTCACATGTCATGAAATTCAAAATTTGGCCCTAACTGTTCATCATAGGTCCTTGTTTACTTTTTGTCTACTTCGTAAGAATGGCTGTGGTGCAGTTTTGTTTTAATTAAGACAAACCGATGTCTCCCAAACATCCATTGCTCTCTGTGAGAAAGAAACAAAAGGAACAGTTTTGCTTGGCTGTTTAAGGATGGAGAAGCGGATCTTATTTCAGAACATGGGTCATCCTAGATGGACGAGGGCAGCTCAGGGTGGAGCAGCCATGAGATCTGGCAGGTCCAGACTCCCTGGCACCAGAATGGCAGCTCTCAGCAAGTGTCTGCTTGGCGTCTCCTGGAGTCTTGTTGGCATGGAAGAGAGACCTTGTACAACATTCCTCATATGTCATTCCCCTTAAAGAAAACATTTCTTCTCCTTTCTGTCTTCACCTCCAATCCCATGTTTGAGAATACAAATCAAACTTATTCTCGTTCATTCTAAAGGGAGTAGCACATCAAAAGTACACTGCTCCTTTCTTCAGTGCCTCTTACAAGGAGCCTGTGGGGATAGCAGCACTCTGCCCTTAGGGAACTATAGTCTAGCAGGGAAAGAAGAATGACATATTAGTTGAAGTGGATCGTCAGTTCAAGATTGGTTACATCTTCATTATCAAGATTGTCATCCTTCATTGATCACTCACTGTGTAGCAATGTCATGATGCTAGTTCTTAGGGATACAGAGTAGGCAGGCTGGGCATGGTGGCTCATGCCTGTAATCCCTATACTCTGGGAGGCCAAGGTGGGAGGATTCCTTGAGCTCAGGAGTTTGAGACTAGCCTGGGCAACATGGCGAAACCCTGTCTTTACAAAAAAATACACAAAAAGTAGCCAGGCATGGTGGTATGCACTTGTAGTCCCAGCCAGTTGGAGGCTGAAGTGGGAGAATCACTTTACTCTGGGTGGTCAGGGCTGCAATGAACTGAGATTGTGCCAATGCACAACAGCCTGGGTGACAGAGCAAGACCCTGTCTCAAAAAAAAAAAAAAAAAAAAAAATACCACACACACAAAGAAGCAAGGAAGGAAAGAAAAGAAAGAAGAAAGAAACACAGCATGCATTTGTGACTTCACATACCTAAGAAGGAATTATTGGTATGAGGTGGTTCATATTAATGTAAAATAAGTGAACTGATCTATATTTGCTACAGGACTTGTAAAGAGGAGTGGCCTGGGGAGTAGACCTTGAAAGACAGTGGGAGCCGGTATTTGGGGGCTGGGAGTGTTGCATGCTGGGTTTTCCAGGGAGCAGACCCTGAGAGGAGTTTAACATGCAAGATGGTTACTTGGGAGTTTCTTGGGATTGACACTCATGGAAGGAAGAGAATGAAGCAGGATGAGCAGTGGGAGGTGTCAAACTGAAATGCAGCCCCAAAGAAAGCCTTGGCACAGCCCACAAGAAACTCTGGAACAAGAATAGCATTTAGAGTTGTCCTAAGTTGGACTGAGCTGTCCTAAGTTAGACCCCTGCTTTGCTGAGTCACTGAATGTGTCCACAGGTGTGAGAGAAGGGCTGGATGCTGTGCCTCTCTCACAGTTGCAGGGCAGTAGTGGAAATGACTCTGGCTGAAGGACATTCTCCAAGGTTAGCTTTTAATTTTCCCCTGGCCAGGGATGTGACCCTCAGAGAGATGCCTTCCTGCAACTAAGTCAACCACCGAAAAGACTGATGGCTAAAGGCTGTTTGATAGTACACTCTTGCAGCTAAGGCAACGAGAGCTTTATTGATGGGGATTCTGGGCAGCTGTCAACATGTCACCATAGGAAGAATGGCATAAGCAAATGCATGCAGAACAGTTCTGATGAGCTGTGATGGACAGAACAATTGGACTGCAGTGGCTGTTACATTTGGAAGTGCAGTAGGAGGTGATGTTAGAGTGTTAGTAGGACGCAGGTGGAAGGTTCTAACTGCCCAGCTAAGGACTCTGAACTTTGTCCTGTGGACATTAAGAAAACACTAGATGGTCTGAGCAGTGGGGAGGTGTTACTAAGGTGTGAAATTGTGTTTTAAAGGGATACATCTGGCCTAGATGTAGAGGATGAATAGTAGTGGCAGGAGGTCCAAGGCAGGAAGATGGCCATAGACTAGTAATTCATGAAAGCGAATAGGGTGGGTCTCGAAAAGAGTCCTGGGTTGCAAGGTGAAATAACTGAGTTCTCATTCAAGCTCTTTGTCATTGACTTGACTGTGTAGGTCTTCCTCTTGGACCTCAATTTTGCCATCTGTAAAAATGATAAGCTCAGAAGTCCCTTTCCAGATGTAACACTTTGTGGTTCTACCTTAAAGTGATCTGTTCGTTTGTGTTCCTTCAACTGCGTGCTCATTGAAAGATGTTGAAGACTAGTGTAGTGTGAAACCAGACTTCTGGAAACTTTATTTTGGATATTTGTTTATTAACTGATTCCTCCACTCTATGGCCTTGCAAATCTTTGTATTTACACACAAAATTTGAAGCCAATGAATTATGGATTCAAGCTGAACCAGAGTCACGTATCAGCTATTACAAGCCTAAGGGTTTTGTTTCTTAATCAATTACAGTATATCTGGTAACTCAACACAGCTACCTGGAATACAGAATTAGCTTTCCGTATTGCACAGGGATGGATTGTCTTCACCTAAGTTTCTACTTAAATAATAATGAAAACGGGATTAACCCTGGCAGTAAAGAAATGAACCAGTTTGAGCCCATACTTGTTGAGGACTTAAGTAAATTATATTTCTTTTTCCCTTGTAAGTTTTGCATCATAGCTTGGTGTCATGCCCATAATCAGCAGATAATTTAGGGAAAAACAAAAGATAACAAATGACAAAGATAAATTCACTGATCAGAACTCTGGTCCCCTTCTTTTTCAAAATGGTTCACAGACAGATTTTTGCATGGGGGAGACTTTTTTTTGAGACAGAGTGTTGCTCTGTCGCCAGGCTAGAATGCAGTGGCATGATCTCGGCTCACTGCAACCTCCGCCTCCTGGGTTCAAGTGATTCTCCTGCCTCAGCCTCCCGAATAGCTGGGACTACAGGCACGTGCCACCACACCCAGCTAATTTTTGTATTTTTAGTAGAGACGGGGTTTCACCATGTTGGCTAGGATGGTCTCGATCTCTTGACCTCGTGATCTGCCTGCTTCAGCCTCCCAAAGTGCTGGGATTACAGGCATGAGCCACTGCGCCCGGCTGGGGGAGACATTTTAATTCGTTGATTCATTGACTCAAAACATGACTTTTCCTTCATTTATTACTGAAAGTATTAACTCTATGCATTTGTTCGTCCATTAACTAAATTATTAATTCATGCATTAATTTAGTATATATTATTAAGTCCCTCTTGTATGTCAGGTACAATGCTAATTGCCAGAGACACACTGGTAGGTAAAACAAGATCAAATCCCAAATTTTATGGAGCTTGTAGTCTAGTTCGAGATGGACATTAATCCATTAGTCACATGGTTTGTTCTGTAATTACAGACTGAAGTCAGGTAAGGCTTCTTTGAGGAAAATTGAGCTGAAATTTGAAGAATGAAAACTCAGTGGACTAAGTTAACAATGTGAGGATGAATTGTAGCTTTGAGTCAATGATGAATATAATTTCAACGTTATTAAAATTTTGGCATTTTATATTATTATGGACAAAAAGAAAAACCAATATACTGACTTAACCAAGTGTTGGAGGTCATTTTCTAGGTTAGAAGCAGAGCCCAAATTAATAGTGACCTGGAAATTAAGTCTCAAATGATAGGGGGATGGACATAATTCTTCCTAGAGCCTTGTTGGCTGCTCTGGGTCAATAATATTTGGAAGCTTGTGGTCCAAGTAAGTCAAGCGTAAGAGGTGCAACACCAAATATAAATCTGTGGGTGTTGGTGCTTTTTTTCTGATGTAAATTTTTTCCAGTGTGTTTGTGTCCTTTCCAAGAAGGTGGGCAGCTGTGCCAGGAAATTCGATGTATATGGTATGGAGATGTGGTGACTGGAATGAACAGAAAACTGTATATAGAAGCCTTAACCCTTTGATGCAGCATCTTTAATAAATGCAGAGGAGATACTGCAGAGGTGACATCCTCTTTATGGAGTTACTTTCATCTTGATTCACTACTTGCTCCTCATTCATCCCCTAACCCCAGGTGTGAAAAAATTTCCCACAGTGTTCAAGTGAGGAGTAAAAAGTTTTCCACCCAACGAGAATCCACCAACAATAGTTTGGGGGCAAATACCAGCCTAGAATAGATTGCTGTTTGACAAGGAGTAAAAATCATCAATAGTAGCGTGAGAAATGTGAAAAGATTCTGCATCATAACAACAACCTATGCCCTAAAGAGGTAAAGAGAGAATTTACAGAATGCAATTTATTATGAGAAACAATACATTTTAAATACCATTTGCTTTGGCTACTGATGCAATTGAAGAAAATATTAAGTGTTATGAAAACAACAAAATGAAAAGAGAATGAAGAGCAAAATTGGCTTTGTGGAAAATCAAATCAGTGGTATAGAAGACAAAAGTGCTAAAAAGAGAAGATGCTCTGTTTGGTTTATATTCCTTCTTCTGTTATTTTTAGTTTATTCCTTTATCGTTTTCACATTTTTTGGTATAGCCTTAGCATTTTCTTTACTTTTGATACTTTGCTGTAATAGACCAAAATTGCTTAAATTTATTCTCTATGGTGATTTTGAAAGTTTGAATTCTATTTAAAAAAATCCCATACTGGATATTACTAAAATTTATAAAATATATGATTAAATCTAATAAATGATTAATTTAATGTGTAGTTCTATTTTACATCCATATGTGAAGTGAATGTTCATGTATGCTTATGCATACACACACACACACATACATACACGCACAAATTTTCTTTCCCAAGAAAGTCTTTGGCTTTACTTTCAACTTTGTGACCTTATTTCCAAATTACTTATATCTTTCTAATGTCTATTATAACTTTCTGTAATTATGGAAATTTCCTATATTTGCAATATCTAATATAGTAGCCAGTAGTCACATGTGCATAACAAGTGCTTGAAATGTGGCTAGTGTAAATTTAAGGTCATGTTAAGAAAACAGATAACAATATAACTTAGATGACACAGCTCTGTAGAAGTTACTATATTTCTTTGATAACTCTATTTACAACCCACTGAAGTTTACACAAACATTTCTTCTCTTTTCCTCTGCCAAAATTATAGAGACCGTTTGCTCATATGCTCGCCTTTAGGTTTGTTCAACTCTCTCATCCATCAAGATTCAGCTCAATTGACACCTTCCCTGAGAATTATGCCCTGACTTCACAGGCTGAGGAGTCATTGTCCTTCCTTGTTCTTTCAGTGTGTATTGCCTGCTTGCAATCATGAGTTTTCGTTTATCTTCCAGTGAGATTAACCTTTTTGAGGGCAGCTACTAAATGGGGCTTGGTGAATGCTGTTGAGTCAGTAAGTGACTTCTAACTTTGCTTGACCTGCAAAACCCTGGCTACCTTTCTGAAGACTTGATGGTCTGAATGGTTAGGGTTCTGAACCATGCAGCAGTCATCTACATGAGGCCATTATTAACCTAACCAGGGACACTCACCTACCATTTTTAGTCAAGGAATTGGGATTTTGCTCTCAGCTTTTCAATTTTTTTGTGCTACTGATCTCAGGTGTGCAGAATTCTCTGTCCCAGTTTTCTCTTTTCACCTAGGGCAGCACAACCCCTGCAGGTGGTCCAGAGCATGCAGACCACCAACCAATCCCAGAAGGAGAGGTATGAGATAGAAACAATGCACTGGCTTCTTTCATTACTTACTTTGGTAGCTGTCAAATAATATTTCTTGTGGGAGTTTATTTAAAGCCTGTGCCCCTAAAATGTGGTCTGGGTAATATTCTTGATGAGTCGTTGGCACAACCCTGTGTTTTTCTATGTGAAATGGCTAACCATGGATGGAAGTAAATCACTAAGAAAAGTCGAAAAAGAATTTTTTTGAAAACTTGATATCATTAAACTTGAAAAACTGTGCTTTTTTTTTTTCTTGGAAAGAGAAGCCTACTGTAGATTGTCAAATATAAATGCTTTGATTATGGTTTGGGGTATGTTGAAATTAAGAGCTTTCTATGGTTATCTTGTGGTTGTAAATGGAGAGCAAGAAAATATATAAAGTGATCTATAGGAACCTGCTTGGAAGGGATGAAAAACATTACATCCATGTAGAGTACTATTTTGCTCTAATGTGATAAACGAAAGTGAAGCAGTTTGCGTTGTTATAACTTTATCTGAAGGTTGAAGATTTTAATAACATGTGGTTGTCATAATGATTTAGAAAGGATTTTTATCTTCATAAGTCATCATGAGAGTAAAGAGGTTTGGTTGTGTGGACACACATCCTCTAGAAAGAACAGGTTTCTCCACCTCACCACTGTTGACATTTTAGGTCAGATAATTCTTTGTGGTGGGGACTGTCCTGGGCACTGTATGTCAGGCCTCCACCCATTAATGCCAGTAGCACCTCCCTCTCCTCAGTTGCAACAACCATAAATGTCTCCAGGCATCTCAAAATGTTCCCTGGGGGGCAAAACTGTGTGACAGAAAAGCACCATTCTAGAATGTTTGTTGAAATATGTGAGGCTGGAAGTTAATAATCTGTAGCATCTGACTGCAGGCCTTGTTCGATCTGCCTTGGGATGTCCTGAGGCAGTTTCCATAAATATTGCTCGCAGGAATGCCAGCCACCAAGACAGGCTTCTTGGCAAGCGTTCACCGGAGAGAGCTGAATTTGGGCCTTAGGTTTTGAAGGCACAGTGAGATGACTTCTTTACACCCAGGTTGGATTGATTTATTTGTCAGAATAATTAACATTTTAAAAATGTTAGATGTTGTTTTAAAAATCCAGCAGTTTGGAAGAGGTACAAAGAAAACTACAAAGCACCCTACATCCTACTTTCTAGAAATAACTAGTGTTCATATGTGGTAAATAGCATTCTAAGCATTTTCATACACATACACAAACAGGGTTTTGGATAAGGTAAATACATAGACATAGGGCTATAGAAATGCCATTACATGATGCATGCCATTTTAAATTAAAAATATTTAATTTTATGTGAATTTAATAGATGATAAGGAAATGAAATAAAACTGAAGGATTTGCTAAATTGAGATGAATGTTTGATCACAGCAGAATAAATTATTTCCTTAAAGATACCTCTAAGTGTATCACAAAAGGTGAGGAGATTGGCGTTACTATGTTTTAAAATTTCATATTTAAATTTTAGTCAATGGTACTTAATTTCCCTACAACTTTCTTCCATTCACCTTCCAGATTTATATTGGTTATGTTATTATATATGCTAATTTAATATCGTATATGTTCCACACCCTAATTTTCCTGTTATTTATTCAAAGTTTAATGTTTAAATGGATTAAATGCTCACCACCATTCCTTTTATATGACTTTTATAATCCTGTTGTAAAAATTTTGAATCATTTCCTAGCTGGTTGGATTTCATCATCAACTTTTGAAAGAAAGGCTGTATTTACTGAGTTTTTCCATTTTTTTTTAACATTTGAACACCTTGGTGTTGCCTGTACTCTTTTAAAAAATTATTGTGGTAAAATATATATTGTTTAACATTTACCATTGTAACCATTTTTAAGTGTACAGTTTAGTGGCATCATGTACATTCACATTGTTGTGCAACCATCACCACCATCCATCTTTAGAACTTTATTTCCTCTTGCAAAACTGAACCTACTGTACCCATTAAATAATAACCCCCTATTCTCTCCTCCCCCAGTCCCTGACAACCACCATTCTACTTTCTGTCTCTGTGAATTTGACTACCCTAGGCACTTCATAAGTGGAATCATACAATATTTATCCTTTTGTGTCTGGCTTATTTCACTTAGCATAATGTCTTTAAAGTTCATCCATGTTGTAGCCTGTGCCCGAATTTCATTCTTTTCTGAAGCTAAATAATATTCCACTGCATGTGTACACTATATTTTGCTTCTCTACTTATTTGTCAGTGGACATTTGGGTTGTCTTCTCCTTTAGGGTTTTATGAATACTGCTGTTATAACAGAGTGGTACAAACATTTGTTTGAGTCCCTGCTTTCAATTTTTTTTTTTTTTGAGACATTCTTACTCTGTCGCCCAGGCTGGAGTGCAGTGGCATGATCTCAGCTCACTACAACTTCCACCTTCCGCCTTCCAGGTTCAAGTGATTCTTGTGCCTCAGCCTCCTGAGTAGCTGGGACTACAGGCGCCTGCCACCACATCTGGCTAATTTTTGTATTTCTAGTGGAGACAGGGTTTTGCCATGTTGGCCAGGCTGCTCTCGAACTCCTGACCTGAGGTGATTCACCTGCCTTGGCCTCCCAAAGTGCTGGGATTACAGGCATGAGCCACTGCATCTGGCCCCCTGCTTTCAATACTTTTGGGTATATACACAGCAGTGGAATTGCTGGATCATATGATAATACATCAGACTTTTTGAGGAACTACCGTAATGTTTTCCACAGTGGCTGTACCATTTTACATTCCCACCAGCAATGAACACATGTTCTAATTTCTTCACATCCTCACTGTATTAGTCTGTTTTCACACTGCTGAAAAAGACATACCCAAAACTGGGTAATTTATAAAGGAAAGAGGTGTAATTGGCTCACAGTTCCACATGTCTGGGGAGGCCTCATACTCATGGCAGAAGACAAAGGAAGAGCAAAGGGACATCTTAATATGGTGGCTGGCAAAGAGATTATTTGTGCAGGGGTACTCCCTTTTATAAAACCATCAGATGTTGTGAGACTTATTCGCTATAATGAGAACAGCAAAAGAAAGACTCGCCCTCATGATTAAATTACCTCCACGGGGTCCCTCCAATGACAGATGGGAATTATGGGAGCTGCAATTTGAGATTTGGGTGGGGACACAGCCAAACCATATCATTTCACCCCTGCCCCCCCCCCAAATCTCATGTCCTAACATTTCAAAATCAATCGTGCCTTCCCAACAGTCCCCCAAGTCTTAACTCATTTCAGCATTAACTCAAAAGTCTACAGTCTAAAGTCTTATCTGAGACAAGGCAAGTCACTTCTGCCTATGAGCCTGTAAAATCAAAAGCAAGTTAGTTACTCTCAAGATACAATGGGGGAACAGGAATTGGGTAAATACACCATTCCAAATAGGAGGAATTGGCCCAAACAAAGGGGCTACAGGGCCCATACAAGTCTGAAATCCAGTGGGGCAGTCAAATCTTAAAGCTCCAAAATGATCTCCTTTGACTCCATCTCTCACATCCAGGTCACGCTGATGCAAGAGGTGGGCTCCCATGGCCTCGGGCAGCTCTGTCCCTGTGGCTTTGCAGGGTATAGCCCCTCTCCTGGCTGCTTTCACAGGCTGGTATTGAGTGTTTGCAGCTTTTCCAGGCACACGGTGCAGGCGGTCAGTGGATCTACCATTCTGGGGTCTGGAAGAAGGTGGCCCTCTTCTCACAGCTCTACTAGGCAGTGCCCCAGTGGTGACTCTGTGTGGGGCCCGCACCCCAAATTTCCCTTCTTCACTGCCCTAGCAGAGGTTCTCCATGAGGGCTTGCCCCTGCTGCAAACTTTTGCATGGACATCCAGGTATTTCCATACATCCTCTGAAATCTAGGTGGAGGTTCCCAAAGCTCAATTCTTGACTTCTCTGCACCCACAGGCTCAACACCACATGGTAGTTGCCAAGGCTTGGGGCTTTCACTCTCTGAAGCCATGGCCTGAGTTGTACCTTGGCCCCTTTTAGCTGAGTGGCTGAGTGGCTGAGTGGCTGAGATGCAGGGCACCAAGTCCCTAGGCTGCACACAGCAGGGGGGCCCTGGGCCCTGGCCCATGAAACCATTTGTTCCTCCTACGCCTCTGGGCCTGTGATGGGAGGTGCTGCTGCAAAGGTCTCTGACATGCCCTGAAGACATTTTCTCCATTGTCTTGGTGATTAACATTTGGCTCCTTGTTACTTATGCAAATTTCTGCAGCTGGCTTGAATTTTTCCTCAGAAAATGGGTTTTTCTTTTCTATCACATCTCAGGTTGCAAATTTTCTGAACTTTTATGCTCTGTTTTCATTTCATTATGAATGCTTTTAACAGCACCCAAGTAACCTCTTGAATGCTTTGCTGCTTAGAAATTTCTTCCACCAGATACCCTGAATCATCTCCCTCAAGTTCAAAGTTCCACATATCTCTAGGGCAGGTACAAAATGATGCCAGTCTCTTTGCTAAAGCATAGCAAAAGTCACTTTGCTCTAGTTCCCAACAAGTTCCTCATCTCTATCTGAGACCACATCAGCCTAGATTTCATTGTCCATATCATTATCGGCATTTTGGTCAAAGCCATTCAACAAGTCTCTAGGAAGTTCCAAACTTTCCTGTCTTCTTCTGAGCCCTCCAAACTGTTCCATCCTCTGCCCATTACCCAGTTCCAAAGTTGCATCCACATTTTCAGGTATCTTTACAGCAGCACCCCACTCTACCAGTACCAATTTACTGTATTAGTCCGTTTTCATGCTGCTGATAAAGACATACCTGAGACTGGGTAATTTATAAGTAAAAAAGGTTTAATTGACTCACAGTTCTACATGGCTGAGGAGGCCTTACAATCCTGGTGGAAGAGGAAGGAAGAGCAAAGGGACATCTTACATGGTGGCAGGCAAAGAGAGAATGTGTGCGGGGAAAATCCCCTTTATAAAACTGTCGGATGTTGTGAGACTTATTCACTGTCATGAGAACAGCCCAAGAAAGACCTGCCCTCATGATTAAATTACCTTCCACCAGTTCCCTCCCACAACACATGGGAATTATGGGAGCTACAATTCAAGATTTGGATGGGGACACAGCCAAACCATATCACTCACTAACAGTTAACTTTTTTCCTGTTTGTTTGTTTTATAATAGTCATCCTAATGGGTATGAAGTGGTATCTCCTTTACATTTCCCTAATGGGTATAAAGTGGTATTTCATTTGCATTTCCCTAATGATTAGTGATATTGAACACCTTTTCATCTGCTTATTGACCATTTATATATCTTCTTTGGATAAATATCTATTCATGTCTTTTGCCCAATTTTTAACTGGGCTATTTCTTTTTTTTGTTGCTGAATTGTAAGAATTCATTATATATTCTGGATATTAACCCCTTGTCAGATATATTATTTTCAAATATTTTTCCCATTCTGTGGATTACCTTTTCACTCTGTTAATAGTGTCCTCTTATGCACAAAGGTTTTAATATTGATGAGGTGCTTTTATTCTTGAATAGGGCTTAGGCAGTTGTAATATTCTTGGGTGATTTTTTTCTTGTGGGATTTTGTAGGCACTGCTTCCTTGTGTTCTGGCATTAGATGTTGCTGTGGAGAAGGCAGACCTTTCCCCTTGCAGGTCACTTGCTTTCACTGCTCGAACATCTCAGAAATTCTTCTGATCCACATCTTTCCTTTTTTTGTTTTAATTAGAAAAATAGAGAAATAGAAAAGTTAAGAGACTAGTATAATAAACTCATGTGTACCCATACCCAGAAGTAACTCATGTTAATACTTTATCATTTTTGAATGACATTTTTTTTTTTTTTGAGATGGAGTCTCGCTCTGTCGCCCAGGCTGGAGTGCAGTGACTCGACCTCCGCTCACTGCAAGCTCTGCTTCCCGGGTTCACGCCATTCTCCTGCCTCAGCCTCCCGAGTAGCTGGGACTACAGGTGCCCGCCACCATGCCCAGCTAATTTTTTGTATTTTTAGTAGAGACGGGGTTTCACCATGTTAGCCGGGATGGTCTTGATCTCCTGACCTCATGATCCGCCTGCCTTGGCCTCCCAAAGTGCTGGAATTACAGGCGTGAGCCACTGGGCCTGGCCAGCAGTATTTTTTTAAATCAATGTTTTGACATGCACATAGTTTAATAAGTTTCTTGGGTTGGGTTCTAAGAAGAAGACCTGAGATGAAGATTCGTATCCAAGTGATTTATTCCAGTGGAACCCAAAAAGGAAGTGAGAGAAGTGGAAGACAGGAAGGAGCACAGCAAAGATGGGATTTAGGGTGAATCTCAGCCATTGCCTATCCTGTGGCAGCTCTGGAGGGTAAATTACTCAGAAGAGTTTGTCCTGCCTTAGGGCAGCTTGGCCTACATCTAAATTTTGAAATATATTAACATAAAGAAACATAATATATTTCATAATATGAAATATATTAACATAAAGATGTTTTTCATCCTCTTACCATTTTAGGGCCTACAGAATCTGCAGTGATATTCCACATTTCATTCCTAAAATTGATTTTTAGTGACTTTTCTCTCTTATTCTTTCATAGTCTTGCCAAGGAATTTAATTTTATTAGTCTTTTTTAATTTGTTGATCCTCTTGCTTATATTTTTGTTTTCCATTTCATAATTGCTGTTGTCATCCTTATTATTCTACTTTCTTTGGGTTGTATGTGTTGTCATTTTTCTGTCTTGAAATAGTTTAAGATCATTGATTTTTTCATCTTTCTTCTTTTCAAATATGTGCATTTAAAACTACAGATCCCCTTCCAAGCATAGCTTTAGCTGCTTTACTCACGTTTTGGTATGTAATATATTCATCTTCATTCATTAAGAGTATTTTCTAATTTTCATTGTGATTAATTTTTAACCTATGGAATGTGTTTGGACATTTTCTAGTTTTAAACTTGCTTTTTTGCTTTGTTGTCAGAGAAAAAACTTGTATTATTTCAATCTTTGAATTTTTGAGACTTTTCTATATGGCTCAGATCATGATAAATGTTTATAAACATTTCATAAATACAAAAAATATATATTCTGAGATGGTTAGTTGTAGCTTTCTATACAGTTACATAGTTTCAATTTGTAATTTAATTGTTTCCATATTCTGTATCGTTACTTATTTTTTTCACCTGCTTGATAAGTTAATGATAGTTGTGTTAAAACCTCCCACCATCATTATGGATTTTTCTATTTCTTCTTACAGTTCTGTCAGTTTTTGCTTTATATATTTTGTGGTTATGTTGTTAGGTACTTTCACTTTTAGAATTTGTTCCATCCTAGTGAAATCAAACTTCCAACAGTATGTAGCATCTCTCTGTCTTAAAGTCTACTTTGTCTAATTAGTGTGACTAAGCCAGATTTATTTTGGTTAGTAGGCTTATGGTAAGTATTTTTTTCAATCTTTTATTTTTAATCTTTCTGGCCATTATATTTAAGGAATGTCTCTTTTAAACAGAATATAACTGAATTTTTAAATTTTATCCTGACAATCTGTCTTTTAATTGGTGATTTATTCTATTTGGGTTTAATGTAATTGATATATGTGCATTTAAATCTTCCATTTTACTCTGAGCTTTTAAAATTTATCCATCTGCCTACATTCCTTTTTCTCTCCATTTTTGCCTTCTTTTGGATTGATTAAATGTGTTTTCTTATTATATCTTTTCCCATATACATTAATTTGGAAGTCATACACTCTTTTCTGTTTTTTTTAGTGGTAACTCTAGAGCTTAAAACATCTATCCTTGACTTATCAAAGTCGAATATTAATTGGTTCTTTTATCTTCTTCATGGATGATACAAGGACCTTAGGATACTTTAAGGCCATTTATCTCTCTTCTGACTCATAGGCTGTCATTGTCAGGTATGTTAATTCCATATAAATATTTAAAACTCCACAATCCATTATAATTGCTGTTTTACACAGTTGCTTTTCTTTTAATTTACCTACGTTTACCATTCTTATTTTTGCTCTTCATTTCTTTCATCATCTCCAAGCTTCCTTTAATCTTAAAAACACCATTTAATATTTTCTTTAAGACTGGTCTGCTGAAGATGAATTCTCTTTTGTCTGACAATCTCTTTCTTTTACTTTAATTTCCTGGAGGACATTTTTGCTTTTGTAGTTGTCCTCAATGGCATGGTTGATCTGTATTATCTAGCCCACCATTCCTCTCCATCAGACTTTTAAATTTGGCAACCTGCAGTTCTCTCTTTTTAATCTTACCTGATGTTGTGTTATATATGCTTCATGATGACTAACCCAAGAGCATAGATAATATCCTATTAAATCTTCCCTCATGTAAAGTATCTTTATGTTTAAGAATTTATTTTTAACAAAAATAAAGTCAGTATGAAACAAAGCTGTCATTGTATTTGAATGTTGTCTCTTGCTACAATCTGAGAGGACCTGGTTATGATTCTTAGAAAAGAACAAGCTACTTGTCTAGTAGGTATAAACACTGATTGCATTAATAGGGAAAAATAACCTAGATATTGTCAGGCATGATATTGGTTTGTATGGGGATTGTCACTGGAGATGTGGCACATGTGATTCCTCAGATGGTCTCCTGCAGGGCCCGTGGTTTCTTTTGTGTTAGTGCTTGCATAGGTACATCCCAGAATATGATTTTTTTTTTTTTGAGATGGAGTCTCGCTCTATCACCAGGCTGGAGTGCGGTGGCGTGATCTCAGCTCACTGCAACCTCCACCTCCTGGGTTCAAGTGATTCTCCTGCCTCAGCCTCCTGAGCAGCTGGGGCTACTGGTGTGAGCCACTGCGCTTAGCCAGAATATGATTCCTAAATACACTAATATCTTATGTCTGAAATACTGCAAAGTTCACATGTGGAAAGGGAGTAGAGTTTAGACACTGGGCCTCATGGAATGACATATATTCTGCTTCTGTGGACACACTCTGATCTTAGCGTGCAGTAAAGACAACTATCTTAGTCAATTTGTGCTGCTATAATGAAATACCTGAGACTGGGTAATTTGTAAAGAACAAAAATGTATTCTCTCATGTTCTGGAGGCTGGGAAGTCTGAGTTCAAGGCACCGGCAGGTTTGGTGTCTGGTGAGGGCTCTTCTCTCTGCTTCCAAGATGGTGCCTTGTTGCCATGTCCTCTAGAGGGCACGAACGCTATGTCCTCACGCGGTGGGAGGGCAGAAGAGAGGGAACTAACTCTCTCAAGCTCCTTATAAGGGCCCTAAAGGCTCCACCCTCATAACTTAATTACCTCCTAAAGGCCACACTTCTTAATACTATCACATTGGTGATCAACTTGCAACATATAAATTTCCAGGGACACATTCAGACCATAGCAAAAACCAAATGCCCTTTGTTTTATTTTTCAGCTACATGTTGTATGTATGCTTCTTACTTCTGGAAAATAATGCCGTTCTATAGCAATACTGTGAAGAATCTTATATCAGTTATAAATATACATGTCTTTTGATTTACTTCTTTTTTTTTTTTTGAGATAGAGTCTCACTCTGTCACCCAGGCTGGAGTGCAGTGATGCAGTCTCGGCTCACTGCAGCCTCTGTCTCCCAGGTTCAAGCAATTCTCGTGCCTCAGCCTCCTGAGTAACTGGGACTACAAGTGCACACCATTACACTTGACTAATTTTTGTATTTTTTTAGTAGAGACGGGGTTTCACCGTGTTGGCCAGGCTGGTCTCGAACTCTTGAACCTCAAGTGATTCCCCCCACCTCAGCCCCCTGAAGTGTTGGGATTACAGGCATGAGCCACCACACCTGGACTTGATTTACTTTCAAGCTGACAGTCATTTGTCACCAACAAGCTCCCAGTTTGATCTACAGAGGCCAGGAAAATAATACGAATCCTCACAGTGGCTGGATGGGGACTGGGCATATTAGAGGTCACATGCCCTTTAAAAATCGGATGGCCACACTCAGTTTTAATTATTGCCATGCTGTGATGTGAATTTTATTTTATTTTCCTGAGAAGTCAGAAATCTAGATTTTTTTTTTTTTTGAGACAGGGTCTCACTCTAGGCCTCAGAAATCTATATTTTTATGTGAAATCTTCGTATATTTAAACCTTAACAAATAATTCTTTTTTTTTTTTTTTTGAGACAGAGTCTCGCTCTGTCACCCAGGCAGGAGTGCAATGGCACGATCTCGGCTCACTGCAAGCTCTGCCTCCCGGGTTCACGCCATTCTCCGGCCTCAGCCTCCTGAGTAGCTGGGACTACAGGCGCCCACCACCATGCCTGGCTAATTTTTTTGTATATTTAGTAGAGACGAGGTTTCACCCTGTTAGCCAGGATGATCTCAATCTCCTGACCTCGTGATCCGCCCGCCTTGGCCTCCCAAAGTGCTGGGATTACAGGCGTGAGCCACCGCACCCGGCCTAAGAAATAATTCTTTTTAGGGGCTCGTTTGGCAGAATATACAATCATTGTTAAATAACTCAGACCTGCAGGCCAGATTCCTCCCAGAGACCAACAGCTTGCCCCCTTTATCTTAACCATTATCAGGTAAACTGCTCTCATTCTGTACACACAGGTGCTGAGAATCCTACCTCAAGGGTGGGCTTGAGGATGCTTGGGAAGCCTGAATGATATTGGCATTTGCCACAAATCATTTAATACAGAAGCCTGGGAGTCATCCTAACATCTCCTTTCTTCCTGCATCTGGTCAGCTGCCAGCTCCTATTGATTCCAGCACCTTTGAACTTTGCATCTATGCTCTCCTCCTCCAGACACTGGTAAATCTAGTCTAGGCTCTTGTCTCTTGCATGTCAGTGGCCTTCTAGCTATGCTCTCTGATGTGAGGCTTTGCTCCCTCAGTCCTTACCCACACTCCTGCCAGAGTAAGTTTTCCAAAATACAGTCTGCCTAAGTCACTCCTCTGCTTAAAAATAGTCCAGTGAGTCAATAAATTACTGTGCTGGAAAGCTTCTCTTTGCCCTCCAGATCCACTCTCCACCCTTCCCTGCCCCGCGCTCCACCCAATGGGAAGCTGACCTGCATGGACAGCATCAATGGTCTCCCTTGCCCTCTGGCTTCTGGTTGGGTTTGGCAAATAACGAGCACTGCAGGGCGACTGGAGAGAGGGAGGACAGAAGTGTGTTTGTTTACTTCCCCAGCTCTCTCTTTGTGGGTTGCTGTGGGCTCTGATTCTCAACCGAAGGCCTTAGTTCCTCTCAGGCAGCCCTGTATACACAGCCCCTGCCTGCCCTTGCCCCATCTAGCGTGCAGGGCCAAGGCAGATAATGAGAATCGTCAAATCCACAGAATCTGGCTGGCACCAGCCCCAGGGTGCTGCACCAGGCTTCATGGTTTCCCTGTACCCTGTCCACTACCTTGGTAAATAGCGTGTTTTAAAAATGCTTCCCAAGCAGGATGGCAAGTGTGTTAGTGTCTGAAATAATGAAAAATGTTGTGTGCTCAGCATATGGGATATGTGGTGCTAGCAGGAGCCACCAGAGATGAAGCTGAACAAAGGGTAGGATAGGGCACAAACAGCCTAGAGGAGCAGAATGTGTGTCCTGAGGAATTAGTGAAGGGCTTTAAAGGTGGTAAAATAATTAGGAGCACATTGACTAGGAAAGTGTCAACCAAATCCTAGAGGCCATCAACTGTCAGGGTAATGAGTTTTGGAGCAGCAGAGGGTAGAATGGACTGAAGAAGAGAGAAGTAAAACACAGAGGTACGGAGCATTTCTCAACAGTACCTAGCACACAGCTTTAGATATATGGGTGTTGAATATATCCTGGTCAGACTGAATTGTTGAGTCTGTGTGACAGCTTGAGTGACATTTTTATGCCGTTCACCCAATTCATATTTTAAAATTTCTTTTGTTAAAGACCTTAAGGTAGTATTAACCTGAAAGAATGTATTTACTGTTAACTAAATCTGGGTCGTTTGAGATCCCCTTAAATAACCTTTGTGGTAACATTGGAATGAACATTTATTTGATGTCTGGGAAGTAATATCCCAGTGGAACTCATTTTATTTTGGGTTGTTTTTAATATGGAGCTGTTAATATAGCATTTCCAATAAGTGACCTTATATGTGAAATCTGTGTTTAATTACTAATGTTTTAGCAAGACTAGTAGAACTGTACTATTCATTATAAGTCACAGATTTAAGAACTTGTCAGGAAAATATTTTATGATTTGATTTATGCCTGGGGATCCAAGAAAGGCAAGCAGTACTTGAGTCTTTATGAGATGGTGAACATACTTATTCCTACAATATTTTTGGCTTTTACCAACCCTATTATATAATGAGTAAACAATATCTTTTTTGGAATTTTTCATCCAAAATATTCCCTAGCTAGAGCTTTACTTAGGAAAATATGATTTCCTAAGAGATCCTTAAGCCTGATAATTTGAACCAAACAACACAAAGTGCATACTGCTTCTTTGGAAGTGTTTTCATAGCTTTCCTTTTAGTGTTTTCCTTTTCCCTTTAAAAAAAAAGAACTTTTATTGGGTGTTTTATTGTGCAAACTATACATGTTTGTCATATAACATTAGAAATTATAGATGATCATAAAAGAAGAAAGTAAAAAGTGTTTGTAATTCCATCACAATTAGAAAACAGAGGTGAGCACAAAATAAGGACTCACATGTAACCTATCATACGGAAGAAGGTGATAGGGATACATGAGGTGCTTCCAGCTTCCAGCAGGGTTGGTATGTTCAGTGGAAAGTCTATCCCAGCTCTCCTAACCAAGGTACAAATTGCTCCTGTTTCAGGGTCTCCTTCCCCTGGGCCCCTTGTGTCTGTTGCTCTTGACAACCAAAGGTTGCCATTGCCTCACCACAGCCCTTGTCCCTCTCACCTGATGCTCATTGATTTGTGAGCTACTTGAGGGCCAGATCCACATTGTATTCACAGGGCACTGAGCACAGAGCCTTGAACTTAGCAAGCTCTTGGTATAGTTTGTGTGAGAAAATGAACGAATGCATGTGAGTTCATGAACATCAGTCAGAAATGCGAATTCCTCATGAAAGAAGCTAGATAAAATGAAATACTTTTGAAAAGCAGAAGTGTAGCTCTACTTGCAATATAGAGGGGGAAAAAAGTAAAAGACTTCATAGAGATATCGAAAGAATGTTGTGGTCAAGCAGATCACAGCAGCAGATGTATTTGATCCAAGAGGCGAAATGCTAACTGTGAGTGATGATAGCTGGGCTGCTGTATTTGACTGGATTCCTGGTCGTGAAAGGAAGTGGAGCATCAGTGGGGAAAACACACAGATGTCCATAAAGAAAATGCAGGCTTTGTCTGGGGTAAGACAGAAAGCGCTTCTGCCTAGGCCCCTTCTTTAAGAAGAAAATAACTTTTATTGGATGTTTTATTGTAAAATTATACACGTTCATTGTATGACATTAGAAATTATAGATGATGGCTGGGCGTAGTGGTTCATGCCTGTAATCGCAGCACTTTGGGAGGCCTAGGCGGGCGGATCACCTGAGGTCAGGAGTTCAAGACCAGCATGGCCAACATGGTGAAACCCTGTCTCTACGAAAATACAAAAACAGGCCGGACGTGGTGGCGAGTGCCTGTAATCCCAGCTACTTGAGAGGCTGAGGTGGGAGAATCGCTTGAACCGGGGAGGCAGAGGTTGCAGTGAGCCAAGATTGTGCCACCGCACTCCAGCCTGGGTGACAGAGTAAGACTTCGTCTCAAAAAGAAAAATAAAAGAAATTATCGATGAGCCTTGGACACACATGGTTCTCAAAGCCACAGTTGTTCACCTGCAAAATGGGGATGGTGATATCTATCTTAAAGGGCTTGCTGAGAAGGTTAGAGAGAAGGTGGGAAAAGTACTGGCAGGCAGTACTCACGCTGTGCATTAATAATGGTTAACAGTGCTTGCGTTATGTAGGACAAGCTTGTTCAGGTCTTCTTCCATGCTCTGCCTCAGATTCTGGCCCCAGACAGGGTCACAGAGTGACATGATATTGATTGAAGCACACTTGGATTGGGTCCAAATAACAACTTACCATATAAAATAATAACAACATGGAATTTAAATAATTACTTGAGACAACCTAAAGAGATGTTTGAACAGGGGGAATTGGGAGCAGCTATACTCAACTGACAAACACAGACATTCACCTGGGTTACAATCAGGCCAAAGAGCCAGCTGATATCAGTCAGCTGTATTTTATTGTCATTAACCTTCAGAGCTGGGGCTAACCAATGTGGAGCTGCTACATACCGCTTCTCTCAGGAGGTTTACCACCACCATGCAGCCCAAGAATACAGGTTCCACCCTGCCGGATCCAGTTCCTTCTGATGGCTGATTTCTTCCCTCCCCACAAACCTTTCTGCCTCCTGACATTTGATGACGGTAATTGGTATTATTTCATATTTTTATTGTAACATTAAACTGTGTTCACAGACTCCAAGTCTGATTAGTTGGCTGCTTACTTGGCATTATGGTCGGCTTACTAGTTTAAAAAGCAGAAATATGCATTAATGGAATGCTGTAAGATTAGAGAGCTATGTCCCACACATTTATCAGGGACTTGAGTGAAGACACGGAAGCTGCAGAGCTGAGCACAGTGGCTCGTAGATAGGGTGACAGGATCAGGGTTCAAACAGATCTCAACAGGCTGGTATTCTGGGCCAAAACCAACAAGAGGAAATTCAGTAGTGATGAATGTTAAGTCTTGCATAAGTACAAATGGGAGAGAGCTGGTTCTCCCATCATTGTTTTGAAAAAGACACATTATTTTTGAAGAGGAAAAACAATTGCTTACCCTTATTGAGATACTCACCAACTGCATGCGTGGAGATGCTGCCTGTACTTTATATGTGTTATTTTATTTAAATCTTGTTTGGGTAAAGATTATCATCTCCATTTCATAGATGAGTTTTAGAAAGTTTAAGAAACTCAGAGTCAAACAGCTTTTAACTATTATGTGATGCTGTCTCCAGAGCAGATTCCAACAAATGGGCTGGCTGAAAAACGAAGGAATGGAGGGAGGGAGAGAAGAAGGAAACTTAGGTTTTATCTGAAGAAACCTGGATCATAGGTGCAATGTATAGTCTGTGTTCTTAGATTCAGTGTTGTATTCTGGACCCTACATTTTAAGACTTAAAATGTGCAAATTTCGATGTGCGCCAAGAGAGAGCATAGTTGCAAAGGATCTGGGAACGTAGAAGGAACTAGGAGGCCTTCAGAAAGCTTGAGAAGGACTCTTCTGTAGAAGAGGATCAAGGCTCTGTCCACTGCTCTAGAGGCATGGAAGCTCCAGGGAAGCAGGTTCTGTTTCACTGCAAGGAAGACGACGCAAACATACATTTTCAGCAATGGCCCAAGTGGCGCTTCATTCTGCTTCAGTGGAGTTATTTCTGAATGTCTGTGTTATCATTATGCTGCTAGGATGAAAGGGAAGAGAGCAGAACTGGGTGGAAATCTGGGATATTATTGCTATTACTCTCCAGAGAAATAATACATTAAAAAGGCAGAAGGGCTGGCTGCTGGAGACGGCATTGGGGTTTCAAAACAAAATCCAAGCGTCTTCCTGGCTGAGGAGAGGAGAAACACTCAAGGACCCCTCTTGAGGTGCCATTCGTGCTCTACTTTCTTAGAGGGAAAATATCTTACCTATCCAATCAGAGAAGCCAAATGCTTGCACTTATAACATGCCTATTTTAGTTATTTTAGAATCAAGATTCTTTTTTTTTTTTGTAAGTTAAGGTAGAGAAGTTATGGAAAGAAACCTGATTCTAACTATGAACTGAACAGATGGAATAGTGGGAATAAAAACAAATTAAAACAGTATTGCAAAAACTCTCAACTTTCATTTAAAAATATATATGATGATGTTTTTCAACTTTTCACATTCAACCTTTTGGTATATCGAGTGACAAAATGAAAAATCAATTTCAGCTGTGTATATTTTAAACATTTACCTAAATGATTTGGACTTACCCAACCTAAAAGTCCAGATGAATGTATTAAACTGCTTATTGTATCTTTTGTGAATTAAAACTTTATTTTTTATTATGTTATAGACAGGGCACAGTTATGTTTGGTGACGTTTACTATAGAAAATTGAACTGAACAGTGGTCTAATTAGAACAGTAAATAGTATGGGTTTAATTAGCCCCTATTCCTGATGACAGATTTGATCAGTCACCAGATATTTATCCTTTCCTTTCACTTGACTGTTACTGAAATATTGCCTCTAGCAGGACTGCTTACTGTGCTATAAATAGGTAGCTTGGCAAGAAGCCATAAAGCCCATTGACCAGTGAGACTTGAGTGAAAATTATTGGAAAACCCCCTCTTTGCTTCCAGTCATTATTTCTTCATTTCACTTTTGAAGGTCCTTTCCACAGGTCCCTCTTTTAATTTAATTTTTCTTTTTTTTTTTTTTTGGTTAGATGAGGTAACTTGCCTAAGGGCTTAAGGAAACCTTTGCAGTATCTAGTTCAGTCACATGCTGCAGTTTATTAGTATGTCACAGTTTCTTTCATAAACTTTGCTGTTCTCCAGCTTAGAACTTACCTATTAAATTCTGTCTGACTTGAACTTTTCTGTACACCAAGAATATGTGGTTTTTGTTTGTTTGCTTCCTTGTTTTTAATTAAGGTATGATGTGTTTTATTAAGAAAAGTCTACAAAATGCAGAGAAACAGCAACAACAACAAAAATACGTTAAAGTCACCCAAATCCCTCACACATAGAGGTAGCAATGGTAATATTTTAATTAACCTCTCACTCCTCTCCCTATGCATGTACAAAGTATACATGCATGAAAAATGATATGGATTTAATATGATTATCTAATGATTGTCTTTTTCCCCACCCCAATATTTTTAAAATAGAAATTTCAAAAACCATGAAAGTTCAAATAGTAATAAAACTGGCATTTAACAATTTATCATATTCTGGGTGGGACTAGGGAAAATTAAACATTCAGTTGAAGTTCATTTCCTGTCTTTTCCCAACAACATTCGTTCCTAGTCCTACTTACTCCATTCTTAGAGCTAATTTGGTATGTTTCCAGCCTATATACCTCCAGCCTACATACGCGTTCTTTTACTGGTACATTTTGCGTATATACGCCTATGCCTATAGCTTTATCTGTAGAGAAGAGATAGAAAATGATATATGTGTTTTTATTTTAATGTAATTAAACCTATCAGTCTTTTCCCTTATAATTTCTACTTTTATTGCTATATCTAAGATAGTCTTTCCTATACAACTATTGGTGTAGGTATATCCAAGATTAATCTATTAATCTATAATATTTCTAATATTTTATGGTTTCAGTATTTTAACATACATTTCTAATAGATCTGGAATTTATTTTGGTATATTCTATGAAGAAGTTATCTATGATTTTTAAAAACACAAAACACGCCGGGCATGGTGGCTCATGCCTGTAATCCGAGGACTTTGGGAGGCTGAGGCGGGCGGATTATGAGATCAGGTTCGAGACTGTCCTGGCTAACACGGTGAAACCCCATCTCTACTAAAAATACAAAAAATTAGCCGGGTGTGGTGGCAGGCACCTGTAGTCCCAGCTACTCAGGAGGCTGGGCCAGGAGAACTGCTTGAACCCACCCAGGAGGTGGAGGTGGTAGTGAGCTGAGATCACATCACTGCACTCCAGCCTGGGTGACAAAGTGAGCCTCTATGTCAAAAACAAAACAAAACAAACAAAAAGCCCACAAAACATTTGTCACATTGATTTGTGGTGCTATACTGTGTCCTTATACTTGATCTGTTTCTGGACTCTTTTTTTTTTTTTTTTTATTTTAATAGGTCCATTTGTTTATTGCTGTGCCAATTCTCTACTCTTAATTGAGACAATTTTCCTCTCATTTTACTTCTTTTAGAGTTCTTTTAATTGTGTTTAAAAAAACTTGTAACATGAGATCTACCCTTTTAATAAATTTAGAAGCGTATAGTACAGTATTGGTAATTATAAGTACAATGTTGAAAAGCAGATCTCTAGAACTTTTTAATTTTGCATGGTTGAAACTTTATACCCATTGGACAGTAACTCTTCATTTCCTTATCACCCCAGTCCCTGGCAACCACTATTGTACTTTCTGCTTCAATGAGTCGGTCTATGTTAGATACCTCATATAAATGGAACCATGCAGTATTTGTCTTTTGTGACTGGCTTGTTTCACATAACCTAATGTCCTCAAGATTCATCCATATTGTGGCATGTGATAGGCTTTCCTTCTTTTTAATGGCTCCATAGCATTTCGTTGTGTGTATACCACATGTTGTTTATCCATTCATCTGTTGATGGACATTGGGTTGCTTCCATGTCTTGGCTATTGCAAACAATGAGTGTGCAGATATCTCTTTGAGATCCTGATTTCAGTTCTTTTGGATAAATACCAAGAAGTTGGATTGCTGGATCATATAGTAATTCTATAGTAATTCTATCTTCCTTCACAATTTTTTAGCTTTTTTTCTTTTTTTTTTCTGAGACAGAATCTCGCTCTGTCACCCAGCCTGGAGTGCAGTGGCACGATCTCAGCTGTCACCTCTGCCTCCCGGGTTCAAGCAATACTGGTGCCTCAGCCTCCCGAGTACCTGGGACCACAGGCATGTGACACCACGTCCAGCTAGTTTTTTTGTATTTTAGTAGAGATGGGGTTTTGCCATGTTGCCCAGGCTGGTCTTGAACTCCTGAGCTCAGGAAATCTACCCACCTTGGCCTCCCAAAGTGCTAGGATTATAGACATGAGCCACCACGCCCGGCCTCCTTTGGCTCTTATAGGTATTTATGCCACTAGATGAACTTTAGAAACATTTGTTATGTTTCAAAAATTTTTCTTTGGGGATTTTGATGGGACTTGCTGTAAACTTATAGATAAACTTGGAGAGAAGTAGCATTTTACAGTATTGAGTCTACTCATTCAGGACTATGGTTGTTTCTTCATTTATTCAAGTATATTTTAGACCCCTTAGTAAAGTTTTGTAACTTAATAATGAGCTTTATTTCTTTTCAGGTCTATACCTACATCTATGTACTTTTTACTTGTAATTTCCCTTCTTCTCTGTAGTATTCTGAATTAAGTCAATGGTGGAAAGTCTAGGAGACCAATTAAACCAAACTGTACTCATAATTGACTCTTCCCTATTTTCTTGGATTCAAAACCTTTATAACTTGGCCAACTATGTTCATATGACTTTGTTTTCTAGGAATGGAGATTCTCTCAGGAGGTTCCACAAATCCTTATGCAAGGTTTCTTGGGAGTTACCGCCAGTCTGCCTGACACACAAGCAAGTCAGAATTTCACTCATGAGCACTTCTTTTTTTTTTTTTTTCTGAGATAGAGTCTTGCTCTGCTGCCCAGGCTGGAGTGCAGTGGCACAATCTTGGCTTACTTCAACCTCCGCCTCCCTGGTTCAAGTGATTCTCCTGCTTTGGCCTCCCGAGTAGCTGGGATTACAGGCACGCACCATCACACTCAGCTGATTTTTGTATTTTTGGTAGACGTGGTTTAGGCTCAAGCAGGGTCCCTGCTATGTAAGTTAGAAAACAGAATAATATAATTGATATTTAGCCAATTTATTTAAATTTAGCAATGATAAAATTTCAGATATAATACTGAGCTTAAAAGCTATCTCGACAAAACCTTAAGGTGGAAAGGCATGCATGTGTCAACTGCTTTTCATATAAACCTGTCTTTTTTTTTCATGCAGTCATTCCAAAGCTAAGCATTTTTGGGTAACATTGGTCTTTGTGAAGAGCTTAGAAGATGACTCTGGATTTGGGAGGCTGAGGCGGGCAGATCACCTGAGGTTAGGAGTTCAAGACCAACCTGGCCAACATGGCAAAACCCTGTCTCTACTAAAAATACAAAAGTTAGGTGTGGTGGTGGGCGCCTGTAATCCCAGCTACTCAGGAGGCTGAGGCAGGAGAATTGCTTGAACCCAGGAGGTGGAGGTTGCAGCGAGCCGAGATTGTGCCATTGCACTCCTGGGCAATAAGATCGAAGCTCTGTCTCAATTAAAAAAAAAAAGGTGACTCTGGAATAACTGGGGAAGATTTGGGATATTTCTACCACATTTGCCTATACTTTATTGTGTGGTTTTTTTTTTGTTTGTTTGCTTTTTAACATCTAGACCTCAAGAAACACTCGTTCAGATGAAGACAAAGATGGCAACTGGGATGCTTGGGGCGACTGGAGTGACTGCTCCCGGACCTGTGGGGGAGGAGCATCATATTCTCTGCGGAGATGTTTGACTGGAAGGTTAGTGGTGGCTTCACTTGCTCCTGCATGTGGAATGTGCCAGTGCCTCTGGATGGGTGGAGAGGAGAGATAACTTTATATGGCTTTGGAATGTACTGTGATGATGGTGTAACGTTTGCTTTGTCTAAATATTAGTCAACCTAGGTTAACATATTTAAGCAGCCATGGTCCCGTTTTCGTGGGTGTGGCCATGTTGCGCACAGGACCCAGGAGCACTGGACACTTTGGGCTTTGAGGAAAGGAAATCCTGGCACTTTAAGTCACTGGTTTAAAGTTGTCAAGAGTTGGAGCAAGAGGTCAAGTCTTCTGAGTTCTGCCCTTGGGTTGCTGCAACTTAGTCCAGTTCTTGTTCATCTATTCTGAGCAACCCGTCGATTAGGAACATGATGCAAGTTCTGTTTTCACATTTTAGATATGTTTATGTTAAATAATGTTTGCAAAAATGTAAAATCAGCTTATTTTTAAAAATCTGTAAATTTGTAATAAGCCTGTGCTTATCATTGTTTTTGAGACACTTCAAGGTAATGCTTTATGGGACAGTTTAATTCCCAGTCAAGGATTTTGCATCAGCTCTTAGGTAAGAGAGAGCCCCAGATTGATGGAATCTGATGTGCTAGTCTTGTACAAAAGAAGATTCCAAGATTATGTCAGTCATCTTCAGATTTGGGATATTGTTAGGCAAAAGAGTAAATTGGCCTTTGCCGATTAGCTTCAAGATACAGAGTAGAAATGCAGGGAGAGCATATTTTGGCTGGAGTTTGGATTTTGTTGAGGTCACTGTTCTACCATACATTAAACAGTGACCAAGTATGTCCTCCAGTTTCCTTGAGACATTGCAGAGCAGGGCAGATGAGAGATTGTACATGTGGCCTTTGAGAAGAAAGACTCACCGGTCTGCTCCAGGAAGGCCTGGGAAGGTTGCTGGAGGTACTGTGGTAGCATTCCCCCAGGGCGAGTTCTAACTCAGAGCATGGAAGCTTCAGTAAAGCATTGGAGAACTAAATCCAGGGATTATTCTTGCAAAGAGAATGTGTTATGCCTGCTTCCCCATATTTCCACCTTGGTGAGCAGATATAGGCCCTGGTATTCTGTGTCATGCTGTGTAGAAGAATGATGGGGTATCATGTTGTTTTGGGATATATTTATTCTGCCAAGGAGGCTGCAATAGGAGAGCTACACCCTGTGGGCAAGGGGAGGAGGCTTTTTTTTTTTTTTGGAGATGGAGTCTCACTCTTGCCCAGACTGGAGTGCAGTGGTGGGATCTGGGCTCACTGAAACCTCTGTCTCCCAGGTTCACACAATTCTTCTGCCTCAGCCTCCCAAGTAGCTGGGATTACAGGTGCCTGCCACCATGCCTGGCTAATTTTTGTATTTTTAATAGAGATGGGGTTTCACCATATTGGCCAGGCTGGTCTTGAACTCCTGACCTGAATGATCCATCTGCCTCGGCCTCCCAAAGTGCTGGGATTACAGGCTTGAGCCACCATGCCCAGCCAGGGGGCTTCTTATGTCAAGGGTGAGTTCTTTCCCACTGCTGGCCAGCCACATGGGGGAGAAGTTTCCAGCCTGGGAATGAGTGGGGAAGGGAGAACTTTGACATCTCTTTCTAAACCTCAAGTCTCAGAAGTCTGAATAATTTGCAATTAGTGGTAGGGTTAGAGTGGGAAAGGTGTGGGATTTATTTGCATTGGTCTTTTTTTTTTTTCTAGTACGTACTTGCGTTTGTTAAAGAGAATTTAGAGGAATATATTAAGGACCATGAATAACCACTTTCATCCTATTGTCATACAACTAAAATGTTCGCATATTTATTTATTATTTGGTTCATTTTTAAAATTTCTTTGATTTTGCTTGGAACATAATTTTGCCAAGTGATATATCTCCAGAAGGCTGAAGGTAGGGAAGGGCAGTTGTTCAACTTCTTCCATCTTTTCTACTCGTACTCAGAAGGGGAGACTTGGGCAAAAGGAGAGGAAAGGGAGGCAGGAGAGTTCTTGGCTTTATTGTTGAGAGCAGGTATTGGTGTTCTCTGTTTGGCAAGTGTCTTAAGCTGACTGTTGTGAGCACTTTGATGGATTTTCTGAGAAATTGCCTTTGCCCTCCCAAATTCCTTGGGATTTCTTGCGTCCAATTCCCTTGAAATGTGCTATTCACAACACTTTGGCTTGGTAATATTGCTCTTTCCTCAGCTCTGAGACTGCTAGACATGCCCCCAGCTTCTCCCTATTTACATGTGCTAACCCCTCTGTGGCCATCTTGGTAAGTTCCTAAGACAACCACATGCTGGCACTCATGCACGTGCCCACATCTGGTTCACAGGAAACCCTCACGTAAACTTTGCTAAACAAACTCTTCAAGTCCAGGGAGCCAGTGCTGCAACACCTACTCTGCTTACATGGGCTGCTGCAGCTGTTCTCTCAGCCCTTAAATTTCTCAGGTGTGAATTAAACACCAAGCAACTGTTGGTGACACATATTGAACTCTTCAAGTGGTATCCTTAAAATTTCTTCCTCTTGATTTGGGGTTAGCAGACTGAAGCCCTCATCCCTTCTCCTTGATGGTGCAGAATGAGAGGTAGGCTCACAGCACACCTTTCTCAATGAAATCCTCAGAAGTTCTTCCTGTAAGTCTCTGGCTCCAGAACCTTTTAATTCCCTTGATGTGGGTAAGGAGTTTAACTCCAGTGAATTAAACTAACACATATCCTGCCTTCAAGGTTCTTATATCTAAGGAGACAAACAATAAACAAACAATCAAATTATATATAATTAAAAATTATGTCACTGGCCAGGCACAGTGGCTCACGCCTGTAATCCCAGCACTTTGGGAGGCCGAGGCGGGTGGATCACCTGAGATCAGGAGTTTGAGACCAGCCTGACCAACATGGAGAAAGCCCATCTCTACTAAAAATACAAAATTAGCTGGGCATGGTGGCACATGCCTGTAATTCCAGCTACTGAGGAGGCTAAGGCAGGAGAATTGCTTGAACTCGGGAGGTGGAGGTTTCAGTGAGCTGAGATTGCGCCATTGCACTCCAGCCTGGGCAATAAGGGCGAAACTCCGTCTCAAAAAAAAAAAATTGTGTTAAGAAAATCCATAAAATGGTCAGGGAAGCCCTCTGTGCTGGGGCATGTTTATGCTGAGATATTACTGCTAAGAAGAAATCAGTTATGTGATGGGAAGGGTTATGAGACCAAAAAAGTTCAGATAGTGGGAGCAGCATATGTAAGTATCCTGAAGCAGGAAATGAAAACAGCCTTTTATGCCTGCAGAACAATTAGATGAGAGTGAGCAGAATGGCAGTCCCCTGCTGACTGCCACTGCAGACAGAGCCTTGGTGGGCACAGAGTCAGCCAGCATCCCACCCTGGGCTAACACTGTGCAGAGAACAGTGGATCCTACCCCACCCTGAGCAACCACTCCTACTTGTGGGGCACACAGAAGGCACTCAGACCTGCATCTGCCAGTGCCCCGCCCCTGAGCCAACACCACCTCCAGCATGACTGAACACACAGTCACCAACAGGGGCCTCCTGCCCACCCCTAGCTGCACTGCCTCTGCCATTGTGGTGAATGCCTACAGAGAGGCAGGACCCCCGGCACCTGGTAGCACTCCACCGTAGCTGCCACTACCACTGCTGCTGATATGTGCAAATGAGTATGGATCCCACTGTCATCAAGCTGTGAAATGCTTTGGCTGACATCAGCCATCAGAGTGTAATGACCGGCAGTCCAAAAACATTTTGGCCCCTGCAGTGCAGTGGATTCCTAACATCAAGGAGCCAGAGAACAAAGTTGGGGCCCAATACAAGTACCCCAGAATTAGAACATCCAGTCCAGGTATTGGGAGCTGAGTGTTGGCCCCCTAAAATCTTTCATAAATGAAGCCAGTTGGCTGAATCCACCTTATACTAGAATCAAGCCCTCAAGGTCATTAAAAAAATAGGATAAAAGAAACAAAATTATGCAAAAAGTCAGCAACCTCGAGGATTAAAGGAAGATAAGCCCACAAAGATGAGAAAGAATCAGCACAAGAACCCTAACAACTCAAAAAGCCAGAGCACCTTCTTTCCAACAGATGACCACCTTGCCTCTCCAGCAAGTGTTCTGAACCAGGTTGAGATGGATGAAGTGACAGAAACAGAGTTCAGAATATGGACAGAAATGAAGATCCTTGAGCTATAGCAGTATGTTGAAACCCAGTCCAAGGAAGCTAAAAACCATTATAAAACAATACTGGAACTGGCAGACCAAATAACTAGTATAGGAGTGTGTAACTGAACTGAGAGAGCTGAAAAACACCATACAAGAATTTCGTAATGCAATCACAAGTATTAATAGCAGAATAGACCAAGTGGAGGAAAGAATCTAAGAGCTTGAAGACTGGCTTTCTGAAATAAGACAGTCAGACAAGAATAGAGAAAAAAGAATGAAAGGAATGAACAAAACCTTTGAGAAATATGAGATTATGTAAAGAGACCAAATCCATGACTTACTGGTGTCCCTGAAAAAGAGGGGGATAATGGAACCAACTTGGAAAACATGTTTCAGGATATCATCCATGAGAACTTCATGGATGAACCCAACTAGCTAGACAGGCCAACATTCAAATTCAGGAAATGCAGAGAACCCCAGTAAAATACTTCCCAAGAAGATCATCCCAAGAGACATAGCCATTAGATCCTCCAAGGCTGAAATGAGAAAAAATGTTAAAGACAGAGAGAAAGGTCAGGTCACCTACAAAGGGAAGTCCATTGACTAACAGCAGACTTCTCAGCTGAAACCTTACAAGCAAGAAGAGATTCTGGGCCAGTATTCAACATTCTTAAAATAAATTCCAACCCAGAATTTCATATCCAGCCAAATTAAGCTTCATAAGTGAATGATGAATATGATCCTTTTTAGACAAGCAAATGCTGAGATAATTTATTACCATCAGATCTGCCTTATAAGAGCTCCTGAAGGAAGCACTAAATATGGAAAGGAAAGACCATTACCAGCCACTACAAAAACATACTGAAGAATACAGACCAGTGACACTATAAAGCAACCACATAAACAAGTCTGCAAAATAACCAGCTAACATCATAATGACAGGATCAAATCCGTACATATCAATACTAACCTTGAATGTAAGTGGGCTAAATGCCCCAATTAAAAGACACAGAGTAGCAAGCTGGATAAAGAACCAAGACCCATTGGTATGCTTGTCTTCAAGAGACCCATCTCACATGCAGTGACACACATAGGCTCAAATAAAGGGATGGAGAAAAATCTACCAAAAAAATGGAAAACAGAAAAAAAGCAGAGGTTGCAATCCTGGTTTCACACAAAACAGACTTTAAACCAGAAAAATTTAAAAAGACGAAGGGTATTACTTAATGGTAAAGGGTTCAATTCACAAGAAGACCGAACTATCCTAAATATATATGCACCCAACACAGCAGCACCCAAATTCATAAAGCAAATTCTTAGAGACCTTCAAAGAGATTTAGACTCCCTCACAGTAATAATAAAAGACTTTAACACCCCACTGACAATACTAGACAGATCATCAAGACAGAAAATTAACAAAGATATTCAGGACCTGAACTCAGCACTGGATCAAATGAACCTGATAGACATCTACAGAACTCTCTACCCCAAAACAACAGAATATACATTCTTCTCATCACCACATGGCACTTACTCTAAAATTGATCACACAATTGAAAGTAAAACACTCCTCAGCAAAGGCAAAAGAACTGAAATCATAAAAAACAATCTCGGCTGGGTGCAGTGGCTCATGCCTGTAATCCCAGCACTTTGGGAGGCCGAGGTGGGAGGATCACAAGGTCAGGAGATCGAGACCATCCTGGCTAACACAATGAAACCCCGTCTCTACTAAAAATACAAAAAATTAGCCGGGCGTGGTGGCAGGTGCCTGTAGTCCCAGCTACTCTGGAGGCTGAGGCAGGAGAATGGTGTGAACCTGGGAGGCAGAGCTTGCAGTGAGCCGAGATCGCAACACTGCACTCCAGCCTGGGCAACAGAGCAAGACTCCATCTCAAAAAAAAAAAAAAAAAAAAAGGAAAAACAATCTCTCAGACCACAGCACAATCAAATTAGAAAACAAGACTAAAAAAATCACTTAAAACCATACAATCACATGGAAATTGAATAACTTGCTTCTGAATGACTTTGGGGTAAATAATGAATTTAGGGCAGAAATCAAGAAGTTATTTGAAACTAATGAGAACAAAGATACAACATGCCAGAATTTCTGGGACACAGCTAAGGCAATGTTAAGAGGGAAATTTGTAGCACTAAATGCCCACATCAAAAAGTTAGAAAGATCTCAATTTAACAACATAACATCACAACTAAAAGAACTAGAGAACCAAGAGCAAACCAATCCCAAAGCTAGCAGAGACAAGAAATAAATCAGAGCTGAACTGAAGGAGATTGAGAGACAAAAAAACCATTCGAAAGATCAATGAGCCGGGTGTAGTGGCTCACGCCTGTAATCCTAGAGCTTTGGGAGGCTGAGGCGGGTGGATCCCCTGAGGTCAGGAATTCAAGACCAGCCTGACCAACATGGTGAAACCCTGTCTCTATTAAAAATACAAAAATTAGCTGGGCATGGTGGCGGGCACCTGTAATGCCAGCTACTTGGGAGGCTGAGGCAGGAGAATCACTTGAATCCAGGAGGCAGAGGTTGCAGTGAGCCAAGATCCTGCCATTGCACTGCAGCCTGGGCGACAAGAGTGAAACTCCATTAAAAAAAAAAAAAAACAAACTTCTCAATAAAGTAGGTATTCAAGGAATATACATCAAAATAATAAGAGCCATCTATGACAAACCCACAGTCAACATCATACCAAGTGGGTGAAAGCTGGAAGCATTCCCCTTGAATACCAGCACAAGACAAAGATGCCCTCTCTCACTACTCCTATTCAACATAGTGCTGGAAATTTTGGATGAGGCAATCAGACAAGAGAAAGAAATAAAGATCATTTAAATAGGAAGAGAAGAAGTTAAACTATCCCTGTTGGCAGATGACATATCCTATATCTGGAAAACCCCATAGTCTCAGGCCAAAGGCTCCCTAAGCTGATAACTTCAGCAAAGTCTCAGGATACAAAATCAATGTGCAAAAATCATTAACATTCTTATACACCAACAGTCAAGCCAGGAGCCAAATCAGGAACACAATCCCATTGACAGTTGTCATACACACAAAATAAAATACCTAGGAATACAGCTAACCAGGGAGGTAGAATATTTCTACAAGGATAACTACAAAACACCACTTGAAGAAATCAGAGATGACACAAGCAAATGGAACAACATCCTATGCTCATGGATAGAAAGAATCAATATTGTTAAAATGGCCATACTGCCCAAAGCAATTTATAGATTCAATGCTATTTCTATTCAAGTAACATTGAAATTATTTACAGAACTAGAAAAAAAAAACTATTTTAACATCCATATGGAACCAAAAAACAGCCTGAATAGCCAAGGCAGTCCTAAACAAAAAGAACAAAGCTGGAGGCATCATGCCGCCTGACTTACAGCTATACTTCAGGGCTACAGTAATCAAAACATCATGATACTGGTGCAAAGATGGACACATAGACTAATGGAACAAAATAGAAAACCTAGAAATAAGGCCACACACCTACAACTTCTGATCTTGACAAACCTGACAAAAAAACAAGCAATGGAGAAAGGATTTCCTATTCAATAATTGGTGCTGGGATAAATGGGTAGTCATATGCAGAAGATTGAAACTGGATCAATTCTATACATCATATACAAAAATTAACTCAAGATGGATTAAATACTTAAATGTAAAACCCAATACTATACAAACCCTGGAAGACGATACCATTATGGACATTGGAATGGGCAAAGATTACATGAGGAAGACACCAAAAGCAGTTGCAATAAAAGCAAAAATTGAAAAATGACATCTAATTAAACTAGTAAGTTTCTGCATAGCAAAGGAAACTATCAATAGAGTGAACAGACAGCCTATAGAATGGGAGAAAAATTTTGCAAACTATGTATCTGACAAAGGAACTTAAATTTACAAGAAAAAAACAAACAACTCCATTAAAAAGTGGGCAAAGGACATGAACAGACATTTTTCAAGAGAAGACGTGGCCAAAAGTCATACGAGAAAAAAGCTCATAATTGATCATTAGAGAAATAAAAATCAAAACCACAATGCGATAACATGTCACACCATTCAGACTGGCTGTTACTAAAAAGTCAATAAGTAACAGATGCTGGTGAGATTGTGGAGAAAAGGGAACATTTATACGCTGTTGGTGGGAGTGTAAATTAGTTCAACCTTTGTGGAAGACAGTGTAGTGACTGCTCAGAGACCTAAAAACAGAAATAACCGTTAGACCCAAAAATCCCATTACTGGGTATATATGCAAAGTAATATAAATCATTTAATTATAAAGACACTTGCATGTATGTGTTCACTGCAGCACTATTCACAATAGCAAAGACATGGAATCAACCTAAATTCCCATCACTTAAAGACTGGGGTCAGGTGTGCTGGCTCATGCCTGTAATCCCAGCACTTTGGGAGGCTGAGGTGGGTGGATCACTTGAGGTCAGGAGTTCCAGACCAGCCCGGCAAACATGGTGAAACCACATCTCTACTAAAAATACAAAAATTAGCCGGGCATGGTGACGGGTGCCTGTAATTCCAGCTACTCAGGAGGCTCAAGCAGGAGAATCTCTTGAACATGGGAGGTGGATGTTGCAGTGAGTAGAGATCATGTCACTGTATTCCAGCCTTGGTGACAGAGTGAGACTCCTCCTCCTCAAAAAACAAATTGTAAACTGGATAAAGAAAATGTGGTACATATGCCCTGGAATACTATGCAGCCATAAAAAAATGAGATCATGTCTTGTGCAGGAACATGGATGAAGCTGGAGGCCATTATCTTTAGCAAACCAATGCAGGAACAGAAAACCAAATACCACATGTCATCACTTAAAAGTGGAAGCTAAACTATGAGAACACATGGACACATACAGGGGAACAACATTCACTGGGACATATTGGAGGGTGGAAGGTGAGAGGAGGTAGAGGATCAGGAAAAATAACTAATGAGTACTAGACTTAATACTTGGGTGACAAAATAATCTGTCCAACAAACCCCCATGGGAAAAGTTTACCTATATAACAAGCCTGCACATGTACCTCTGAACTTAAAATAAAGGTTAAATTATAAAAGAAAGAGCAATGGATAGCGTATATATATATATATATTATATGTATATATACACACATATATATTATATATACATATATTATATATATACATATTATATATACACATATATATTATATATACATATATACGTATATATTATATATATATACTGTTTAGCGCAATATGTTTTCTGGAGTTTAAATGTATGTAGAACTTTAAAAACATAGAAACAATAATATAAAATTCAGAAGAGAGTAAAATTAATTTAAAGTGTTCAAATGTCCTTGAATTGTTCAGAAAAATGTAAAATAGACAATTTACCTTCAACTTTTAAAAGTCTGGGATGCACGTTCAATTTCTAAGGTTACCATTAAAAGCAAAATAAAACAATGTATAACTATTCAGATATCACAAGGGCAAATAGAATCATGCTAAAATACTTGATTGATCCAAAAGGGTTCAAGAAAGGAGAGAAAAAAGAACATAGTGCAATTGTGACAAATTCTAAAACAGTAGATTTGAACCCCAGAATATATATATTTTACATTAGATGTAAATGGACTAATTACTTTGGTTAAAAGACAAAAGATTGTTAGGCTATAAAACAAAATTTATGTGGTTTACTAGAGTCAAACCTTAAATACAAGGATACCGAAAGACTGAAAATAAAAGCATGGAAAAAAGCTATAATGTGAACCAAAATGAAAAGAAAATTGGTATACCTATACTAATATCAGACAAAGTAGAATTTAAAGGAAGAAGCATTAGCAGAAATAGAGGAATCATGAAAATATATTAAAACATGGGGATACATCTAAATTCACCCATATACGGAAGTTTAATAGCCCTGAATACACATATTAGAAAAGAAAAATTGGTTGAAAAAAAAAAGTGGTGCAAGCTGCCATTTAAGAAGTTAAAAAAAAAGGAAGAGCAAATTTTAAAAGTATCTGCATATATACTCTGTGTGTGTGTGTGTGTGTGTGTGTGTGTCTCCACATTCCTTTACTTCAAATATCAGGGATCTGGATTAGAGTCAAAGTTTGATCAAGTCCCTTGCAAATTCAGTTATGGCTGCCTGTGGGAAAAATACCCTTCTTCTGCCTAAAGAGTTGCTGCTTTAGACCTATTGCAGCTTTATGTTATTATGGGGACTGAATAGGAAGCTGCAGTTGAAGGCATTCACAAGAAAAAACATTGCCTTTGTGTCAGTGAATCTCGTTTTTTATTATTTTGTGGCTTTCCTTCATTTGGAGATAGTTTCTGGAGTGTCTGCATTTTATTTCATCTCTCCAGAATACCCTGTCCCACGTAGGCACTGAGTGTTTTACAGGGACCCTCATTGAGTGAGACCTTATGTGCCCTTACACTTTTGTCTTAGACTAACTGCCCCTATGCCACTGATTGGCAGGAATTGGCTATATCATCTGCCACTCTAATGTAGTGGGAATTTGTGGATTCTCCTGTGGATCTCTTCTTTACTTCAAAGGCAGACTTCTCCTTTATGTACAGTGAATAGTTTATGTACTCTCTTTTAATTCAGTCTTGCTTACCCTATGTATAGCAATAATCACCTAAAGTTTCTGCCTTGTGTATAACTTCTGTGAATTTCCAGGTACGATACAGAGTTATTCACTTATTAACATACTATCATTTCAATGGGAATTTGTAAGGGGGAAGTTCAATATATACGCTCAGATTACAATCTCTATTTAAAATCTTTCCTCCTCTCTCCATTTTCCTTAAATTTTTCCCTGAAATTTTACCTCTGCTAATTTGGAAATTATACACATATCTTGTTTTTATTTTACTGATATTAAATATATACTTAAAAACCACATTTTAATAATTATTTTATAACTATCTCTGTCATTAGTAATTTCTTTTGATTTCTCCTTATGTAAAATGATGATTACTTAGGCTTTTTTTTCTTTATTCCCATTTCTTGAGTTTATTATTAGAATTTGGGATTTTATCTTCAGTTTATTGGCAGTTTTTTTCTTTATATCTTTTCTTTCATGGTAGTCAAAGCATGGTTGAAACTTAATTGTGTGTGTGTATACATTATTTCAACACTCATTGTCTATCTTAATTGTGTGTGTGTGCACACAAGCAGCATTATTTCAATGCTGATTGTCAATTGCTGCTTTGAGTCCCCATTTCTTCCTTTGAGCATTCAGTTCTTCAGGTTGAATGATAGCTTTGTTGGCAGAGATACATTTTGAGCTGTGCTTCTGGAATTTTAGTGTGCATATGAATCACCTAGGCATCTTGTTAAAATACAAACTTTGATTCAGTAGATCTGGAATGAGGCCCAAGAGCTTTCATTTCTAACAGATTCCCAGGTGATGTCAGTGCTGCCTGTCCATGGACCACACTTCAAGCAGCAAAATTTTATAGACTTTTTAATTTCAGGAAAAAGTTGTAGGTCTTATACTTTATGAGTTCTTATATATCTGAAAATGACTTTTTCTTGCTTTCACACATAAACAGTGAATGGCTTATTTGAGTATAAAATTCCTAAGATACAACCTTTTCCTTTTAAGACTTGGTAGTTCCTTTCCCATAAAGCTTGGTGTACGGTGTTGCTTATAGACCTCCCAGGCCAGCTGGTTTTTTTGTAGATAACCTATTTTTTAGATAACCTGTCTGCCCATAGGAGTCTTTATTTTTTCCCTTAAGTTCAAGAGTTTTACAAGGCCATGTCTAGCTGTCAGTGTCATAATATTTATTTTACCCTGGCACATGGTGACCAACTTTTTGGTACAGATTTAGATCCTTCTCTATGGTAGGAAGATTTTTCTTCTATTATATTATTCACTGTTGGTTCTTACCCATTTGTTTTGGCTTTTTCTTCATGAATACCAGTAATTTCTGTCTGTCTTTCACATTTATCATGTTCTCTTTAATTACTTTCCTCTTTTTTTTTTCTTTTTCTGTGCACGTAGGGGTGATTTTCAAGCTGTCATATGAACTTTTTTTCTTTTTTTGAGACAGTCTCACTCTGTCACCCAGGCTTGAGTACAGTGGTGCGATCTCAGCTCACTGCAACCTCTGCCTCCTAGATTCAAGTGATTCTTCTGCCTCAGCCTCCCACGTAACTGCAGTTACAGACGTGTGCCACCACACCTGGCTGATTTTTGTTTTTAGTAGAGATGGGGTTTCACCATGTTGGCCAGGTTGGTCTCAAACTCCTGACCTCAAGTGATCTGCCCGCCTCAGCCTCCCAGAGTGCTGGGATTACAGGTGTGCACCACCACATCCACCTAATTTTTGTGTTTTTAGCAGAGATGGAGTTTCACCATGTTGACCAGGCTGGTCTCAAATTCCTGACCTCAAGTGATCCACAGTCCTCAGACTTCCAAAGTGTTGGGATTACAAGCGTTAGCCACCACGCCTGGTTTGAACTTTTTTTCTGATCTGTTAACTTCTAGTGGAGTTCTTTGTTTATTTTTATGGGTACATAGGTGTATATATTTATGTGAGATATTTTGATGCAGTAATACAATGCATAATAATCACAGCAAAGTAAATGGGGTATTCGTCCCTTTAAGGATTTATCATTTCTTTGTGTTATATACATTCTAATTATACTCTTTTAGGTATTTTAAAATGTACAATAAATGGTTGTTGACTGTAATCACCCTATTGTGCAATCAAATACTAGATCTTATTCATTCTATTGAACTATGTTTTTGTACCCAACCTAGTGACGTTTTAAATACTGCTATGGCATTATTTATTACCTAATATTCTTTCCTTCGCTTCAAACCTGCCGCTTTTATGTGTCTGTTGTTTTAACCACCTGCGTCTTATCCTGTATTTTTTTGTCTATTTTTAGTGTGATATCTGGCTAATTCTTACTTATTCTTCAAGGTCATGCTCTTTTAGGAAGCCTATCTTGACTGGTTAAACTTTGGTCTTCCTGTGTTGTGCTTCCATTATAGTACTAAATGGAATATAGTACTAAATGGAATATAGTACTTGCATCCATTATAGTACTAAAATTGTTGGCAAATTAGGACCTGTTTTTGAGAAGGGATAATGACTTCATCATTCCGAGATCTGACATAGTTTCTTACATGTGATGAGGACCCAAATAGCATTTATTGAAGGAGTAAATAAATGAGTGTGTGCTCACTATCGCCTTGCATCTTTTGCCAATGCTCTTCTTTCCGCCTAAATCATCCTTTTCTCCTTGTTCTGGTTGACACATGGTTGATCATAAAAATGCCTTTTGAGTCCTCATTTCTTCCTTTTGCATTCATTGGCAATTCTCACTCTTTACTAGGACAGGGGCGACTCTTCTAGTGTTTCCGTAGGATCTCATGAATACCGTTGTGAGAGTGTTTATTCCGCTGTATTGTTTTATTTTTCTGTTTCCACAATTGAGACAAAATTTTAGGTGGCATAGATGGTGTAATTCATCTCTTTATGCTGTGCCCACATGATTATTGATGTATGGTATAAATTTAATACATTTTATTCCATAAATTAATAGAGAAATGAAGTAATGTATTTCTGGGTTGATAAAAAAACTCCATGACTATAGTATGGGTCTGTGGGATAGGTAAGGATGGGTAATTCTATGAAGAATATTGAAAACTATGTTGGGGAGTATGGACTTTTAACAAATATTTAAAAACATCATTTTTTTCAACAATGTACATGTATATAGTTTAAAGAGCCAAATGACTCATGTAGGCTTGAGGTGAAAAACAACAGCCTCTTGATTCCCTTCCTCCCATTTCCTCACCCACCAGGGGCAACTACTGTTAACAATTCTATCTGATTCTCTTGGTGTTTTATCCACATTTCTAAATAACATGTTTATATTGCTGCTTCTTGATCTTTCAGTTGTAGGCACTACGCATTAGAGTCATACTATAGATGAAGATTTAACAATTTTTCACACCTCCTGCTCCTTTCTCTTCCTTTCTCTCTCCCCCTCCCCCTCCTCTTTCTCCTTTCTCAACCTCTCCCTCCAGTCTGTCTTCCAGTCCCATACCCCAGAGTTTTATATAACTTTGACTGGGCCAATATGCAGTTTTTAAATTATTATGAAGGCATATTATTATTAATGCCTTCATTAAACTATTATGAAGGTATATTATTATTATAAAGACATGTTATTAAATTATGCCTCTATACTATTCACAGCTATGTCATGTAATATACAGCAATTATTTTCCCTTTCCTGAGTTTTTTTTCCACTAGAGTCAATAATTACCTTGCTTTTTTATTTGCTTGTTTTCTTAGTTTTTACATGCTTATCACTAATTCAGAAAAATGTCATCATTCTAATTTTCACTTCACTAATTTCATTCACTTTTCTAATTTTCATTCACTTTAATTTTCTTTTAGACCCTTCTTCTGGAGAATTCTTAACCTTTAGCTGAGCTACTTGCTGTCTAACAAGAAATTCAGGAGGCATCTTGGAATCTCATTTTTCTGTCATCCTGGGAGGGTCATTTACTTCTTTCCTGTGTTAGATCTCCTGTTTCCTAATCACCTTCCTTTTTCCTCCTCATTTTTATGGATACATTCTCCAGAAGCTTCCTGCTTATCTGAAAAGATCTTTATTTTCTTCTCAAACTTGAATGATGATTTTTCCATATATATAGTTATGTAGAAATGATTTTCCCTCAGAAATTTGAAGGCTTTGCTCCATATTCTAACATCAAGTAATGTTACTGAGAAATCTAAAGGCATCTGGATTGCCTGCTCTTTTTTCCTCCTCTCTGGATGCATGTAGAAACATACATTTTCCCCCAGTGTTCTGAAATTTCCTAACGTTATGCCTTGGTGTGGGTCTATGTTCATTTGTTGTATTGGACACTCAGAGAGTCCTTCACTATAAAAACTCATTCTCTTCAGTCCTGAAATATTTCCTTGATGATTTCTTCTATTCATTTTCCTCTATTTTCTTTTCTTTTTTTCTTTTTGTTTTTTTGAGACAGAGTCTTGCTCTTGTCACCCACGCTGGAGTGCAGTGGCTTGATCTTGGCTCACTGCAGCCTCCGCCTCCTGGGTTGAAGCAACTCTCCTGCCTCAGCCAGCCAAGTAGCTGTGACTACAGGCACGTGCCACCATGCCTGGCTAATTTTTGTATTTTTTAGTAGAGATGGGGTTTCACCATGTTGGCCAGGTTGGTCTCAAACTCCTGACCTCAGGTGATCTGCCAGCCTCAGCCTCCCAAAGTGTTGGGATTACAGGCATGAGCCACCACACCCAGCCGTGTTCCTCTGTTTTCTTGTTGAAACTCCCATTATTCAGATATTAGATCTTCCAGTTTTCTCTTTGTTCATTTGCCCTGCCTTCCAGGAGATTTATCTAAATTTATTTTTTCACTCTCTTTACTAAGTATTTTATCTCTTTCTATACATATATTTTTTCCTGAGTTATTTTTTGTTCCTTGAATTTTTAGGAATAGAATTCTGTCCCTGATTCCCAGATGCAGTATCTTCTGTTTCATCTCTGAGAGTATGAATAGACATTTGGGAGGAAAATTTTTTTCACCTTGCATAGTCTCAGTTCCTCCCAAATTGCTGTTTTCTTTTAAATTTTTTTTTTGTCACTGTATTTAAGGTTAGAGGTCTTTCTGAGATTTCTGGTGATCCTTGTTTGTTTATTCAAGTTTAAGGAAAGGAGCTATGAGCTTAACTGGAGGGAGATGTGGCCAGTACATCTCATTGCCTGATGATGTCTTTAGGTGTTCTATTTTGAAATGCTTTGATTTCCCAGTGAAGGCCCTTCTGAGTCCAATATTTTAGGAACCAAGTGAGGCAGAAAGCTGGGATCTCAGCATTAAATACATTAATTTGTATTTAATCCCTGTTTTCAGTATAGTACTCTTGCCCTTAGTTGTACCCAGTTATCTCTTGGTCCAGAAAATTACTGTTTTACCCTCTTTAGATAATAACATACAGTCATGCCAAAGTAAGGGAGGTCAGCTGGAAATTTAATCTCTTTTTAAACAGACTTTCAATCAGTCATACTGTTTTGACCCCAACTTTATCCTGCTTTCAAAAGTATCTGATTTACCACTTCTGAAGTCTTTTGTGAGTTCTGCAGAGCTAATTGAGTTGCTTCTAGGAATTCCCCACTGCCATCTTAGGATTTACCTTTTTCTGGGGCTGAGAAATCAAAAGATATCCTTAATATGAAATAAGTAATTTAAATAACACCATAATTATTACAGAAAATTGAATTTATAGTATAAAAACTCTCTCTCCTCAATCTTAAGGCCTAGATGGTTTCACTGGCAAATTCTACCAAGCATTTAAAGGAGAATTTACAACAATTCCATATAATTTCTTCCAGAAAACAGAAGAGAAGGAATACTTTCCAATTCATTTTATGGATCTAGTATGACTTTGATACCAAACCATACAAAGACTATATAAAGAAGAAAACAACAAACCAATATATCTCATGAATATAGAAGTAAAAATTATTAATACAATCCTGTCAAAAGTATTAAGAAAGATATAAAAGGAATTATAGACCATAACCAAATGGGGTTTATTAGAGGAATGTAAGGCTGTTTCAGTATTTGAAAGTCAATCAATGTAATCTAGCTAATTAATAGACTAAGGAAGAAAAAATGTATAGGATCTTATCAATTGATACAGAAAAAATATTTGACAAAGTCACCAATTCATGAAGAACTCTCAGAAAAATAGAAACAGATATCAGCTTGATAAAAAATTTAAGAACCTTTAACTAATATTGTATATTATAATTGATGGTGAAAGACTGAACACTTTCCCCCTAAGGTATAGAATAAGGTAGGGTTGTCTGTCTCACCACTCTTACCATAGGAGAAGAAAAATACAACTGTCTTTATTTGCAGATGACATTTTTGTCTACGTAGAAAATCCCAAGAAATCTACAAGGTAACTTCTAAAACTAACAAGTGAGTCTGGCAAGGTCCTGGATACAAAATAAAAATACAGAAATCAATTGTATTTCTCTTACTAGTGATGAGCACATAGATAACAAAATTTAAAAATACAGTGCCATTAATAATCATTCAGAAAAGTTAAATGCTAAGGTGTAAATCTAACAGAACATGTATAGGACTTGTACGCCTAATACTGCAATGTGCTAATGAAAGAGGAACCCTAATAAAATACCTAGGAATACATTTAGCCAAGGAGGTGAAAGATCTCTACAATGAAAACTGTAAAACACCGATGAAAGAAATGGAAGAAGACACAAATAAATGGAACAATATTCCACATTCATAGATTGGAAAAAATAATATTAAAATGTTGATACTACCCAAAGTGATCTACAGATTCAGTGTAATCTCTGTCAAAATCTGTCACATTCTTCACAGAAATAGAAAAAAACAATCTTAAAATTTGTATGGAACCATAAAAGACCTCAAATAAATTAAGCAATCTTGATCAAAAAGAACAAATCCGGAGGCGTTATACTACCTGACTTCAAAATGTGCTACAAAGCTGTAGTAAGCAAAACACAATGGCAATGGCATAAAAACAGACAGGTTGTCCGATGGAACAGTATACAGAGCTCTGAAATAAGTCCACACATTTACAGCCAACTGATTTTTTACAAAGGTGTCAAGAACACAGGGAAAAGACAATTGTCTCTTCAATAAATGGTGTTGGGAAAACTAGATATCCACATGAAGAAGAATGAAATTATTTCATACCATATAGAAAAATCAACTAACGCCAGGCGCAGTGGCTCACGCCTGTAATCCCAACACTTTGGGAGGCCGAGGCGGGCAGATCACGAGGTCAGGAGATCGAGACCATCCTGGCTAACATGGTGAAACCCCATCTCTGCTAAAAGAATACAAAAAAATTGCCGGGCATGGTAGCGGGCGCCTGTAGTCCCAGCTACTCGGGAGGCTGAGGCAGGAGAATGGCGTGAACCCAGGAGGCTGAGCTTACTATGAGCTGAGATGCGCCACTGCACTCCAGCCTGGGCGACAGAGTGAGACTCTGTCTCAAAAAAAAAAAAGAAAAAGAAAAATCAACTAAAAATAGATTAAAAATTAAAATGTAAGAAATTTAGCATCCGGAAGAAACAGAAGAAAAGCTCTATGACATTTGTCTGGGAAATGATTATTTTACACATGACCCCAAAAGCCAGAAAAATATGGACAAATGGGATTACATCAAACCAAAATGCTTCTGTACAACAAAGGAAACAATCAACAGAGAGAAGAGATAACCTACAGAATGGGAGAAAGTATTTGCAAGCTATGCATCTGCCATGGGGTTAATATCCAAAATATATGACAAACTCAGTAGCAAGAAAAAAATAACCTGATTAAAAAATGGGCAAAGGACCCAAATAGACATTTCTTAAAAGATATACATAGGATGAACATGGAAGACAGTATTTAAGTGATGTAAGCCAAAAGATATATGAACAAATGCTCAACATCAGTAATTATCAGGGAAATGCAACCTAAACCACAATGAGGTATCATCTCACACCTGTTAGGATGGCTATTAAAAAAACAAAAGACAACAAGTATTGGCAAGGATGCAGAGAAAAGGGAACCCTTGCACCCTGTTGGCGAGAATGTAAATTGGTACAGCTACTATGAAAAACAGTATAAGCGTTCCTCAAGATATTAAAACTAGAGATATCAGTTGGGCTTATGCCTGTAATCCCAGCACTTTGGGAGGCTGAGGCGGGTGGAGCAACTGAGGTCAGGAGTTAGAGACCAGCCTGGCCAACATGGCAAAACCCTGTCTCTACTAAAGATACAAAATTAGCCAGGCATGGTGGCACATGCCTGTAATCCCAGCTACTCAGGAGGCTGAGGCAGGAGAATCGCTTGAACCTGGGAGACAGAGGTTGCAGTGAGTCGAGATTGTGCCACTGCACACCATGCACACCAGCCTGGGCAACAGAGTGAGACTCTGTCTCAAAAAAAAAAAAAAAATCATATGATCCAGCAGTCTCACTATTGGATATATATCCAAAGGAAATGAAATCAAGATATCAAAGAGATATCTGCACTTCCATGTTTGTTGCAGTGTTTTCAAAATAGCCAAGGTGTGGAAACAACTAAGTGTCTATCAGTGAATGAATGGTTAAAGAAAATGGTATATATACACAATATAATACTATTCAGCCATGAAAAATGAAGGAAATCCTATTATTTGTGACAATGTGGATGAACATGGAAGACAGTATTTAAGTGACGTAAGTCAGGCACAGGAAGGCAAATACCACATAATCTCACTCATATGTAGACGCTAAAAAAGTTGATCTCGTAGAAAAAGAGAGTAAAAAGGCAGTTGCTAGGGGTTAAGATGGTTGAGGAGGGGAGTTGAGGACATGTTGGTGGAAGGATACAAAATTTCAGTTAGGTAAGAGGAATAAGTTTAACAGAACTATTGTGCAACAGTGTCATTGTAGTTAATATATTGTATTATTGAAAATTGCTGAGACCGGATGTTAAGTATTATCACCACAAAAATAACTGTGAGATAATGGATATGTTAGTTTGATTTAGTCATTCCACAGTGTATAGATACTTGAAAACATCACATATTGTACACGATAAATACATACAATTTTATCTGTTGGTGTGTTGTTGTTGTTGTTGTTGTTGTTGTTGTTGTTTGAGATGAAGTCTCGCTTTGTTGCCCAGGCTGGAGTGCAGTGGTGCGATCTCTGCTCACTGCAGCCTCCGCCTCCCAGGTTCAAGCGATTCTCCTTCCTCTACCTCCCGAGTAGCTGGGATTACAGGCATGCGCCACTATGCCTGGCTAATTTTTGTACTTTTGGTAGAGATGGGGTTTCACCATGTTGGAGAGGCTAGTCTTGAATTCCTGACCTCAAGTGATCTGCCTGCCTCAGCCTCCCAAAGTGCTGGGATTATGGGTATGTATCTGTTGATTTTTAAAAGATATTTTAAAAGAATAGAGTGGGAGGAATCAGCTTACTTAATATCAAGATTTACTATATGGCTGCAGTAATGAGAGCAGTGGTATTGGCAGAGGAATAAACAAATGAGATCAACGGGAGAAAATATTTGAAAATCACCTAACAAAGGACTAGTATCTCTATTAAGAACTCTCAAATATCAACAATTAAAAATCAAACATTCTAATTAGAAAATGAACAAAGGACACGAATGGATATTTTACCCAAGAGAATACATAGATGGCAAATAAGCACACAAAAGTATGTTCAACACTACTGGCTATTAAGGAAATGCAAATTAAAACTGCAATAAGATATCATTACCTACCTATCAGAATAGCTTTCAAAAGGTTCACAACAAGAAATACTGGCAAGGATGCAGAGGAAGAGTGTTACTCATACATTGGTTCTGAGAATGTAAAATGATACAGCCATTCTGGAAAATAGGCAGTTTCTTTTAAAAAAATAAACATGCAACTACCATACAACTCAGCAATTGCACTCCTGGGCATTTTTCTCAGATAAATGAAGACTTAGGTTCACAATAAAACCTGTACATGAATGTTTATGCCAGTTTTACTCACAGTGGCCAAAAGGTGGAAACAATCCCAATGCCCTTTAGTGGGTGAATCATTAAACAAATGGTGTTACATCCATACCAGGGAGTGCTACACAGCCGTAAATGGAAATGAACCATTGATAAACACAACAATCTGGATGAATCTCCAGAAAATTACAATGAAGTTATAAAAATCCAATCTCTAAAGCTTACATACTGTATTTCACTTATGTAATATTCTTGAAATGACAGAAATTATAGAAATGGAGAACAGTAGTTGCTAGGTGTTAAGGAAGAGGATAGGGTGGGGGGGAGGAGATGCAGCTATAAAAGGCAACTTGCAGGATTCTTGTGATGATAGAAATGTTCTGTACATTACCTGTATTAATATCAGTCTCCTAGTTGTATTCTTGTAGCAGAGTTTTGCAAGATGATACCTTTGAGGGATCCATGGGGTCTCTTTTTATTATTTTCCTACAAATGCATGTGATTTACAATTATTATTATTATTATTTGAGATGGAGTCTCACTCCGTTGTCCAGGCTTGAGTACAGCGGCACAATCTCGGCTCACTGCAACCTCTGCCTCCTGTATTCAAGCAATTCTCCCACCTCAGCCTCCCAAGTAGCTGGGATTACAGGTGCACGCCACCATGCCCGGCTAATTTTTTGTATTTTTAGTGGAGACAGCGTGTCACCATGCTGGCCAGGCTGGTCTCGAACTCCTGACCTCAAGTGATCCACCTGCCTTGTCCTCCCAAAGTGCTGGGATTACAGGTGTGAACCACCGTGCCCAGCCGATCTACATTTATTTTAAATAGAAGATTTAATTTAATTTTAAAAAACTAGAAATGCCAGGCAAAATAGGACACACATTTAAAACAACAACAACAACAACAACAGCAGCAGCAACAACAACAACAACAACAACAACAGAACTAAAGTTGAACCTACAAGAAATTAAGGGAAATCCATGGGGCCAAAAAGCAAAGAGTAAACTGAATGCCAGACTAGTAAGTGCATAACTGATTCTGTGCCTGCCCTAGTGATGGAGATGGGATTTGATCATCTCAAAAACTCAGGCTGTTGAGTTTTAATTCCTTCATAATCACAGATCAAGTCTTGAGTGTATGCGAGTTCACACCATGGGAACTGCAACCCTAAGATAAAGGCAAGACCCTTGAGGTCCAGACACTTAACAGAAGGACTAGGGGGAAAATGTCCACACACCAGCATAGGGAATTTAAGTATCTTAGTCTTAATTCCATATGAAAAAAAAATTCCACGTTGGAACAGTGGACCTGTTCTCTCAAAATTTGGAAGTGCATGTATATTGGCCTATACATATTATATATATTACATTGAATACATATATCCTATATGATTGTGGAAACATTTACGTGGGAAATTAATATGAAAATTGATCTTGTAGCCTGTGATATCCTTAAGGTATGGCAGCAATGAAAGATTTGAGAGTCAGGCCACCAACCGGCTGCATAGGATTCCTGTCGATAGAGCCCTGCTAATGACAAACTTGCAATCCTAAAATATGTAACACACAAGGAAATACTTGCGAGGAGTAAGCACCAGCAGGCACAACATTGATGATATAAGAGAGAAAAGCCATACAGTTATCTATATTGATGCAAAAGTAGCAGTTAATAAAATGAATACTTACTCTCAATTGAAAAATATTAGCAAACTAGGAATAAAGGTATACTCTCAATGTACAGTAGATAATCTTGATAGTAAAAATGTTACCACATTCACCTTAACATTAGGTGTGAGATAAGAATGCCCACTGTCATTGCTTGTATTCATTATTGTATTTGAGGTCCTAGTCAGTGTAGTAAGGCTAGAAAAAAAATGAAATAGAAGGATAACTCTCATTATTCAGAGACTACTAAATTGTGCAGATAGAAAAATCCAAGAGTACTTGTACATAAAATAATAAAACTAATAAAATAATTCAGTAAAGATTGCTGGAAGCAAATTAATGCACAAATGACTGTGCTCTTACACAGTACCAAAAACTAAATAGAAAGCAAAATTTCAAAAGGCAGTACTAGTAAAATATATGGTATGTTGTAATAAGTTCAATAAAAAATGTGTAAGACCTTTATGGAAGATTTAGATGCTTACCTAAATAAAAGGAGAGCTATAATATGTTCATATATAGGAAATCTCAACATCATAAACATACCAATTTTCCCCTATGTTAATCTATAAGCATAATTTCAATTCTAAGTATCATATAGGAGTGCAAAGAAATGAAAATAATTTTGAAAAAGAACAAAATAGGGGACTTGCCTGGACAATTAAAATGTTTCTTTTAACTATACTAGTGGCATAGGCGGGAGTAGCAAGTGTGGCAAAATTGAGAGCCCAGAAACAGATATATGCGTATGTGGAAGTTTGGTATATATTGAAAGTGGCCCTGTAAATCAGTGCAGGAAAGAGGGATAGTCAATACATGGTGCTCAGATATGATTATCGATAGTCAGAGGAAAACATTAGAACATATCAATTCATGTAAAGAATAAATTCCAAGTGCATTAATCTCTACTTGTAAAAAACAATGTCTGGAAACATTTAGAAAGAAATATAGAAGAATATCTTTGTGATTTCTAGAGAGTGAAATATTCGCTAACTAAGATACAAAAAGTTTGAGTTACAAAGGAAAATACGGATAAATTCAAGCACAATAAAAAATACACATCTGTATCACAAAAATATAAACCTAAAGAAAAGCCATAGAGTGGAATAAAATCTTGACAATGAATATAACCAATAAAGGACTAGTATTTGAAATATTAAGTAACTTTTACTTACCAATAAAATAGAAGCAAAAAGAGGCTAGTAGAAAAGTGGGCAAAGAATATGAACAGGAAATTCATAGAAGGTGAATCTGCATAGTAAAAAACAAATGAGAATTATAATTTCACTGACAAAAAACTGAAAAAGCATATGAAATGAGGCTGGGTGTGGTGGCTTACACCTGTAATCCCAGCACTTTGGGAGGCCACGATGCGCGGATCACTTGCGGTCAGGAGTTTGAGACCAGCAAGACGAAACCCCATTTCTAAAAATACAAAAATTAGCCTGGTGTGGTAGCACATGCCTGTAATCCCAGCTACTCGGAAGGCTGAGACACAAGAATCGCTTGAGCCCAGGAGGCGGAGGTTGCAGTGAGCCAAGATTGCACCACTGCACTCCAGCCTATGTGAGAGAGCAAAACTCTGTCTACCCCAAAAAGAAAAAAAGAATATGAAATGACATATTTCACATTCTTCATATTGGGAAAAAAAAGTTTTAAAATGTCAAATATTGACCTAGATGTATAAAAATAAGAACCTTCCTGCACTGGTAATGAGGGTGAAAACTGGTATGTCCATGTTAGAGAGCAATTTGTCAATATCTGGTAATAGTGATGCTGTAAACACCCAGAAGAGAACAACCCCGCTCAGGTATATATCCCAGAGAAATGCGTAAATATGCCTAACATGGTGGTTTAAGATTGCTCATTGCAGAACTGTGGGTGCAGTTTAAAATTTGAAACCAACTGCCAAATGAAGATTTGGAACAATTTTCATCAACATTTAGGAAAATTGATCAATGAAGAATAAAGAGAATTGATCAATAAATTTTGGTATATTTATAAATGGGATTCCTACAGATCTCTAAAAGTGAATGAATTAGAGTTACATCTGTTAACGTGGATATTCTCAAAAACAGTTTTCAGAGAAAAAAAAACTGCAGAAGGTTTTTGGCACAATATGATTCCATGTACTCAGTTACCTCTCCTATTTCTGATGTAGTATTTGCTTAACTTTTTCATTTCTTAGGACTAATATAGCATTCTTTAGTCTATTTCTACACAAACCTTAGCCTACATTCTGAAATTTGCTTGTAGGCCTGAGAATCTCCAAATTTGCCTGCTCCCTGAGCTCATCTAATTTAAACAGGTATCTGAGGGTAGAAAACATCCTAAATCAAATGTGTATATATGTATTTGTGCATATATGTGCATAAATTGAGAGAATAATAGTTTCTGTGGTGTTTCAGAAGTAAGACAAGTGCATGTCATTGCATGTGCTCTCCCAGCTTGGTTCCTGGCATGGGGTCAGGCCTGTGGCACACCCACTTTTTCCATGTCTAAGAAACAGGGACAGGCTGGGTGTGGTGGCTCACGCCTGTAATCCCAGCACTTTGGGAGGCCGAGGCGGGCGGATCACGAGGTCAGGAGTTCAAGACCAGCCTGACCAACATGGTGAAACCCCGTCTCTACTAAAAATACAAAAATTAGCCAGGCGTGGTCAGTGCATGCCTGTAATCCCAGCTACTCAGGAGGCTGAGGCAGGGGAATCGCTTGAAACTGGGAGGCAGAGGTTGCAGGGAGCTGAGATCGCGCCATTGCACTCCAGCCTGAGCGACAGAGTGGGACTCCGTCTCAAAAAAAAAAAAAAAAAACAAAAAAAAAGGACAATAACACCACTTTTTGGCTATAATGAAATTAGATTAATTCAAAAGCATGGTAGCAGGTTCTTTAATAAGATTATTTCGGAAGCATGGTAGCAGGTTCTTTAATAATTCACTCATTCCTGCTCCCCACATTTTAGGCAGCTGTAAACCTTAATCATTCCTCACCCATTCCCATATTAAGAACTTTCACTGTCATTTTGGAAGTACTCTGAGATTTTTAAGAAGGAAACCTACTTCCCTTGGAATGCTTATCAGGTCTCTTTATCCTTGAACTGCCTTAGAGACTTATTAAGTCTTCATAAATATTGAATGCTTGTGGTCAGTTTTTCTTGGAAGAGGAATATGGAGGTGATTACATATAAAACCAAACTGAAAGCCATCCCAAAGCTTTAGAAAGCATTTCAGTGCCTTCCCTTTTTATCAGTGTACTCCTTCAAATTCATGATTTAGGGCATTCATGATTTAGGAAAATAGCAAATGTAGCTATTTTCCTCATATATTTCTTGTGGATAAAGTTATTTCAGAATTTGATTACTTTAAATAGTCAGTTCTTTTGCACTGCAAACCATATGCCAGCCAGAATGTCCCTTTCTCTTGCAGAAGTGTGTAACTTGATATTCTAGTTAAGTGCCAATCATGGGAAACACAGGTTTAAGTTAACTACTATTTTAAAAATTAATATATTTTTATTCTTCAAAACACATACTTCTCAGGCTTTATGACACCATTATTTGAGTCAATATATCATCAAATGAATATAATAAATTATAGTGCTATGAACTCCAGGGAAATTTTATTAATGTTTTTAATATATCCTCATGTGGAATCAACATATGTTTTTTATATATTCATAAATTTATGACTTCAAAACTCTTCAATACAGGGTGTTACGAATGTTGTAATGGATAGAAAATACATAATTGTGAAATGATGTTCTTGAATTTTCAAATACTCCTGATAACCATTAGCTCTTGCATATACTAATTACACTGAAATTAAAAACTTGTAAGTAATATTTCTGCAGCTTAGTTGCTTTGGCCCAAAGGAATTATTCCAGAATAAGCTGGCAGGTTCCTGCTTGGGGAATTAGGATTCCAATGTCCTTAACTTTAAAATAACTTGCATTTCATTTTATGTCTGTTTCATAAAGTAGTCTTTCATTTTCATACTAAATTGTAACCAAAGCAAGCCACATCAATAGAGGCCAGTCACTGGATTTACTGTGTATTAGGTTGGACAAAGTAAAATAGAATGTTAAAAATGGTCGCCAGGTGGTTGGGTTTAAAAATAAAAACGTTGCTACTGACTTATAAAGGAAACTGAGAAGTAATCTCCCTGAATCTTTATATCCATATCCTGGTACATAGTAGGTTCACCATAAGACATTGTTGAAGGAAGAATGAGTCCAAAATGGTGCATTATGTTTTGAAAATTCGTGACATAAAATGCTCTCTTTTTCATATCACCATGCTGCAATTGTAGTGGGATTTGTAGGAGAGTTGTACATACTTTTTAGGTTTATATTTTCAGGCTCAACACTCAAGATGCAAATCAGTGACTCCTGGAAACTCAGCTTACAATTAGGACACAGCAGGTGGCAATGGAGTGTAGACCATTGCTCTACACATGGTCTACACTGAAGGCCTGAGACACAGCCATAAGATACCTTTGATATATTCTTTTCTTACCTTTTAGTTTTAAGTTTCTTTTTACAAGAACAGTTTTTAATATAAATAGCTAAAATTAAGCAACTACTAAAAATGCATCTGAAAAATTATTTCTGAAAATGTTTAAAGAAAATGCCATTTTTATTAAGTTTCAACAAGTTTTGTATTCCAGTATTGCCATCAATTCAAATATTTTTTTTAACCTGTGACTCTCTAATTTGCTTGTTCCCTTGAAATTAGCATCAAAAGCTTTTTACAGCTGCAAGTCAGCATGGTACAAAAAGCTTTTTGGTTATCACTTCCCTAATCTGTTAGCAACTTCCCTCAACTGGGGCTTTTCCAAAATAAGAGAGTAATTTCAATTACTTCTTCACTTTTCCTATTATTTATTTTCTTCTTTTGTTCATACGTAAAAAGCAAAATGAAGTAGGCCATGTAAGTGAATGACCTTTTCAATAGGCATAGCTGTTGTTTCCCAGTAGAATGGAGTCATTTCCCCTTGACCAAGAGAAAGACTTCTCCACACCAGTACATTTTTTTCTACCATCCTCCCAGTTTGGTGCTGCTTGAATGTTTAAAATTTGACGTACTCTTAGCAAGATTTTAATAAATTTAAGAATCAAATACCTATAACAAAATTTTAAAAACAGAAATATGCAGTGTTACAAAATATTAAGACATGGCCAACCCATTGTGATAATCTGGGAAGATGTTCTGAACCACAAATCAAGAAAGCGCATCTACCTAAATACGATTTAACTACAAATTAGGTAACGCTTTTGGAGGCAGCTATAATGCTGTTCTTTTCACTCCAAAATGTCCTTCTCCCAAAGCCTTCTAAATCTAATTAGGGATTGTACCACCTCAAAAACACAAGCTGTGAGGAGACAAGGGGTACAAGTTGCAGTTGGAACAGAAAGTTTAAGGTGAAGATGGCATGAAATGGAAATGGAGGAGGGAGAGTTTGAGAAAAACTGCAAAGGAAAAAGAGTGGAAGTTAATATTAAAAATGTACTGGACACAATAAAATGCAAAATAACCACTACAGAAAACTAAAATCTGTAGTGTGGAGGAATATCTGTAGAATATTTCTCATAAGCACAAGAAAAGGTCAATGAAATTTTATATATATAAATATATAAATATAAATATATATATATATATATATATATATATATATATATATATATATGTATGTATGAGGAAATCATAGATGGACCAATGAAGAACTAATAGATGCAGAGAGAGGGAGCTCCAGCCTCAGAATTATAGGCATTTATGGCACAAGAGCAGTAATCAAAATCATAATCTGAAAATAATCAGCAGCATTGTAAATAAAGACCTTGAGTATTCCATTCAAAAAGGCTCACCATTTTCAGTAAAGACTGATGAAACACACGACTGGATACATCCTGATTATAACTTAACTTTTATATCAAGTACTAACACAACAAAACAAAAGTACTATAAGCTTTCAGGAAGAAACATAAAACACACAAGCAAAGGAATAATCAGATTTCTCCTCTGCAAGTCTCAATATCAAGGGTCAATGAAGTGTGTTTACAGCTTTGAGGAAAAAGAAGTAACATCATATCATGCAGCATTGCCTTTCCTGTATGAAATGCAAAGATTTAATCATAAGCCAGCCATGCATCCAACTAATTAAATAATACTTAACCAGCCAAGAGTTAAAAACTCATACGTGAAAAATTCATATTATGAAAGGACTGGGATTTGTTTTAAAATACTTCTAAATATGTATTGTAAGTATGGACAAAAATGAAAACCTAAAGATGTTTACCGAATAATTTTTATATTATATAAAAATAATGGACTCAGAAATCCCACTTCTAGGTATTTACCCAAGAGAAATGAAAAACTTTGTTACCATAAAACCTGCATGTGAATGTTTATAGCATTTTTTCATACTTACCCAAAACTAAAAACAAATATCTAGCTGGTGAATGAATAAACAAACAGTTGTACATATGTGCAATAGAATGCCAGCCGGCAATTAAAAAGGTGCAAACTATAGATACCTGCAACCACAAGAATGATTTTCAAGTATATTATGCTAAAAAGAGTCAGTCTCAAAAAGCTACATATGCTGGGATTCCATTTATATAACATTTTGGAAATGGCAAATTGTAGGGACAAAACCAACCAGTGGTTGCCAGGAGCTGAGGGTGGGGGAAGAGGTTGACTATACAGGGGCAACCTGAGAGCATTTTTGGGGTGATGGAACTGTTCCAAATATTGGTTGTGGTAGTGGTTGCACAATTGTATGGGTTTGTCAAAACTCTTAAAATTGTATACATCCCAAATAGAATTTTAATATATGTCAGTTTTTAAGTAGGGAAAAGGAGAAGCAACATAATCAGGAAAGGTAATATCGGCATAGCAATGTGAACATACTTAAACACTGAACCACACACTAAAAAGTGGTTAGGATGGTAAATTTTATGTTATGTGTATTTTGTCACAATTTTTAAAATTTTAAATTTAAAGCTACCAAAATAATGCTTGTATAATGGACTATGATGTAATCATTAAAATAATTTTTCCAAAGAATTATCATTGAAATGAGAAAATGCTTATCATATTAGATTAGGATGAATTAACAGTATGATTTTCAATCCTATAAATGGCAGAAACAGTGGAGGATTAAATGACAAAAGAATAAAGTTATTGGTGATAGGATTTTGAGTGACTACCTCTATACTTCTTGGCACATTACTGGTTTCCACTTACTCCTTTTGTAATCAAGAAAAATGGAAGCATCAGAAAGCATATGCAATGAGTTTTACATTGCTGACTCTATCAGTCATTTCATATAGGCTCATATTTAAATCATACTGGCAAAAAAATGACCTCCTATCCACTTTAAAATTATTTTTATTCCCATAGAAATAAATATTTTAATAACAATTGAAATAGTATCTGTTGACTTTTAATTCAAAATGATTATTTAAGCCTGTGTTTAGCTTTCCTGGCTCCAAATTTGCCATTGAATTCACCAGGAAAACATAAAGGGAAAAAATATGTAACTCCATTGAAAAATTAGGAAAAGTGCCATGAAGAGATCAGATATTTTTAAGGAGTTTATGTAAAATATAGACAGACAAGCACTGGACTGAGGAGAGTACCCGTTGGATGGAATTCCAGTCTCCCAAAGGAAAACTCTGCCTGGAAAATGAGTGGCAGGGTCGCAGAGCTAGTGGCTGTAGAGGAAGATAGGTTATGTGGTGGTCATCCCTGGAAAATTCTCAAACTTACCAGTATTAGCATCCCAAAAATACTGTTCCAACATGACTTGGTAGAATCCCATTTGGTAAGGTCAGTGGTTGAAACAAAATAGACCGGCTGCAGTAGCTCACGCCTGTAATCCCAGCACTTTGGGAGGCTGGGGCAGGTGGACTGCTTGAGGCCAGGAGTGTGAAACCAGCCTAGCCAACATGGTGTAACCCCGTCTCTAATAAAAATACAAAAATTAGCCAGGCACGGGGGTGTGCGCCTGCAATCCTAGCTACTCTGGAGGCTGAGGCTGGAGAATTGCTTGAACCTGGGAGATGGAGATTGCAGTGAGCCGAGATCAAGCCATTGCACTCCAGCCTGGGCGACAGAGTGAGACTCTGTCTCAAAAAAAAAAGGAAGCATTACTTCAAGCAAATTTCTAACAAAGACTGTTGTACTAATTAAAGGAAGACAGTGAGTGCCCTGCTAACTTGAGTTGCTTCAGTAAGGGAAGAGAAATGTCCTAGTGGAGACGTGCTACACAAATTCTTCTACATGTAGCATTTCCCTTTTCATTATAGAAAAGAATACACATATGCACACATGAGACACACACATATTGTACATTAATTGTAGTGGTTATATGGACCCTTGGGTAAGAATTGCATGTGAGTACTACTATTAACTAAAGAATTCATTCTTTATTTAATGTGACACTTCCACAAGACTTTTTGGCTCCCGATCCTTGAAAATTAGTTTCTTAGAATTAAACTTTGAATCTTTGGGGTAATGTGCACTAGTAAAAGTTTTACAGGGAACCAATGCCTTGTATTTGCTTTTTTTTTTTTTTTTTAATGCTTGCCTCTTCTATGAAATCATTATTTCTTCTTTCTTCTTTCTTTTTTCCTTTAGGAATTGTGAAGGGCAGAACATTCGGTACAAGACATGCAGCAATCATGTAAGTCATAAAATAAAATTATTTTATCCAATACAATATGTGCTTGTTTTAAGTTACAATATTCCAATGTGTACTCTAAAACTGATGGTCTCTTAATACCCTTTGTGGAAAACTTAAGTATTTCTTTAATTGACAACAGATTTTGTATATCAAATATCTTCCATTTATACTACCTTTTAAGGCCATATCACATTCATGATCTAATTTGGTAAGTATTTAATAATTTCTGAAGTCATAGAAACAATATAATATCTGCAAGCTCCTTCAAAGTTCAGAATGCTTTTATGTTCATTATCTTACCTGACCTTCACACTGTCTCTGGGCAGGTGAGGTGCAGCTATTTCTCTTTTGCGAGTGAGAGGACTGAGGCTGACCGAGGTAAAATTATTTTTTGAAGGTCACATAGGAAGAGTAGACTTACTTGAACTGGTCTGTTGTTATTTCTACCTCAGTGTCATGGAATGCTATAGGTGACCCATCAGCAAATCACACAGAAATATACAAAACCCTACCCTTATTTTACATCAGTCAACACTAAAAATAAAAATTCAAATATCTTGCTTTAGAAATTTGAAAATAAGGCCAGGCGCATTGGCTCATGCCTGTAATCCTAGCACTTTGGGAGGCCAAGGCAGGCAGATCACTTTAGGTTAAAAGTTCGAGACCAACCTGGCCAATGTGGTGAAATCCCATCTCTACTAAAAATACAAACTTAGCTGGGCTTGGTGATGTGTGCCTGTAGTCCCAGCTACTTTAGAGGCTGAGGAAGGAGAATTGCTTGAACCCAGGAGGTGAAGCTTGCAGTGAGCCAAGATCGCGCCACTGCACTCCAGCCTGGGCAACAGAGTGAGACTCTGTCTCAAAAAAAAAAAAATAAATAAATAAATTGAAAATAAAAAATAAACACCAGAAGGAATCCATTCTATTTTCCATTCAAAACATTTCCTGGTTATCAGTAAGAGGCTAACTAGAGGTACTTGACACTTGCCTCTTCATACACAAAAAGACCAAAACAACAAATAAACAACTACAATTAGACTAGAGTGTCTGAGGGAGAGCACTGGAATATAGCAAGGGAATAGCAGAATGCCTGTGGCACACAGTAACTCAAGATGGCAGCATAGGGAGGAGGGCGAAGTACTCTGCCTCTACTACTCCATCTCCCCTGTAAGGTAAGCAGGGAGCCCCTAGTAGCCCCTATTACCACTGCAGACACATGTAGTCCTTGCTACAGGAGAACGCGGCAGTCCTCACAGGCCCTGAGCCCAGTTTGGGGGAGCTGCCTGGAGTTCCCACAGCTGCATTGCTTCACAGTAGGAGCTCACATTGTGCACTGCCCACCTCCCATGACCCAGGCTGTTATGGCACAGTGCCACCTTGAAACTGGAGCCACTGCTAGAGTGTGCTGTACTCTAGGGGACAGTAACCACTGATCTTTCCATCCCACAGATGACTGCAGCACCACAACCCTAGCTATTTAGACCCTAGGCCTGGTGAAATGGTGGTGACTCTTGCATCCAAGTCCACATGGCACCCTTCCCTGCAAGGAACAGGTCCTGCACAGTTGTGCATGTACCTCCAGCTTAAGAACCAGCCTGGTGGCCCTTTCTCTGGCAAAGGTGCACCACTACTGCCCTAAACTCCTGCAGCCTAGGCTATTGAAGCACTCACAGATATTACTACATGGATTACAGCTGATGAAACTGTGTGTAGACCCAACTACTGTGTCCACCCAGAACCAATGTGAATTCACACTACTCAACTGACACCCTAGGACACATCTTTAGGGAAAAGTCTTTCCTTATAAAAGCTACTCTGTAAAATTGGAAGCAAAAACGAATTCAGCAGATGCACAGATATCAAAGTAGATACACAAGGCTGGGTGTGGTGGCTCATGTCTGTAATCCCAGCACTTTGGGAGGCTGGGGTGGGCAGGTAACTTGAAGTCAGGAGTTTAAGACAAGCCTGGCCAACATGGTGAAACTCTGTCTCTACGAAAAATACAAAAATCAGCCAGGTGTGGTGGCACTCACCTGTAATCCCAGCTACTTGGGAGGTGAGGCAGGAGAATTGCTTGAACCTGAGAGGTGGAGGTTGCAGTGAGCTGAGATCACACCACTGCACTCCAGCCTGGGTGACAGAACCAGATTCCATCTCAAACAAGCAAGCAAAAAACAAAACAAAGTAGATACACAAGAAACTTTAGAAAGCAAAGAAACATGACACCTTCAAAGGAATATAATTCTTGAGTAACAAACTCCAAAGAAAAGGAAACTTACAAAATGCCAGAAAAAGAATTCAAAGTAGTGATCTTAGGGAAACTTGTGAGATACAGAAGAACACAGATAAAAAATTTAATGAAATCATTTGAATTTACAATAGCTATATTTACAAGAGCTACAAAAAAGTAAGATATTCAGGAATAAATTTAACCAAGAAGGTAAAAGATCTTTGCATTAAAAATTATAAAGCATTAATGGCCGGGCATGGTGGCTCACGCCTGTAATCCCAGCACTTTGGGAGGCTGAGGCAGGTGGATCACGAGGTCAGGAATTCAAAAACTAGCCTGGCCAACATAGTGAAACTCCATCTCTACTAAAAATACAAAAAATTAGCTGGGTGTGGTGGTGGGCAATCGTAATCCCAGCTACTTGGGAGGCTGAGGCAGGAGAATCACTCGAACCCGGGAGGTGGGAGTTGCAGTGAGCTGAGGTTGTGCCATTGCACTCCAGCCTAGGTGACAGTGCGAGACTGTCTCAATAAATAAATAAATCAAAACAGTAATGAAATAAAGAGGGTGCAAAAAGAGGTGTTCATGGATTGGAAAAATTCATATTGTTAAAATGTCCTTACTATCCAAAGTGATATACAGATTTAATACAATCCCTGTTAAAATTCCAGTGACATTCTTCACAGAAAAAAAGAAATCCTAAAACTTGTATAGAATCACAAAAAGACTCTGAACACCCAAAGCAATCTTGATTAAAAACAAACAAACACACAAAAAACAAAACTGGAGGCATCACACTACCTGACTTCAAAATATATGACAAAGTGATAGTAACTAAAACAGCATGACATTGGTGAAAAAATACACATAGATCAGTGGCACAGATTAGAGAGTCCAGAAATAAGTCCACATACCTACAGCCAACTGATTTTCACAAGGGTGCCAAGAATACACACTGGGGAAAGGACAGTGTCTTCAATAAACTGTGCTGGGAAAATTGGATATCTATATGCAGAAGAATAAAACTGGACCCCTATCTCTCACCGTGTACAAAATCCACTAAAAATGAAGTAAAGACTTAAATGTAAGACTTGAAAATAAGAAACTGATAGAAGAAAACAGAGAAAATGCTTCATGACGTTGGACTGGGTAAGGATTTTTAAAATATGACCTCAAAAGCACAGACAATAAAAGCAAAAATAGACAAATGGGATTATATTAAACTACAAAGCTTACGTACATCGAAGGAAACAAGAGTAAAGAGATAACCTGAAGAATGGGAGAAAATATTTGCAAACTAGACAGCTGGACACGGAAATATTTAGAATATATAAGGAATTCAAACAACTCAATAGCAAAGAAACCCAAAACAAATAATTTGATTTAAAAATGGGCAAAAGGCCTTAATGGACATTTCTCAATAGAAAACATAAATACCAACCCAGGTGTATGAAAAAATGCTTAACATCACTAATCATCAGAGAAATACAAATCAAAACCACTATATCACCTCATTCCACTTAAAATGATTATTATCACAAAGACAAAAGACACAAGTGTTCCTGAGGATGTGGAGAAAAGGGAACCCTTATTGCTATTAGTGGGAATGTAAATTAGTTCAGTGTTTGTGGAAAATAGTATGGAGTTCCTCAAAATTTAAAAAATAGAACTACAATATGATCCAGCAATCCCATTACTGATTATATATTCAGAGGAAATGAAATCAGTATATCACAGAGACATCCTCACTCACGTGTTTATTGTAGCACTATTCACAATAGCCAAGGTATGGAATCAACTTAAATGTCCAACAGTGAATGAATGGTTAAAGAAAATGTGGTATATATACACAATGAAATACTATGCAGCCGTAAAAAGAAGGAAATGCTGTCATTTGTGACATGGATGAATCTAGAGGATATTATGTTAAGTGAAATAATCCAGGCACAGAAAGACAAATACCACATAATCTCATTCATACGTGGAATCCAAAAAAAAAAAAAAAACAACTTGATATCTTAAAAGTAGGCAATAAACCAGTGGTTACCAGAGACTGGGGAGGACAGGGGGCAGGTAGAGATTGGGAGAGGTTAGTCAAGAAAGTTACAACTAGGAAGGAAGGATGATTTTTGGTGTCCTGTTGCACAGTGGAGTAGCTATAGTAAACAGCAAGACATTGTATATCTCAATTTAGCCAGAAGAGAGGATCTCGAATGTTCCCACCACAAAGAAATGATAAATTTTTGAGGTGGTGAACATGCTAATGACCCTAATTTGTTCATTATATAATGTATACATGTATTGAAACATCACGTTGTACCCCATAAATATGTGCAATTTGTGGAGCCCTAAGGAGTTGAAAGAAAACTGAAAAATGGGCTTAGCTGGCAGAAACAGAAATAGGGGGTAGAGAGGAACAAATGTTCTGAGAAATAGGGTCAACTGCAAATGGCTCACTAGCACCCAAGCATCCTGTTACAAGCATCCAAATCACAGCCCACCTGCACCAAGCATCCTGTCTGCAAACATTCAGCCCAAGTAGCACAACCTAAAAAACTCCCTTGCAGTCCCTGCCTCTTTGCAGACAGCAGACAGCCTTCCCTCTGCTGTATTGCCCATTGCTCACTGGCAGTGTATCTCCCCTTTTCTTTAAATAGATCTGCCTTTCCAGACTCGTTACTGTCTTGGTAAATTCCTTTACTGACTATGTGTCGGCCCCAGGCAATCACTAACCATGACATTTTATGTGTTTATTAAAAGTTTTAAAAACATTTCCCTCATTGGTGGTATAGACCCAAATCAAAATGACAGGAATTAAAAGGAAATTCTGAAAATCAGGAGATCTCATTTCAAATGAGATTGATTTATTTTTATCCACTTTTCTCAATTGGCTGTAACTAATTTATTTTAAAAGATCAATTACTGGAGCTTTGTCTGTCTTTCTCCCTTCTCTGTCCCAAGCCAGTGTGAGACATCAGTCCTGGGTAAGGGTTTCTAATCTGTGGATCAAGTTTTTTCTTGGTGGGTAGGCCCCCGAGTTCTATGGGAGTAGAAAGCTGGCAGTCTTTAGCAACACCTTTTGACTGAGAGCTCAAGCCATATTTGCAGTCCATTTCTATCAACGATGAAGCTGACATTTCTATCTGTATCTCTCCACTGGTTCCAAACTTGAATGGGAAAAAATGGGTGCCTATTTACTGGGGCACTCAAACTCAAATATCACTTAGCCAGAAGTAACCAGATTTTTATCAACCGAGTCCTCAGAGGGATTTTGGAGCACGATGCAAATGCTTCACATCTCTGGTGATTTGAATTGAATCACACTTGATGTTGAGCAACACACCTGCTTGTGAATGCTGAATTAACATTCATTCATTGTGAATGCTGGAAGTCCAGATGGGGCATGTAGGAGGGAGAGAGAGAGACTGAACACAAAGGCAAGTATGTCAGTGCCAACGTAGTCTAGCCTTCCTTTTAAACAAGCATGTGGGTGCATTAGCAACCTCAGAGTTCTACCACCTTTTTCATGGGTGCATTAGTTGTTTTTATTGTTGTGGTAACATATTACTATAAATATAGTGGCTTAAAACAAGACAAATGTATTATCTTACGGTTCTGAAGGCCCGAAGTCTGACACAGGTCCTACTGGGCTAAAACTAACATATAGGCAGGGCTACATCATTCTGGAGGCCTAGGGAAAAATTAATTTCCTTTTTTTCCCAGCTTCTAGAGGCCACCCATATTCCTTGGCTTGTGATTCCTTCTTCAGTCTTCAAAGCCAGCAATGCTGCATCTGTTTGAACATTTTTCTTTTTCTTTTATTTTTCTTTTGAGACTGAGTCTCACTCTATCACCCAGGCTGGGGTACAGTGGCACGATCTCAGCTCACTGAAACCTCTGCCTCCCGGGTTCAAGCGATTCTCCTGCCTCAGCCTCCTGAGCAGCTGGGATTACAGATGCTAACCAGAATGCCCAGCTAATTTTTGTATTTTTAGTAGAAACAGGGTTTCACCATATTGGCCAGGCTGGTCTTGAACTCCTGACCTCAAGTGATCCGCCCACTTCGGCCTCCCAAAGTGCTGGGATTACAGGCATGAGCCACCGCACCCAGACTGAACATTTTTCTGTAGTCATATCTTCCTGTGACCACAGCTGGGCATTGTTCTCCCACCTGGATAATCCTAGATAATTTCTCCGTCTCGAGGTCTCTAACTTTAGTTATATGTGCAAAGATCCTTTTGCCATGTAAGATAACATAGTCGCAGGTTCCAGGGGTTAGGTCATGGACATCTTGTGGGCCAAGGTGGTGCATTATTTTGCCCAACACAATGGGATAGCTAAAGTTTTCTTTGGTCTGACAATTTCCTTGTAGTCATTCAAGAACAAATTTCAAAACAGTATGATTTCCAGCAATAATTTGTGAAACTATTTAAAACAATTCATTTTAAACCCCAGATCAAGGTGTTACATTTTGGGATCTCATTCTAGAGTTTCTCTGTGTGTGTATCACTCTGCTCTAGCTAATTCCAAAAAGGAACCTATTATCAACACAAGTGTTAGAGTATTATGCCACATAGTACAGACATAAAATGTAATCTGCTAAAATTATGCACATGAGGTGCAATGGTTAGGACTTTGGTATACTCGAGTGAAGATATGATGCCCCTGAAGCTCTCTGGGCCTTGGGGGTTACCTGTGGTCTCTAATTTATGGTCCCTCTGGGAGAATGCGGCAGAAATGTTTCTAGGTTGGTAAGAAATAGATGCTTGGGGTAGAGTAGGAAGGAGGTGGAGAAGCAAATGCTGCCCTTTTTAGTTCTCAGAGTTGGAATCCTTAGAGAGTCCTAAGAGAGGTTTCATAAGAATATAGCATCAGTTGCTATGCTTGTCATTGCAAACTCAGAATTTCCAACAAAATTCCTTATTTGTAAAATAAGGGAAGGTTGTGGCAGTGGAAGTGTCCAGAGCATCCCTTTGTCTCCACGTGCCACAGTATCTGCAGCTGTGCACGCCCAAGCTGTGTTGCAAACCAGAGGTGCATAAATGCAGCCCCAGCTTCAGTGTTGATAATCTGTAAGAGTCCATTCCTGCACAGGAGAGATTATGCAAGTATATTCCTGAATATACTATAGAAACATTGCAAACATGTTGAGTGCCATAAGTGGATGTAACCACAATGAACTTGGAGTATGAATATGGTTGTATCTTTTTTTCCATGTAATTACTTGAACTGCTTCCTGCTTTATTAATTGGGGGCTCAAAATATCCACCTCACCATAGCAGGAGTGGGGACCAGTCTGCAACCCACCCCACCTCAAGTGGGAGAGGACCAAGTTCTGATGAGCATCCCCCTGCTGTTACTTCTCACTGCCTTCCCACTGCCATTCAATGCCTTACTGAAGACTGGCCACACTAGTTCAGTGGTTAGTGGAGTTCATTTTACCTGGAAATGGGGATGGTCATTCACTCTTTTGAAGGAAGTTGCCTTTAGTGATTCTAAGATGAGGAGTTCTTTTGAGGGATACTTGCCCCCTGATTCAAACATGCCTACACCTATACTTCCAGGACCGTAAAAGCCCTGTATTAAGGGACGGCAGGGTCTTTTCAGTCCCATCCAAGAGATGTCATCATCAATGGCCAAACTCAGTCTCTATCAGAGTAGTCTGCTGTATGGAGAAGGAGGTGTTTCTGTTAGTGAGCCTTGGAGATCTAACACTGGATCATATTCCAGAGATTGCTAAAAGTTCTGTTTCTCCATGGGAATGCCTGAAGGCTCAGGCTGTCAGCCTTAAGACCATGGGTTGTTGTCTATACGTGTTGACTTCCTCACACTTAACTGAAATAGTAATAATAATAGTAGCTCATACTTATTAAGTACTTCCTGAATGCTAGGCATTATTCTAAGTGCCATTTCATGTATAAATTAATGTAATCCTCACACTAACCCTGAGAAGTACGTGCTATTTTTATTTCCACATTTACAGAGGAGATTTAAGTAACCTGCCCAAGGTCACAGAACCGAATTTAACCTCAGACAGTCAGGTTTCGGTGAGTGCACACCTAACCACTCTACTACACTGTACAAGAGTATGGAAAGGCTGTAACCTTTGTCAGATAATAAAATGATGGTGCAGACAGCAGTAGCTAAAGCATGGTAGCTTTTAGCAACACGTGAGCACAAGAATTGCTGTGGTTTTGGAGACACATTATACTTCCAGATACCATTGTAGAAAATCTAACTGTGGAACAGTAGGTCAGACCTTCTAAATAATCTTAGTTGGCAAGGGCCAGAGATCAGGGAAGAGCAGGGAATTAACTGAAAGAGACGCAACTGAAGGGAGTCAGAGAAAGGAAATCCTCCATGGCTATTCGTTTTCCACTACTCCAGCAGCCTGGGGTGGATCCCTAGCATAGGGGAGGATCTGACTTAACGAGGACAGACTCTGACAGTTGCATTTCAGAATTCTACCCACCTCAGCAGAAGACACTAAAGAAAAAAAAATTCAGTCACTCAAGAAAAGATCAAATGTTCTTTTGTTATGAAATCTAGTTGTAATAGGGACATGCATTCACAGCACATAGATGAAGATGAAGAAATTCCACTCCTGGTGTGCAGGAGATCATGCCTCAAATGGCAGGAGCGGAAGACATATCCAGGCCACGAGGACCACACCACTCTCCCTGACAATTCAGACTTTGGTTCAGTGGCTCTCCTCAGGTTCACTCTGTCAGGGGAGATGGGGATTTGGGCTTTGGGCCTGAAAGATTATGGAACAGAACATGCCTGGGTACAGTGCCATGGCTCCTGGGTGACTGCTGTCTTCAGACATAACCTGCTGATCAGCACTTAGCATATATCTTTATAGCCAGAGACTGGCCCCTGAGCCCTAGATAAAGAATTATCCTTATCAGGGGTATTTTGGAGCAAATGGAGAATTCCTAAGAGAAGTCATGCATGTCAGCAGGGAGGTCTAATACCTGAATTCACTGATGAGTCATGTTTTTATACCAGGGTTTATAGGATTAAAGGCAATGCTGGAAGAGGCAAAGGGAAAATAATTTTAAGATAAGTGTATCATAATTTGGTAAGGATGTTTTTGTGGCATGAACACATTTTTATATGAGCACAGAGGGAGGCCTGGTGTACTTGCAGACGGGGCTCCCAGGGCTCCTTCTTGACTTTACAGAAGGGACATTTGATGTGACCATTGCGGGATCCCTCATACCTGGATCCTATGAATGGCTAGAATCTGACAATTTTCCATTCAGTATTTCTCTTGAAGGTGTTCTTTTCTTTTCCTTGTCATTAGTCCTACTCTGGGCAAGAGTCACCCCCTCTCATGTCTGTCTCCAGACTTCCAGGCCATCTTGCGATTATACTGTTCCTAAAATGCCATCTTTTATATTTTAGTCCCCTCCGTGGATCCTTATTGCTTTTAAATCTCCTCACTTGCATTCAAGGACCTTCTTATCTTCAGGTAAGATTTATCTCTTATTTAAACTCCCAACTTCCACCCTTTCTGGACAAGGCTGCACACTGCTCCTTATGGATAACGAATTTATTTCTGCTGTTTCTCTTTTGTTACGTCGTTTCCCGAATCTTATCCTGTTTACATCACACCATCCTTTAAATCCATCTGAGATTTCACTTTTCCACAATTCCTTATTTGCCAACTCTAGCTTACAGTGGCCACCAACAATTTATTTTTATGCTAGAAATGTTGTCATTTGTTATATGAAAGAATCACAAAATTTAGCTCATAGTACAACTTGGATATGAAGTTAAAATAAAATTTTAAAATTTGCTTGTAGCAACAATATTATTTCTCCTGAGTCCCTACTTGCTGGTTATTGGGAGAGGGGATTGGGAGGGGGATTGCCTAAATGTCTGATCTACATGAAAGCTTGGTCCAGTCCTATTATATAAATAATCTCAGGTAATGGCCTGTCTCTCTTGCATAAAAGTACTCAGTTTATTAGATAATCTTTCATTCCTGGCTTCTATACATAAGTTGCCCCCAGGTTTTACATATCCCCATGGTTTTAGGAGGGGAAGGAGACCTTGTTTTCAAGATGGTTTGGGAAATGGGTGCCTTTTGTCATTTGTTGGCTGTGGCAGCTGCCTCCTCTTCCTTTCTCTTCCCTTCTCCTCCTCTCCATCCTCTTCTCTTCCTCCTATCCTTCTCCTCCTCTTTCTTCTTTTCTGAGCTTCCCAGACTGGCTACCTGCACTGACTGACACTTCCTTTTTATTACTTCTATCAGGTTAGAGTCAAGTCTTGCTGATATGGAATCTATTCTTATTAACTTCATCTAATCAATTGTACAACTTAACTCTTGGATAACAATTCTGTGCCCTTCATTGCATTCCTACTTAAAGTCTACAAATACCAGTGATAACACTTGTTCAGTGTGTTTCATGCGTATAGAAGCTACATCTCCAATAAGATAACAAGCTCATTGAATGACAGTGGTGGATTATATTTTTTTTTGTGTGTTCTCCCTAGCACGTGACCTAGGGCAAAGCCCATCAAGTATATTTCATAAATAAGTGTTGTCTTCAACTTAACTGATAGGAAAAAAATGCTTCTTAGGGAAAGGAAAGCAGAAGAATGTTTGGCATTTTGCTCCCTAAATGTCAAATAGACTGTTTAAGACACAAGAATCCCTAGCTTGTCTTGAGCTGGGACATGGGACCTAGCTGAGCCAGATTAGGCAAGTTTAGCGTTGACACTGGAAGAATGTGAAGTGAATGAAAGCATTTATTGTAAGCAGTCAGCGTCCCCCACATTTACTAGAAAGCAGTATTCTATAATAGAGTGCTTGTTACTTTGAGAATCAGTCTTGGCTTTGTCATATCCTAGTGTGTGTCTTTGGACTAGTGGCTAAAAACTTTCTAGGTCACAGTTTTCTCCATTTATAGAGTGAGGGTAATAATCCTGACCTACCTAGTTCAAAGGGTGGTGGTAAAAAGAGAATGTCAGTGATTACCCCTGGGAAACTAAAAAGCATGATCCGGATATCAGGCTGCCTTAATCAGATAGCATCATATGCTAAGAACAGAAGTCCACTTAGATTAGCTCAGGACAAAGGGGATTCACTGGATGGATATGTGGGTTTTTAAGAGAATTTAAGCATAAGCAGGCCTTGAGGGCCTGGAGCCAGAAATCAGAAAATGAGGAACACAGGTTACTTATTCCTATTTAAATGCATAGTTTACTGTCTTTCCTCCTCCTTTCTTACCGAATTCATTCTTCTTTGCTGTGGGAACTGGCTTGCTTTGCTTCAACATGAATCTTATAAAAGAAATGGCCAGTCCAACCCCAGATTGATATGAGTTCTTAGCTCTCTTAGCTCCAGCTCTTTTGTTGCAATCGCAAATTTCTGGGAAAGATTGACCTGGTGTGGACCAGATGTTTGCCTCTGGATAGTCAGCTGTGGCCAAGGGGGCTGGTCACATGTACAAATCTGGCCACCCTGAGGCTGACATCCTAAGGTGTCTTCCGCTAATTAACTCTTGTTAATTTTGTGAAACTTCATTGGTTTATGTTTAAGGGAGTCGAGAGTTAGCTAGCCGGCACATTCAGTCCCTAGAGAATGCTTGCCATTGAGCCTAATGCAAAGAAGTTGCTTGCATCCTGCTCTCTTAGACACTTTCCTTTGGTTGGTTTCAAAGAGTGAGATATAGAGAAAACTAGCTGTGGCTGGAGGAAGAGGAGGTGATGTAATTTTGTAACTGATGATCCTTCCTATGGCCAGATGGAGGATACAGTCCTCATTTCAACAGAGGAAAGTCATCTGGCCTGGCACGGTGGTTCATGCCTGTAATCCCAGCACTTTGGGAGGCCAAGGCAGGCAGATTGCCTGAGCCCAGGAGTTTGAGACCAGCGTGGGCAACATGGCAAAACTGTCTCTACAAAAAATTAGCTGGATGTAGTGGCTCGTGCCTGTAGCCCCAGCTACCTGGGAGGCTGAGGTGGGAGGAAAACCTGAGCTCTGGAGGTCGAGGTTGCAGTGAGCCATGATCATGCCACTGCGCTCCATCCTGGGTGACAGAGTAAGACCCTGACTAAAGAAAAAGTCATCCAGTTTTAGTCTTCTTCAGTTTGACTTGCTTCTAGGAGTGTAACCTGGTTTAATTTTGCTAAGACAACAAAAATGTGGATGCAATATAGGATTTTGGAATGTTTCACAGCAAAATAATACAACTAATCTCAGAAGAATGTTTGTTAATTATATTCTATCTATTCCCTATCTACTTCCAAAAAGGATTTAAGGAAGTTTATAAAGGCCAAAAGTGTAAACAATAAAATACAAACGTGAAGTAGCAAAAAGAGGAAAACTGTATTTAAAAATCTTGGCTGATAATTTATCAATATCTATTTGTGGAAAAAGAAAAGCTAGATTTCTAACTTAAACCATTCATCTAAATAAATTCCAAATATAACAAATAGTTAAACATGACTGCTAATCTGTAAAGGAACTAGGAAGATACATTTAAGTATTTATCTGTTCTCAGAGCAGAGTGGGAAAACATTTCTAAGCCCATTAAAAAAGAAAGAAACCTGAACGGGAAATATTAATAGAGCTGACTGCATGAAAATGTAAAACTTTTTGACTTTACAAAGTACCAAAACCAAAATGAAATGGGGAAAATATTTCCAACAGAAATGACAAAGAGTTGATAATTTCACTATGAAGTTTAATAGTTTCATCTGCTGAAAATAATAAAAAGACAAAAATGCCAATGGATAAAGGATATAAAACAAGACATTTTTGAAGAATTAATACAAAAAGCAAATACACATGAAAATATATTAAACAATAAAAAGAAAATGCAAGCTGGGCGCGGTGGCTCACACCTGTAATCCCAACACTTTGGGAGGCTGAGGTGGGTGAATCACTTGAGGTCAGAAGTTTGAGACCAGCCTGGCCAACATGGTGAAACCCCATCTCTAATAAAAATACAAAAAAATTAGCTGGGCATGGTGGCGGGCACCTGTAATCCCAGCTACTCGAGAGGCTGAGACAGGAGAATCACTTGAACCTGGGAGGTCCAGCCTAGGTGACAAAGCAAGACTCTATTTCAAAAAGAAAACGCAAACGAAAACAATGAAGTTATATTTTATACTTCTGATTGGAAAAAAAACTAGAAAATTATAATGGAGGGCAATTTTGCAATATTTTGAATAGTCTATAAAATGTGCATAACCTTGGACTCAGAAATTTTATTTCCAGAAAGAAGTCCTTGGTAAATAATCAAGATTTGTGTGAAGATTTAGATACAAAGATCTATGTTATTTATTCTTTTGTTGAGTAGAAACTATTTTCCAAAGTTTTTAGAATGAATATTTATTACCTTTATAATACAAAAAAATAATAAAATACTTTATGGTGTGGTTTTTTTGTTTTGTTTTTTTGGCAACAGAGTCTCGCTCTGTCACTCAGGCTGGAGTGCAGTGGCACAATCTTGGCTCACTGCAGCCTCCACCTCCCAGGTTCAAGCAATTCTCCTGCCTCAGCCTCATGAACAGCTGGGACTACAGGCATGCGCCACCACACCCAGCTAATTCTTGTATTTTTCACAGAGACGGGGTTTCACCATTTTGGCCAGGCTGGTCTGGAGCTCCTGACCTCAGGTGATCGGCCCGCCTCAGCCACCCAAAGTGCTGGGATTACAGACGTGAGCCACCACGCCTGGCGGCTATGTTGCTTTTTTCTACCTGTTGTCTTTAATTATGAAGTTTGCATATCAAAAGTAGATTTTTGATGAGTAAAGTAATACTTTTCTCAACTAGTATCTTGCTTTGGAAATATCTGGTGGGCGGAATCAGTAATTTAGTAAAAAGACCGATGAGTCATCAATATTTGTACAAACACTTTTTATTATGAGAGCAACTGAAGGCATGTACTTAGAATTTATTTGCTTTTGTTGTAGACAGAATTTGAACAAGCTATGTTTTCTGCCGTCCATCCTACAGCCAGTTGAAGGCAGGTACTTGGTACCAGTGAAGAGATGGGAGGGAGCCTGACGGGAGGAAAGACAGATGAATTAAAAACAACGACAGGCCGGGCACTGTGGCTCACGCCTTTAATCCTGGCACTTTGGGAGGCCGACACAGGTGGATCATGAGGTGGGAGAGCCAGACCATCCTGGCCAACGTGGTGAAACCCCGTCTCTACTAGAAATACAAAAATAAGCTGGGCGTGGTGGCGGGCGCCTGTAGTCCCAGCTACTCAGGGGGGCTGAAGCAGGAGAATCGCTTGAACCTGGGAGGCGGAGGTTGCAGTGAGCCGAGCCACTGCACTCCAGCCTGGCGACAGAGTGACACTCCGTCTCAAAAAAAAAAAAAAAAAAACAATGACAAAGAAACAACCACAAGTGCTCACAGAGCACAGCAGTTTTGGGCTAATAATCCTTCACATTGAAATGGCTCCTGAAGGCATGGATAACAATTAAATTTTGATGAAGACCTTGAATCCTTGAATCACCTGGAAAAATTGAAAGCATTTGGTTTCCCTTGTTTTAAAAGGAAGGAGATTAGATAATGCATTTGAAAATTTATATTCAAGATGGTTAAAATAGGGCAAAGTTTGCCATCTAAGTCTTGTAGGCTCTAATTATCTGGAAAAAATACCTGGGTGGGTGAATGATCAGAATAATGAGATAATCTCCTGTATAAATAATTATTGCAGTGATCTCTGTGGAATTTCATAGCATACATTCAACGTTGAATCAAAAAAAAAAAAAAAAAAGAGGGAATTAGGTGACTCCCAGAGAGAGGCAAGTGAGGTGTGGTCTCATGAGATTCTGGTGAACTTATTTCATCTTCTCTTGGCCTCTCTCACTGGGTGATGTGCATGTGGCCTTTTCCCTCTGCCCCCAGGACTGCCCTCCAGATGCAGAAGATTTCAGAGCCCAGCAGTGCTCAGCCTACAATGATGTCCAGTATCAGGGGCATTACTATGAATGGCTTCCACGATATAATGATCCTGCTGCCCCGTGTGCACTCAAGTGTCATGCACAAGGACAAAACTTGGTGGTGGAGCTGGCACCTAAGGTACTGGATGGAACTCGTTGCAACACGGACTCCTTGGACATGTGTATCAGTGGCATCTGTCAGGTAAGCACACTTACCTCCCAATCCCCTGCTTTGGGGATGTGCCACGCCTACTGTCAATAAACAGAACCCTTTTCTTCTGTATTTTTGTTCATGCAGATGTAAATATTGCTATTGGCCAGGTACGGTGGCTTACACCTATAATCCCAGTTTTGTATTTTTATACAGCAAATACAAATACAAATTGTATTTGTATCCCAATTTTGTATTTTTAGTATAGATGAGGTTTCATTATGTTGGCCAGGCTGATCTCAAACTCCTGATCTCAGGTGATTCGCCTGCCTCAGCCTCTCAAAGTGCTGGGATTACAGGCATGAGCCACCGCGCCGGGCCATCGATTAGTGATTCTCTAACTTGAACAAGCATCAGAGTCACCTGGAGGGCTTGTGATAACAGAGTGTTGGGCTCATCCCCCGGAGTTTCTGATTCAGTAGGTAAAAGGGATGGGGCCCAAAGATTTGCATTTCTAACAAGTTCTCTGGAGATACTGAAGCTGTGGGTCTGGGGAATACACTTTGAGAACCGCTGTTTTGGAAGAGTAATACTAGAGAGTCTCTTATTAAATTAAGCTTTCTTATTAAAATTAATTCATTGTTTTGGATCTTTGGGCACAATGATTTATTTACTGAAAACTAACATGAATGCATTCCAGCAGATTTTTCAGAGTGGTCTCTGCAGAGCTGTGACAAATGTGACTGAGACATAAACCCCAGTGGCTTTTAATGAGTATAAGGATTCAAGACACTTTAGGCCGGGTATGGAGGCTCACCCTGTAATCCCAGCACTTTGGGAGGCCGAGGTGGGTGGATCACTTGAGGTCAGGAGATCAAGACCAGCCTGGCAACATGGTGAAACCCCATCTCCACTAAAAATACAAAAATTAACTGGGTGTGATGGTGTGTGCCTGTAATTCCAGCTACTAGGGAGGCTGAGGCGGGAGAATCACTTGAACCCAGGAGGTGGAGATTGCAGTGAGCCAAGATCACGCCACTGCACTCCAGTCTGAGTGACAGAGCGAGACTGTCTCAAAAAGAAAAAAAAAAATTAAAAAGACACTATGACAGGTTGTGAGACAGGGATGGCAGGGAAATTATAGGATTCTGCATCTATTCTTTTGACTTCTGAAAAATATTTTTTTTTTTCCAAATGTGAGCAGAGGTTATTTTATTCTTTCCTTTCACTTACTGTCTGTCTCCCTGAGTTTCTTTTTTTTTTTAATTGATCATTCTTGGGTGTTTCTCGCAGAGGGGGATTTGGCAGGGTCATAGGACAATAGTGGAGGGAAGGTCAGCAGATAAACAAGTGAACAAAGGTCTCTGGTTTTCCTAGGCAGAGGACCCTGCGGCCTTCCGCAGTGTTTGTGTCCCTGGGTACTTGAGATTAGGGAGTGGTGATGACTCTTAACGAGCATGCTGCCTTCAAGCATCTGTTTAACAAAGCACGTCTTGCACCGCCCTTAATCCATTTAACCCTGAGTGGACACAGCACATGTTTCAGAGAGCACAGGGTTGGGGGTAAGGTCACAGATCAACAGGATCCCAAGGCAGAAGAATTTTTCTTAGTACAGAACAAAATGAAAAGTCTCCCATGTCTACCTCTTTCTACACAGACACGGCAACCATCCGATTTCTCAATCTTTTCCCCACCTTTCCCCACTTTCTATTCCACAAAACCGCCGTTGTCGTCATGGCCCGTTCTCAATGAGCTGTTGGGTACACCTCCCAGACGGGGTGGTGGCCGGGCAGAGGGGCTCCTCACTTCCCAGTAGGGGCGGCCGGGCAGAGGCGCCCCTCACCTCCCGGACGGGGCGGCTGGCCGGGCTGGGGGCTGACCCCCCCAACTCCCTCCCGGATGGGGCGGCTGGCCGGGCAGAGGGGCTCCTCACTTCCCAGTAGGGGCGGCCGGGCAGAGGCGCCCCTCACCTCCCGGACGGGGCTGCTGGCCGGGCGGGTTGCTGACCTCCCCCACCTCCCTCCCGGACGGGGTGGCTGGCCGGGCAGAGGGGCTCCTCACTTCCCAGTAGGGGCGGCCGGGCAGAGGCACCCCTCACCTCCCGGACGGGGCGCCTGGCCGGGCGGGGGGCTGACCCCCCCACCTCCCTCCCAGACGGGGCGGCTGGCCTGGCGGGGGCTGACCCCCACCTCCCTCCCGGACGGGGTGGCTGCCGGGCGGAGACGCTCCTCACTTCCCAGACGGGGTGGCTGCTGGGCGGAGGGGCTCCTCACTTCTCAGACGGGGCGGCTGCCGGGCGGAGGGGCTCCTCACTTCTCAGACGGGGCGGCTGCCGGGCGGAGGGGCTCCTCACTTCTCAGACGGGGCGGCTGCCGGGCGGAGGGTCTCCTCACTTCTCAGACGGGGCGGTTGCCGGGCGGAGGGTCTCCTCACTTCTCAGACGGGGCGGTTGCCAGGCGGAGGGTCTCCTCACTTCTCAGACGGGGCGGCCGGGCAGAGACGCTCCTCACCTCCCAGACGGGGTTGCGGCCGGGTAGAGGCGCTCCTCACATCCCAGACGGGGCGGCGGGGCAGAGGCGCTCCCCACATCTCAGACGATGGGCGGCCGGGCAGAGACGCTCCTCACTTCCTAGATGGGATGGTGGCCGGGAAGAGGCACTCCTCACTTCCTAGATGGGATGGCGGCCGGGCAGAGACGCTCCTCACTTTCCAGACTGGGCAGCCAGGCAGAGGGGCTCCTCACGTCCCAGACGATGGGCGGCCAGGCAGAGACGCTCCTCACTTCCCAGATGGGGTGGCGGCCGGGCAGAGGCTGCAATCTCGGCACTTTGGGAGGCCAAGGCAGGCGGCTGGGAGGTGGAGGTTGTAGCGAGCCGAGATCACGCCACTGCACTCCAGCCTGGGCACCATTGAGCACTGAGTGAAGCAGACTCCGTCTGCAATCCCGGCACCTCGGGAGGCGGAGGCTGGCGGATCACTCGCGGTTAGGAGCTGGAGACCAGCCCGGCCAACACAGCGAAACCCCGTCTCCACCAAAAAAATACGAAAACCAGTCAGGCGTGGCGGCGCGCGCCTGCAAATTGCAGGCACTCGGCAGGCTGAGGCAGGAGAATGAGGCAGGGAGGTTGCAGTGAGCCGAGATGGCAGCAGTACAGTCCAGCTTTGGCTTGGCATCAGAGGGAGACCGTGGGGAGAGGGAGAGGGTGAGGGAGAGGGTGAGGGGGAGGGGGAGGGAGAGGGAGAGCTGAAAAATATTTTTAAAAAATAATGAATGTGTCTAGTATTTCACCTACCCTATTCTGCTCATAACAAAAACAATAGTAACAACAGCAGATGAGCAACCTGACCACCTGCTAAGTGTGGGGCACTACCAGGAGCTTCAGACTTAAAGTGCTCAAAGGTGAACCTTCATCCTGCTTTTCAAACTAGCTTCAACTTTGTTCATCCCTTTATCTAGAAAATGGCTTCTAGTTGCTTATCCCAAAACTTTGACATCATTCTTGCTTTTCTTTCAACCCACACATTTGATCCATTGCCACGTCCTGTCAATTTTCCCTCCCAAAGATTACTTTTAATTTAGCACGTCTTTCCATCTTTACTGCCTTTCTTGTAGCCTAAGTCCTTATTAGCTAATCTAAACTGCATTAACAGCTTTCTGTTCTGTTCTCCGAGCTCCCACCATGATTCCCTCCAGTCTGTTCTTCACACAGCAGCCAAAGTGATTATGTTAAAAGGTAATTCAGAGCTTGTCATTCTTGCATTCCTCAAAGCCCTTCAATGGCTTGTCCTTGCATTAATGATGAAATTGAGGATTCTTGTCTATCTCCTTTAGGCTCTTCCTACACTATCCACCTCCCTGCCCTTTTAAAACAGACTCCATTTCCTTCTTCTTCTTCCTCTTCTTCTTCTTCTTCTTCTTCTTCTTCTTCTTCTTCTTCTTCTTCTTCTTCTTCTTCTTCTTCTTCTTCTTCTTCTTCTCCTCCTCCTCCTCCTCCTTCTCCTTCTTCTTCCTCTTCTTTCTTCTTTCTTCCTTCTTTCTTTTTTTCTTTTTCTTTTTTTTTTTAAAGAGACAGGGTCTCATCTGTCACCCAGGTTGGAATACAGCAACATGATCATGCCTCATTGCAGACTCATCCTCCTGGGCTCAATCGATCCTCCTGCCTCAGCCTCCCACGTAGCTGGGACTAAAGGCATGTGCCATCACGCTCAGCCAGTTTTTTGCTTGATTTTTGTAGAGATGGGGGTCTCGCTATGTTACTCAGCTGGCCTTGAGCCTCCCAAAATACTGGCATTACAGGCTTGAACCACCATACCTGGCCTGACTCCATTTTTTAGAGCAATTTTAGATTCACAACAAAATTTAGTGGAAGGTGGAATTTTCCCATAGGACCCCCCTGCTTCCTTAAACGCACAGCCTCCCCTACTATCAACATTCCCCACTAAAGTGATACAGTTATTACAGTCGATGAACCTACACTGACACATCATAATCACCCAAAGTTCATAGTTTACATTAGGCCTCACTCTTGGTGTTGTAAATTCTATGAGTTTGGACAAATGTATAATGACATGTATCCACTATTATAGTATAATGCAGAGTAGTTTCACTGACCTAAAAATCCTCTATGCTTTGCTCTTTCATCCCTCTCTCCTCGCTAACCCCTGGCAACCATGGATCTTTTTACTGTCTCCATAGTTTTTGCCTTTTCCGGAATGTCACAGAGTTGGAATCATATAGTATGTAGCCTTTTCGGATTGGATTCTTTCATGTAATAATATATTATACATTTAAGTTTCCTCAGTGTCTTTTCATGGCTTGATAGCTCATTTCCTTTTTTTAATTTAAAAAATTTAAGATAAAAAATTAAATTAATGGAATGTTTCACAAATTTGCATGTCATCTTGGCGCAGGGGCCATGCTAATCATCTCTGTATCATTAGCATTGTATCATAAAATTGTATCATACCAATTTTAGAATATGTGCTGCCAAAGTGAGCACAATAGCTCATTTCCTTTTCACACTGAATAATATTCCCTTGTCTGGATGTACCACAGTTTATCCATTCACCTGCTGAAGGACACTTTGGTTGCTTTCTACTTTTGGCAACCAAAAGTAGACTTTTGACAAAAGGTCAAAGCTTACCATATAATTCTTCCATTTTATAAACCGTCTATTGTTCCCCATTATTGCCATCAGTTAAGGTTTGGGCTCTTTGACCAAATGATAATAGTAATCCTTCTCAGTGGGATTATGCTGTTGTTTTCCAAGTTCTTGACAATGATCATGCATTGTTTTTATAATTAAAATGAATTGTTATTAAAAGCAATTTAGGTTGGGCGCATTGGCTTCTGCCTATAATCACAACACTTTGGGAGGCCAAGACAGGAGAGTTCGTTAAGCCTAGGAGTTCGAGACCAGCCTGGGCAACATGGGGAAACCTCGTTTCTACAAAAACTTTTTAAAAATTAGCTGGGTGTGTTGGCGCAAGCCTATGGTCCTAGCTACTTGCTACTCAGGTACCTGAGGCAAGGATTCGCTTGAGTCCAGGTAGTCGAGGCTGCACTGAACTATGATTGTACCACTGTACTCCAGCCTATGATAGGGTGAGACCCTGTTTCTAAAAAATAAAAATATAAATAAATAAAAGGAATTTAGTCTGGCCTCAAGGAGCGCTCTCTGGATAAGGTGATGTTTGGACACTGAGGTTTTGAAAAGTTGAGTAAAAGTTAGATAAACCAAGGTGAGGAAGAGAATGACAAGCAGAAGGGACAGGAATGTAACAGCAGGTGCAGATGTGTTTAAGGTCCAGGAGTGCATTCTGTAGAGTTGAGGTGAGAATACCCATGGAATAGTGCTAGGAGATGAGGCTACCAGTGGAGGTGGGAAACCAATCATTAACTTATTCTGAAAGTAGAGAGAGGAGCTGTTTCATAATTTTATAAAGAATTTGGGCTTGTCTTTAGAAAGGTCATTTCAGTGGCAAAGTGGCAGATTATTTGCAGAGGACAGGATCTAGCCAAACAGTAGAAGGTCAAGTATGGGATAACAAGAGCTTAAAATAAGGCAAGAGGTAGGATGAATTAAATGGAGACAAATTCTAAAGATTAAGGATGTATTTTTTTTTTGAGACAGGGTCTTGCTTTGTTGTCCAGGCTGGAGTGTAATGGTGTGGTTACAGCTCACTGTAGCCTTGGGCTCCTGGGCTCAAGTAATCCTCCCAACCTAGTCTGCACTCCACCCCTAAGTAGCTGGGACTACAGTAATGTTCCACCATGCTAGGATAATTTTTATTTTTTACATTTTTTGTAGAGATCAGGTCTCACTATGTTGCCCAGGCTGATCTCCAAGTCCTGGCTTCAAGCAACTTTCCTACCTTGGCCCCTCACAACACTGGGGTTATAGACATGAGCCACTGAGCCTGGCCCTGGAAGCAGATCTTTTTTTTTTTTTTTTAATTTTTATCAAACCATGCTTTATAGCACAGGTACAATTTTTTATTTCTTTTTTTATAGGACTTTTAAAAAAATTATACTTTAAGTTCTAGGGTACATGTGAACAACGTGCAGGTTTGTTACATATGTATACATGTGCCATGTTGGAATGCTGCACCCATTAACTCGTCATTTACATTAGGTATATCTCCTAATGCTATCCCTCCCCCCTCCCCCCACCCCACAACAGGACCCGGTGTGTGATGTTCCCCTTCCTGTGTCCAAGTGTTCTCATTGTTCAGTTCCCACCTATGAGTGAGAACATGCGGTGTTTGGTTTTTCGTCCTTGCGATAGTTTGCTGAGAATGATGGTTTCCAGCTTCATCCATGTCCCTACAAAGGACATGAACTCATCCTTTTTTATGGCTGCATAGTATTCCATGGTGTATATGTGCCACATTTTCTTAATCCAGTCTATCATTGATGGACATTTGGGTTTGTTCCAAGTCTTTGCTTTTGTGAATAGTGCCGTAATAAACATACGTGTGCCTGTGTCTTTATAGCAGCATGATTTATAATCCTTTGGGTATATACCCAGTAATAGGATGGCTGGGTCAAATGGTATTTCTAGTTCTAGATCCCTGAGGAATTGCCACACTGACTTCCACAATGGTTGAACCAGTTTACAGTTCCACCAACAGTGTAAAAGTGTTCCTATTTCTCCACATCCTCTCCAGCACCTGTTGTTTCCTGACTTTTTAATGATCGCCATTCTAACTGGTGTGAGATGGTATCTCATTGTGGTTTTGATTTCATTTCTCTGATGGCCAGTGATGATGAGCATTTTTTCATGTGTCTGTTGGCTGTATAAATGTCTTCTTTTGAGAAGTGTCTGTTTATATCCTTTGCCCACTTTTTGACTGGGTTGTTTGTTTTTTTCTTGTAAATTTGTTTTGAGTTCTTTGTAGATTCTGGATATTAGCCCTTTGTCAGACGAGTAGATTGCGAAAATTTTCTCCCATTCTATAGGTTGCCTGTTCACTCTGATGGTAGTTTCTTTTGCTGTGCAGAAGCTCTTTAGTTTAGTTAGATCCCATTTGTCAAGTTTGGCTTTTGTTGCCATTGCTTTTGGTGTTTTGGACATGAAGTCCTTACCCATGCCTATGTCCTGAATGGTATTGCCTAGGTTTTCTTCTAGGGTTTTTATGGTTTTAGGTCTAACATTTAAGTCTTTAATCCATCTTGAATTAATTTTTGTATAAGGTGCAAGGAAGGGATCCAGTTTCAGCTTTCTACATATGGCTAGTCATTTTTATTTTTGCCAGCACCATTTATTAAATAGAGAATCCTTTCCCCATTGCTTGTTTTTGTCAGGTTTGTCAAAGATCAGATGGTTGTAGATGTGTGGTATTATTTCTGAGGGCTCTGTTCTGTCCCATTGGTCTATATCTCTGTTTTGGTACCAGTACCATGCTGCTTTGGTTACTGTAGCCTTGTAGTATAGTTTGAAGTCAGGTAACGTGATGCCTCCAGCTTTGTTCTTTTGGGTTAGGATTGTCTTGGCAATGCAGGCTCTTTTTTGGTTCCATATGAACTTTAAAGTAGTTTTTCCAATTCTGTGAAGAAATTCTGTGAAGAAGATTGGTGGCTTGATGGGGATGGCATTGAATCTATAAATTACCTTGGGCAGTATGGCCATTTTCACGATATTGATTCTTCCTATCCATGAGCATGGAATGTTCTCCCATTTGTTGTGTCCTCTTTTATTTCGTTGAGCAGTGGTTTGTAGTTCTCCTTGAAGAGGTCCTTCACATCCCTTGTAAGTTGGATTCCTAGGTATTTTATTCTCTTTGAAGCAATGGTGAATGGGAGTTCACTCATGATTTGGCTCTCTGTTAGTCTGTTATTGGTGTATAAGAATGCTTGTGATTTTTGCACATTGATTTTGTATCCTGAGACTTCACTGAAGTTGCCTATCAGCTTAAGGAGATTTTGGGCTGAGACGATGGGGTTTTCTAAATATACAATCATGTCATCTGCAGACAGGGACAATTTGACTTCCTCTTTTCCTAATTGAATACCCTTTATTTCTTTCTCCTGCGTGATTGCCCTGGCCAGAACTTCCAACACTATGTTGAATAGGAGTGGTGAGAGAGGGCATCCCTGTCTTGTGCCAGTTTTCAAAGGGAATGCTTCCAGTTTTTGCCCATTCAGTATGATATTGGCTGTGGGTTTGTCATAGATAGCTCTTATTATTTTGAAATACATCCCATCAATACCTAATTTATTGAGAGTTTTTAGCATGAAGGTTGTTTAATTTTGTCAAAGGCCTTTTCTGCATCTATTGAGATAATCATATGGTTTTTGTCTTTGTTTCTGTTTATATGCTGGATTACGTTTATTGATTTTCATATGTTGAACCAGCCTTGCATAGCAGGGATGAAGCCCACTTGATCATGGTGGATAAGTTTTTTGATGTGCTGCTGGATTTGGTTTGCCAGAATTTTATTGAGGATTTCTGCATCGATGTTCATCAGGGATATTGGTCTAAAATTCTCTTTTTTGGTTGTGTCTCTTCCAGGCTTTGGTATCAGGATGATGCTGGCCTCATAAAATGAGTTAGGGAGGATTCCCTCTTTTTCTATTGATTGGAATAGTTTCAGAAGGAATGGTACCAGCTCCTCCTTGTACCTCTGGAAGAATTCGGCTGTGAATCCATCTGGTCCTGGACTTTTTTTGGTTGGTAGGCTATTAATTATTGCCTCAATTTCAGAGCCTGTTATTGGTCTATTCAGAGATTCAACTTCTTCCTGGTTTAGTCTTGGGAGGGTGTATGTGTCCAGGAATTTATCCATTTCTTCTAGATTTTCTAGTTTATTTGCGTAGAGCTGTTTATAGTATTCCCTGATGGTAGTTTGTATTTCTGTGGGATCGGTGGTGATATCCCCTTTATCATTTTTTATTGCGCCTATTTGATTCTTCTCTCTTTTCTTCTTTATTAGTCTTGCTAGCAGTCTATCAATTTTGTTGATCTTTTCAAAAAACCAGCTCCTGGATTCTTTGATTTTTTGAAGGTTTTTTTATGTCTCTATCTCCTTCAGTTCTGCTCTGATCTTAGTTATTTCTTGCCTTCTGCTAGCTTTTGAATGTGCTTGCTCTTGCTTCTCTAGTTCTTTTAATTGTGATGTTAGGGTATCAATTTTAGATCTTTCCTGCTTTCTCTTGTGGGCATTTAGTGCTATAAATTTCCCTCTACACACTGCTTTAAATGTGTCCCAGAGATTCTGGTATGTTGTGTCTTTGTTCTCATAGGTTTCAAAGAACATCTTTATTTCTGCCTTCATTTCCTTATGTACCCAGTAGTCATTCAGGAGCAGGTTGTTCAGTTTCCATGTAGTTGAGTGGTTTTGAGTGAGTTTCTTAATCTTGAGTTCTAGTTTGATTGCACTGTGGTCTGAGAGACAGTTTGTTATCATTTCTGTTCTTTTACATTTGCTGAAGAGTGCTTTACTTCCAGCTATGTGGTCAATTTTGTAATAAGTGTGATATGGTGCTGAGAAGAATGTATATTCTGTTGATTTGGGATGGAGAGGAAACAGATCTTTTACGGCTGAATGTTTGGTTGGATGTGGGGAGTGAGAGAATGATATTTAGATTTCTGATATCATGATTAAGTAGATAGATAGTGAGACCATTCATCAAGACAAAATATTGGGTGAGAACAGGGGGCATGGGGCAAAGGTGATGAGCTGGGCGTGCCTGTCAATCTAAGTTGATGTTTGAATTTAGAGCTTAGGAGAGAAATCTAGACTAGAAATATAGATCTGGGGCTCTCACATGGTTAAATCTAATGATCTAATGTCATTGGGGACTGAGTAAGAAGGACAGGTTGTACTCTCAAGTACAGAGTCCTGGTGCCCATAATTGAAGGAACTAGCACAGGGAGAGGTGCCCCTGATGGGGACTGAACAGAATAGCTTTCTATATAGTAGCGAGACCATGAAAAACGGAAGATAAGGGCGGGTGAGCATTTAAGAAGGCCGGTTAGCAGTGGCACATACTTCAGAGAAGTCAAGAGCAGTAAGAACTGAAATCCACCCACTTCATTTTGACTAAAGATCACTGGCAACAGCTGGCACAGCCTCAGTGTGGTGTTGGAGTAGGCACTGGCAGGGGATGCAGGATGCATTAGTTTCCTGTGGCAGCTGTGACAAATTACCACAAATTTGGTGGCTTAAAACAACAGAAGTTTATTTTCTCACACTTCTAGAGGCCAGAAGTTTAAAATCAGGGTATCAGCAGGGTTGGTTCTTGGCTGGAGGCTCTGAGGGAGAATCCATTCCTTGCCTCTCTTCCAGCTTCTGGTGCTGGAATTTGGGCTTGTCTTTAGAAAGAGCCCATTTGCAGGAGGCCAGACTGGGAGCAGCAGGTGGGCAGGATGGAGGGAAAAGAGGAGGGTGGGTGACTTTAAAACTTAAGCTTCATTAACTTTCTGGTAAATCCACGAATGAACAAGAATATATGTTGCCAAGTGGGTGGGTGGGTGGAGTATTGATTTAGATGTAGAAATATACAACTAATGAAGTAAAGTTTGGGCTAATCAAAAGAGTTGATAGGCAGAAACAAAGGGGACAGATTTTTGTGCCAATGATTTTTGGTGTTCCTTGCTTGTGGAAGCATCACTCTAATCTCTGCCTTCGTCTGCACCTTACCTCCTCTTGTCTATCTCTATGTTTTCCCCTCCTTTCATAAGGACACCTTCCTATTATTTCATCTCAACATCCTTAATTACATTTGCAAAGATATTTTTCCACATATGGTCACATTCACAGGATCTGGGTGCCATGTCTTTTTTTGGGGGGAGTGCACAAGTCAACCCACTACACATGGTAAGGAATGAATAGGCTGAAATGAGTAGGGATGATGAGCATAAACCCCCTTTTCAAAAAGTATGAATCAGAAGAATAGAGGGAAAGATACAACTACAGCCAGAGGGGATGTCAGGTTCAGGAAGAATGTCTTCAAGATCAGAGATACTTGGAAAAGCACTGGAGCAGATGCAGTTTTTAGGGTACCTGAAGCATATGTAATTAGAAGTGCCCTCTTTATTTATTAACTTTTGAGACAAAGTCTCTCTCACCCAGGCTGGAGTGCAGTGGTGCTATCATGGCTCATTGCAGCCTTGACCTCCTGGGCTCAAGTGATTCTCCCATCTCAACCTCTTGAGTAGCTGGGACTACAGGTGTGCCACCACTGGCTAATTTATGGCAGATTCTTCCGTAGAAATCCTTCCCAGTTGCAGCCCAGCTTCCCCTCCCCACCTCAAATACTTCAATTCCCCACAACTCTAAGCATTTGTGGGAGCCCAGACTGGGAACAGCAGGTGGGCAAGACAGAGGGAAAAGGAGAGAGTGGTTGACCCTGAAACTTAAGCTTCATTAACTTCATGGTAAATCCATGAATGCGCAAGGATATATGTTGCCAGGCAGGTGGGTGAGTGGAGTATTGACTGAGAGGTAGAAATATACAATGAATGCAGTGAAGTTCCTGGGCTCTTCAAAGGAGTTGATAACAGAAACAAAGGAGACAGATTGCTCGTGGACAAGGAGGAGGGACACCTTTTCCCTTGAGGCAGGTAGGAAGGGGTAAATATGGGCCACTGATCAGTTTGGTATGGGAATGGACAGGAAGGTGAGATATTGTTTGATGGCCTCAATTGAGTGAAATATAAAGCAAAGGCATCTTTTTTTGCCTGCAGTCAACATGAGCTTTTATTTGCCTGCAGTCAACATGAGCTCCCCTTCCCACATTTACCCTTCTGCTCACTACTCGCCACCCCCTGTTCTTATTAATGGTCTAAATCCAGTTGCTTAGTTGACTCCAGGAGTTTCCAGGGTTTAAAGGGGCTTGCAGGATAAAGGTGGTTTCAGTATGAATTAGTGCATTTTAAATGAGTGCTTCTAATCACGTTTTTGTGATGCTACTGAGTAAGCCAGTTCTTTGGGTGATGAGGAGTGATACCCTGGTTGCTGAAAGCTGGATGCTCTTTTGGCTAGGTGATTTGAATTAAATAATTATGTGTTCTTCCTCGGAAGTGACTTAGACACTTCTTGGTAGAATTCAGTATCTTTCCTTCAGCAGGATAATGTTCACATAAATTGCCTTTCTTGTGCCACGTGGCCATGGGCATCAGTTAGGCAGATTCAGTGTCTGGTGAGGGCCTACTTCCTGCTTCCTGGTGATTCTTTCTGCTTGCCCCAGGATCACTGATGTGAGCCATAATGACTACTTGGCATAGACTACACATAAGTCTTGTAAATGTCTGTATAGTTTTCTCATTTAAATGAACATGTCACAGTGCTCTTGGGAACAACTTTCCATTAACCTGAGCACAGCAGACAGCCTGAGACAGTGGTGCTCACTGAATGAAATTTGCTTCTGCTTTGGAGGTCTGATTTGTATTAGAGGCACGACCTGGTTGGTACCAGCTCTGCAGACCAAGTTTGATTTGTCATTCATGTTTATTGAATTCCCTGATAGCTGTGCAGATGAAGAAACCACTTAGAATTTAGAATAAAAATAAAAATAATAGCAACTAACACTGGGTGCTTAGCCCAGGTATCAGGCATTGTGGAAGTCCTTTACTGTTAGCTCATCATAATCCTATCAAGTAGGTACAGTATTTATTCCCCACTTTGTTGATAAGGAAACTGGAAATTGAAGAGGCTAAGTAAATTGCCCAAGTTGTACAGTATCTTAGTCAGTTTGGGCAGCTGTCACTAGCTACCATAGATTGGGTGGCATATTAACAACAGAAATTTATTTTTTACAGTTCTAGAGGCTGGGAAGTCCAAAATCAAAGTGCTGGCAGATTCAGTGTCTGGTGAGGGTCTGCTCCCTGCCTCCTGGTTCATAGAGGCTGTGTCCTCACATGGCAGAAGGGATGAGGGAGGTATCCAGGGTATTTTTTATAAGGGTACTAATCCTATTCATGAGGTCTCTACCCTCATGACCTAACCACCCCCTAAATGTTTCACCTCCTAGTACCATCAACTTGAGGGTTAGGTCTCTGCATATGAATTTTGGGTGTGGACACATTCAGTCTATAGCACATAGCTAGGAAGTGATAGAGCTGGAATTTGAACCCAGGCAACCTAATTCCAGAATCCAATTTCTTAATTATTGGGCTATACTGATGATACTTTTTATATTGGTACAAGTGTAGCTGAAGTTTGTAACTGAAAATGAGATATAATTCGGTAAAGAACAGTCAGTTCAACAGATGATTCATGCTTAGATGGCTTAGTACGGGGATTAAAACTCAGATGTCTACATACTGCCCCAGAGAGAAACTGCCCAGATGTAGTCACATTGGCTGGTGACTGTAGTGGTGAACTGGAGGATACATGCTCATTGTGAAGGGAGCAACTATGTATAAACATGTCGGAAGTTTTGTTTTGTTTTGTTTTTGTTTTTGTCAAGAGAAGCCAGAAAACTGGATTTTAATGTGAAACTTCCAATTTTAAAAATCGTCTTCCTGTTAATAACCGTGCTTTATCCATTAATGGTTAAATTATAGTCCTGTATAGTATAGGCTGGGTTTTCCTGCAGTAACCAACAACACCCAAAGCTCAGTAGCTTAAAACAATTAAAGGTTACTTCTTGCTGATGCCACTTGCCCAACAGTGGTTGACAGGAGCCTCAGCTCTTAGAACGTCTCGGAGACTCAGGCTTTATTTGGACACATTTTTTACATAATAACTGCAATAGTGCAAGGGGAACATGAGACTCAGACACTGACCCTTAAATCTTCTTATAGAAGTGACACAGATCAATCACTTAGACTCATATTTCATTGGCCAAAGTTAGTTAATGACCACACCTAACTTCAAAGGGGGTGGAGAAGTGCAGACCTTCTGTGGGCTGAAGCAAAATGTTTCTGAGTATCCCCACTGACTACCACAGCTCCATATACTCTGATTTTTAAGGCAGAAATGTCAGATTTTTCCCCCAAGTTAGATTCTGATTTGCAGAGATTTCAAACGGTTGATTTAAAAAAAAAATTGTTTTGTTCTTGAATGATTAAATTTGACTGCTCTGAAAAATTCATATTTTGCTTCATTTGGACTAGTGCCACTTATTTAAGTATTATCATCTTTTAGCTGATTAGGAAATCATATGCAGGAACTGTGAAATAATTTTTAGCTGAAGTGATGATTTATAGATGAATATTTATTCCAAAAAGCACTACTCATATATTTTAAATATTTGTTTATGTCATCCACTATCTTGTGTAACTTGTCTCATTAACTACACTGTAAGGTAAGAATCTTATGTTATTAATTTATGCTCTGTAGTGTCTGGCAGTATAGAAAATGGTTATTTAATAGATGTTAATAAATTTTATTGATATATCTGTCAATTAGTAGTTAATAAATCACTATAATTAGAGATCATGACTTCAGATGATGTCATAGAAGTTGGAAACACTTCAGGCAATTTTTTAGAAGTTGCTTATTGTTGGGCCGGGCGCTGTGGTTCACGCTTGTAATCCCAGCACTTTGGGAGGCCAAGGCGGGCAGATCACGAGATCAGGAGATCGAGACCATCCTGGCTAACACAGTGAAACCCTGTCTCTACTGAAAATACAAAAAATTAGCCGGGCATGGTGGCGGGTAGCTGTAGTCCCAGCTACTCGGGAGGCTGAGGCAGGAAAATGGCGTGAACCCAGGAGGCAGAGCTTGCAGTGAGCTGAGATTGCACCACTGCACTCCAGCTTGGGCGGCAGAGCAAGACTCTGTCTCAAAAAAAAAAAAAAAAAAAGTTGCTTATTGTTGATTATGATGGGATATGAAAGCCAAAATTCAGTGGCCCCTCAATTTCAAAGGCATTTCTGGCTTATTCGTTATGAATCACAAGGCAAGACTTTCTTTTCAAATATCATTTTTCTGTGATGTTTTCACATGCTTTATTTTGCTATAACATTTGGATGAATTGTAACTTAAAAAAAATTATGAAGCAAATATCAGTGCTCAGGGAGGTATTCAATTGCCTGAGATCTTGCAAGGCCTTAAACACTCTTCAAAACAAGCCCCTCCTAGCTCCTAAGCCCACGCCCTTCCTGGATGACCAGATAGAGAGTGATTCTCATTCTCATGAAATGCAGAGTGCTCAGGGACATGAATGTGTGAGGACAGAGTTTGGCCCAGGAGCAGTGTTTCTATAATTTAATAGTGGTATTACTCCCCTTGGAGAAAGTTGCATGAACACAAGTTACTCATTGATTGAATCTTGACCATGCAAGTGTGTTTCCAAAATCAATCACTCTTAAGTTGTTCCACATGTACTTGTAAATGTTAATTTAATGGCCTGTGTAACTGGGCTTTTGTTGTTGTTGTCTATCTGCTGATACTTAAGGTAGAGGAAGTTGTAATGTAGTGTTAAGATTCTGAGTCAGATAACTTGGGTTTTAAAACCATTACCAACACTATATACTAGCTGTGTAATATTGGCAAATCATTTACTCAGTAATGTTTAGATTCCTTATTTATAAAATAGAGTTAAAGGTATCACCTCATGACAAAATTGCTCTGAAGATTAAATGAAATAATGTGTACAATATTCATGGCATAATGCCAGGTACATGCTAAGCATTCAATAAAAATCAGCAATTATTAATATTGTATTACTATCTTTATAAAATCATATAATCAGGATTAAAGGATCTCAAAAGTCATTGGATTAAGCTACTCATCCAATAATTTAATCCCCCCTACAATTTTTCCACCAAGAGATCTCCTAGACTATGATTGAATACTTATTATTAGATAACTCTGACTTTTCAAACTTTCTCATATTGAACCAAATTATGCTTAAACCTGTAGCTTTCACCATTTGGAAATATACAGAACAAAAGTAGACCCTTTCCTCATGATAGCTCTTTGTGAATTTGAAAATATCTCTAATCATAAGCTATTCTCTAAACTTCCTTGAAACTTACTATCTCTCCCTGAAATTTTCACTTGATCTTTCTCTTTCCCTTCAACACCAAAATGTTGGAAAGAATTGTTATAAATAATTGTCTCAACTTCCTCTAGTTTCATTTCTTCTTCAACAGCTTGGATATAGAGTCTGATTCAACAACTCTCCAAGCTGAAGCATGAGGGCTACCCAGGAGTCAAAATAAGATGAAAAACACAGAGAAATAATAACATTGGCCCTTTTTTATTGAATCCTTTATAGTGTTTGAATCATTATACTAAGAATTTTACATATATTTTCTCACTGAATCATCACTAGGCCCTATGTGAAGTATATATTGGTATTATTATCTCTATTTTACTGTTGAGGAAAACGAGTCTCTGAGAGTTTGAATTTTTCAACATCCTGCAGCTTGAAAGGGTGGTGAGTGGATCCAGGTTTGTACGTGGGTGTTTTCTTCCTCCAAAGTCCCTGCACTTAAACACCAGATTTATAAATAAAGTTAGATGAATATGGGAAGGAAGGAAGAGATAAACCATCAGATCAGTTGATATTATTGTTGTTTACACATTATGTAAAATATATGCTTAAGAAATAAAAAAGAAATATAAGACATGACCTTTTTTCTCATATAAGGAAGCTTATAATATAGCAAATACACACACATATGTACACATGAAAAATGACAAGAGAAGGAAGGATAGCAGTATAAACACGTATTTTATATGAGACATCTCTCCTTTTAATTATTTTTTATATTTTAAAAATTGTTTATAAATATATAGGTATAATGACAGCGGTGGAGATACATAGGCATAGGTACAGCTAATGATAAAGACAAGGAGATATAAAGATATAGATAAAGACTATAGACAGATATTAATATAGGGATATAGATATTTAGAGATAGAAGTAAAAACAGAAAAAAAAAAGATATTTAAAGTAAAACTATGAACCAGAAGGTTATACATCAAATTTAGGACAGTGGTTGTTTTGGGGAGGAAATGAGAGAATAGGATAAGTGTAGGGCTGGGGAGAGAGGAAACGTCTGTAATGTTCTGTTTATTTTATATATATAAAAATGCCTGGGCTGGGCAGTGTGGTACATGCCTGTAATCCCAGCACTTTGGAAGGCCAAGGCAGGAGGATCACTTGAGCCCAGGAATTCAAGACCAGCCTGGGCAGCATAGGGAGACCCTGTCTTTACATCAAATTTTAAAAAGCTGGGTGTTGGGGCACAGGCCTGTGACTCAACCTCCCAGGCTCAAGTGATCCCAGCTACTTGGGAGGCTGAGGTGGGAGGATCACTTGAGCCCAGGAGGTTGAGGCTGCAGTGAGCCACAATCCCACTATTGCACTCCAACCTGGGCAACAGAGTGAGATCTTGTCTTGAAAAAAAAAAAAGACAGAAATCTGAATAAAAATATAAATAGAAAAGGGAGGGGTATGGAGGGACAGCTTCAAATCTTAATATTAATATTTCGGCCTTACATTAGAATCATATAAATGATACTATCCTGTAAGACATTATATTATTTAGATTTATAAAACTATGTTCTCATAAAAGAGAGCCAAACTGTAAAGTTAAGGATTACATCACAACTAAGCTTCCTGAAATGAAGAGAGCTCCCCCTCCCCTGGCTTTGGGCACCACTGACTGCCATGCTTCTGTTGGCAGGCAGTGGGCTGCGATCGGCAACTGGGAAGCAATGCCAAGGAGGACAACTGTGGAGTCTGTGCCGGCGATGGCTCCACCTGCAGGCTTGTACGGGGACAATCAAAGTCACACGTTTCTCCTGAAAAAAGTAGGTTTTAAACCCAATACGTTATTACCATCATACAAGATATATTTTAGACTGTCTATTGCTAGAATAACATTTTCTGAATGTTAAGCTTTTTTAGTTGGAAGTAGCTTTTGTACCAATTTTCTAAAAGTGAAATTTCTTCCAAGAAGTGTGTATCAAACTTTTGTTCCCATTATATCTTTGAAGAGGACCCGTTTTCTTTGAACCTTTGCCAATGCAGGGTATTACTGTTTTAAAAAAATATATTTGCCAATTTTTCAGGTAAATCATGAAATAGTAATTTCTTTTATTTGTCTTCCTTTGACTGCTAACAAGGTAGAAAATATTGTCATGTATCTATTGACCATTTATACTTTTTAATTTCTCAGTTAGCTACTGAAGCCATTTATCAATTTTCCTATTTGGATGTAGATCTTTTCCTCATTGTTGAGAGCTTTTAATATATCACCAATACTAACATTTTTTCTGTCATACCTATTTCAAATATGGTTCCAGTTTGTTAATTGACTTTCAATTTTGTGTAATTAGAGTTTCTAAGTTTCTAAGTATTATGTATTTGGAAATTTCCATCTTTTCATTTTAATAATATCTGTCCTTTAAAACATCCTTTAGTTTGGGGAATCAGTAAACTTTTTCTGTAAAGGGATGGATAATAAATATTTTAGGCTTTGCTGGCCATATAGTCTCAACTACTCAACACAGCTGTTGCAGTGTAAAAGCACACACAGACACCTGTAAATAGATCAGCATGGCTACATTCCAATGAAACTTTATTTACAAATGTAGCCTGAAGGCTGAATTTGGCCTTTAGGTTTGTTAACCGCTCCTTTAAAGGAAACAAAAATTATTCACGTATGTTTTCTGCCAGTACTTTTATGGTTTTGTTTTTCTTTATAATAATTCTTTCTGAATACCCCCTTGTTGGTGGTATTCAGTTATAAATGTAGGTGAGTTCCGCCAAAGATTTGATTTTAAATCTTTTATTCCTTTGAATTTAGTTTGATGTAACTTGTAAAGTCGGCATCTTACTTATTTTCCCAAATGGGGAAAGCATTGCGGGAGGGGTGGAGGGTTTTTCAGGCAGAGGAAACACAAAGTTCATGGCGTGACACTGGAGAAGAGTCTGGGTGTTTTGAGGAACTCCTAATATGTTGTTCAGGCCTGACTGTACATTGAATAGGGTAGAAGATAAGACAGAACGGCATTTGGAGTCAAAGCCTTCGTTATTGTGTTTTATTTTTCAGATTAAGTGGAGCCCTCAAAGCAATTTAGGCAGTGGAGTGATATGGTTAGGTTAGTGTTTTAGTAAAATAATTCTGGTGGCATATGGAGGCTGGATTACCTGTCAGATGAGCTTGGAAGCAGGTAGTCCAAATAGGAAGTGTCTTTCAAGCTATTCAAGAGTGTTTAAAATCATGAGGCCTTGATCTAGGGTAGCGTGGGAGGAAACGTAGAGGAAGGAACAGGTGGAGAGATCTTTAGCATGTAGAATGAACAGAGTTTGGTAATTCTTTGAATGACAGCTATAAGAGAAAAGAAGCAGCTAGAATGGCCCAAATTTTCCATCTTGTGCAGCTCGGTGGACATGTTTGCTATTCATTTGGGTAAGGAATTCATGAAGAGGAGACACATATCAGAGGTGAGACTCCACCTCCCTGAATTTTATTCTCTCCAAAATTTTCACCCCATAAGTATCCAATGTCTAAGTATCTTTCTGATGCCTGCAAACAGATGTTGATTATGTTTTCTTTGTGGTTGGAGGGTTTATCTGAAACATGCTAGGTTATCATGGCTGATAGCAAAACCCCTTGTTGGTGGTATTCAGTTATAAATGTAGGTGAGTTCCTCTAAAGAGAGTATGTAGAATATAAGAGGAAACCAATAATTGCATCCTGAGGAAAAGCTGAAGTCAAAGCATTTAGCCAGGGAAGAAGTTTAAGGGAATCCAACCGAGAAGGAATGAATAGAGTAAGTAGGTAAATGCAGAACTTAGCAAGAGCAGTACCATGGACCCCAAAGGAATAAGTAATTTCAAAAATGAGATGGGGGTGGCCAGCAATGTTAAATGCTTTTATGAGTTCAACTGGAATAAGGGCCCAAAAGTTTGTCTTTGGCAATTTGAAGGTCATTTGTGATGTGAACAAGAGTGATTTTGATGAACTTCAGGCTGAAATCAAAGCTTCATTGCAATGGATTGATAAGTGAAGAGAATGTATAGAGGGAAGGATTTGCTCAGGACAAGAGGAGGGGAACAGACCAACACCGTGTCAACAACTGGATAGCTCTACAGGGTTGGTTGGAGAACACCGTGAGGTGTTCCAGCCTATTGTCTTTATTTGACTCTTCATTAGGAGATAGAGTTGGCCAGTAGGAGTGAGGGCTCAGAGACTTGAGCCTGTTCCCATGAAGGAAAGAAGAAGGAACCATCAACAACAGTACAAAGATAGAGGAGTAGCTGTAAGGGCCTAGCTGAGATGGGAAACCATGAATTCATGGAGGTTCCAATTTTTGGACTTCATGAAGGAGGTGGCTTTGAATGGTGGTATACCAATGAGGAATGTATCCTACTGGAAATCACAGAAAACTCAACTTAGAAACATTGGAGTTTATAAGTCTTTTCTAACAAAAAGCCTGGAGTAGGCAGCTAAGGCTGGGGATGCTGTTTTACTGTGTCTTTCAGGAACCAGGCACCTTTCTCTCTTCTTCACATCCTTAGAGGATGGCTTTTGCCTACTTGGCTGCAAAGTCATTATTGGACATTGAGATGTTACATCCACATCCCAGATAATAAGGAAGAACATAGTGTGAAAAGCGTTTTTTTAAATACTGTGTTCTTTATCCAGGAAAGGATATTCTCCCCAGGGAATTTTGCTTCATTGACCAGAATTATGGTGTGTGACACCCTGGCTTCCAAGGAGGCAGGAAACCAAGTAGTTAGCATTCTATCCATTCTGCTATTACTAATATTGATCAAATGCTTTATAATTCCCAAAGTTCTCTTCAGACTTATCATTTAATTCTACCAGCATTCTTACATTATAATTTGGATAATGTCCTGCCTATTTTACAGATGAGGAAACTAAGGATGAGAAATGTTAAGAAACATCTCCCATAATTAATTATGAAAGGAAATATTGGGAAGTGGTTAAGAAATTGGGGTCCGGAGCCGCCAGCCTTCCAGGGTTAAGTCCTGGGTCTGTTGCTTATGAGCTGTGCAGAGTTATTTAAGTTATTTCACTTCCATGGGTATCTTGGATCTCTAATTTTAAACTGGGAATAACAACAGTACTGCCTTTGTAGAGCTGTTATCAGGATTTAAAAGATCAATCCATGTTGAGAACTCCAAATAGCGTAGTAACTAGAGAGTACTCAGTAAATGCTAGCTGCATTTTTGTTAAAAATATTACCCATTGGGATACTAAAGGATGTCACACTGATACGGGAGGGGGGGCAGGAAATTGAAGGGCGGGGTTCCTGGCTAGGGCTCCGCCCTTGGGCCTGTGCCCACTGGCCTGGGTGAGGACAGGGACTCTGAAAACAGAGTCCCTGTCCTCACACCCAAATGTTGCATTTTCCAAGGCCACTCTGGCCTGCCATGCCCCCCATTCTGTGTCTATAAAAACCCCAAGACCCTAGCAGTCACACACACAAGTGACTGGATGTTGAGAGGAACACACTGGCAGAAGAACACACAGACGCCGACAGGCCATTGACAGTGGAACGACAGAGACTCAGGGGGAAATTTGGCCGAGGGCGGACGGACGAGATCCTAGCTGCTAAGCGACCCGACTCCAGGGGAAGACCACCTTCCCACTCCATCCCCCTTCTGCCTCCCCATCCCCCTTCTGCCTTCCCATCCATCTACTGAGAGCTACCTCTACCATTCAATAAAACCTTGCACTCATTCTCCAAGCCCATGGTACTGGAAAAAATGGATCACACATGGGCTTGGAGAATGAGTGCAAAGGTTTATTGAATGGTGGAGGTAGCTCTCAGCAGATGGATGAGGAGGCAGAAGGGGGATGGAGTGGCAAGGGATACAGAAAGCGCTGCGATACCGAAAGCCCTCTGTCCTTGAGAAAAGGCAGAGGTTCTAACTGAGCTGATTAACAGAAGCCACCTGCGGACAGCTAAGCTGAAAGAGCACACTGTAACACATGCTGGAACTTTGGGAGCTGTAAACATTCAACTCTAGACGCTGCCTTGGGGTTGGAGCCCCAAGCTCCCCATAACCTGCCCGTCTGCATGCTCCCCCTAGGGGCTTGAGCTGCTGGGCACGGAAGAAGCAAGCCACTCCTCCTGTTGCATGCCCTGAGAGGGGGATAAGGGAACTTTGCCCCTTTCAATACCTCTTACATACTTTAAGTGTAAATGTGGGTATTTGTAAACATATTTGAAAATCAACAATCAGTCCGTCTGGGGATTGATTTTAAGAGAGCTACTGCTTGGTATGGAGGAAAACGTTGAAAGTGTGAAAACAGAGTGATTGTAGGACAAACCAAAGTTTTAGGACTCAGATCAGTGAACACAGTTTGAAGAGAGGCTATACTGAGAAGTGTTCATCCAGGAAGGCATGTGGATGAGGGGAGTAAGGGAGAAAGACAATAGCCAGATCCCGGTGTAATGGAAGTACGTAGAGTTAGTGTTGGCCTTAGAAAGTTTGGAAATCTCATCAGAAAATACCTCGTTTTGTCAGGGTCCAAGAAAGATTAGAACTTGAGATAATTCTAATTGAACCAGGGTAAATGCCAGATGAAATTGTGCCAAAGGGCAGTCTTATTTGGAGAAGTGTGCAGAAGAGGTACTGAAATGCAAGGTAGTTCATTATTCTCTCTCTCTCTGTCTCTTGATTTTCAGCTTTTGGATTACATATGCTTTTGAGAATCTATTAAAAGTTATGCATTTTCTTTCCAGGAAAATGCATGTGTATTTATAAGCCCCACATTTGCCATTCTGATTTTTTTGTGGGGTTCTCAGACCCCTGATGCCTGTTTAGGACATTCCAGGTTAAGAACCCCTAAAATGTCCTTTTTTTTAAAAAAAATCAATTTCTACGTAGAAAGGGGAACTGGAGGGCACAGATCCTTCAGTGCAGGGCATGAGTGACATGGTATAAGCCAGGAACATCCCACAGGATGCTGGCATGTTATCAGGTTCCGTATGCATGCGCTTGAGCTAAGGCTAAAGGTAGCAAAGATTCCTGCCTGCGTGAAAACACAGTCCTTCACCATCTTGATTCTAATTATGGCCCCATCATGTTTGTTACAGCTCTGAAACTGACCAGCTGAAGCTGTTTTTGGCTGGGATTTTTTCCCTAGGCCATATGGAAGCACTTCCCTATAATCATGCTTTGTGTGAAAGAAATGTAGGAAATGAAGCCATGTCTCCCCCTGAGTGTGCATCACTGGAGCCTGCAGAATCTACGCAGCTCCTACATCCACACCTTGCCAAGAATTCATTCCAATCTTCCCTGGGACTCACCCTGAGTCAGGACATGGCAACGAGATGCTGTTGGCACAGCCCTGCACTGGAGAATGTGCACAAGGCTGCACACAGAATATCATTTCCATCACGCAGTGAGGCAGACACAAGGTGTAAGAGCCTGGAGCCAAAACCTTTGCTATGAAAAATATCAGAAATTTATCCAGATACAACATACAGATTTCCTGTTCAGAGGGAGGAGGAGAGAGACGGAACTGACAACCAACATAAACAGCTTTGGATGTTGGAAAAGGAAACTAGAGGCCACTCAGGTATTAAAGAGAGAAAGCTGTAAAAACAACAACAAACATATCTGTTTAGAGAGTCTTGACTTGGCATTTAGAAACTTAGTTGTATTTCCAGGTTTGTTCCTTATTTTGGTCTTGTCCACATCAGGGCACACGTGTGTGAGGCAAATAAACAAGATCGGCTTGTCTATTCTAAGCTTTTTGTCCATTTTTACATGGTGGCAGCCAAGCCTATTGATACAGTGATACCTAAGGCCAACTGGGAACACCAGCATTTTGCTCAAGTTTTGGCAGTATGAAGATAAACACACACTCTTCTAATGCATTCCTTGACACAAATAGAATCCTGGGCTAGGTGGATCATGGGGCTGCCTCACAGTGTAATTCTTAAGATTTTTTCCCTTCATCCACTGTTCATTTCTCCTTTGACTGTCACTCCCAAAAACCATTTACAAATTTAACTTATTCCATAGCAAGGAAGATTGTGTAGGATATAAAGGGTCTGCTAACATGGTAACATGAATTGGTTTTCATTCTCCTGTCTTCCCACATCATCTCTTTCTACCTCCACATTCGTCTTTCTAGGGTGAGATTCTGGCTGGTCATACTCTTCTATCAGAACTGCGATTGAGAAAGGAATATTCAAACCAAAGACCCTGTTCCTTTTAATGGAATTAAAAGTTTCACCCTCCTCCATTTAATTCAGCAAGGGAGAGTGTGGCCTGGAAGGAAGACTCTGTGACTAGAAATAAAGACTCCTGGGTTCTAGTCCTTGCCTAGCTCTTTTGCATGGTTTTGTTTGTCTTCTGGCCCTGTGCATGAAGAGAGATAATGGAAAAATAGCATGTAGACTGTGTTGCAAAGGAATGTCATAGATTGTATTTTACATGGAGAAGCAGACAGACTGTGAACTCCCTGGCCTCTTCATGAATCACCTTACACCTATGATGAAATCCGCGTCCCTCTCCAAAGCCTTTAAAGCCTGTATCATCTGGCCCCTGTGTTACATCATGTGCTGCCATCTGCTCCTCATTCCCTAATCCCCAGTTACACTGGCTTTCTGGGAGATTCCAGAATGTCAGGTGCCCATTCCCCCGATGGGCCTTTGCACCGACCCATCCCTGAACCTGGACCATGTGTCTCCCTGCTCTTCAACGTAGTTACCTCTTTCTCAACGTTGAGCACAAGTGTCGCCTCCTCAGAGAGGCTTTCTTTGACCACTCTACGTAAAGTAGGCCCTTCTCTTTTCTGTTTAGTTCTTGCTTAGCCTTTAGGGAAAGAAGTGGTTATTTCATTTATTTGTCTAGTTTGCCTCTCCCACTAGTAAGCTTTGCAAGAGCAGGCACCATGTCTATGATGTCCACCATTTTATTCCTAGTGCTAGTGCAGTACTGAACACATCCTAGGAGCTCAGTTAATGTTGAACAAATGAATACATGGCCTTCGCTGGAGATGATTCTGCTTCCTGTTATGATTTCAGTGGGACTAAATGATATTGTGCAATAGAACTGGACTGGAAGCCAAAGACTGGGGTAATAACCTCAGTTTGGCCTCTGACAATCTATCTTCTTAGGCAAGATGCTTCACTTACTGCGACCTCAACTTTTTCATCTGCACAGTGAGCATGGACAATTTATAAGAAATCTTCTAGCTCTGAAAATCTATTAAGTGTGTGTAATTTGTTCATTGTTAAAAAAAAATAGATCTTAGGATTGAATGGAGTTTAGAGAAAGAAGTCCCAGGAACTTATATGAAGCAATTTTCCAAACTTTTAATAAAGGGCTTGACAGTGATGGCTTGTCTTTATTCTTAAAGGGCCCAGGAAATTTTAGATACACCACAAGAATGAGTTGGTGTGAGGTTTCCTCTTATCTCCCATGAACTGCTACTTGGTTGCCTTTTAACATGTTATTGTCACAACCTGCAAGAGGGAGGTTTAGTTTTTGCACTGACCCCCTCATTGGTATGTGAGCTCCTCAAGAACCTCATGCACCTGGCCCAGTACCTGGCACCCAGTATGTTTCCAGTAAAGGTGTGTCGACTTGACCTACACAGAATTGAAGAGCCCACTTAGACCAGCATCCCTATGGAAGCAGTCCTTGAGGAATGTGAATTAAAATCAGAAGCAGCTTATTAGTAGCCAAGCACTGCAACACCCGTGGTCACCCAGGAGACCTGACACCTGCTGACCAGCTGAGAGCACTGGGATTATTAGTAAAAATACTTATTGGGAAAATAATAGTAATAATAATGGCCCCCAGGGTTTGTATGCTTACACTGTGCTATGTATTTGTTATGTGTGACATTATTTATTCTTAACATAACCCTGCAAGGTAGGTACTACTATACCCTCCCCATTTAACAAATGGAGAAATAGGCTCAGTGAAATTAAGCACCTTGGTCAAGGTCTCACAACTGGTGAGTGGTCAAGATGGTTCTGACCTCAGAGTTCATGTGCTTAACCACCCTCCCAAAGTGTCTTCCAAGGACGGCGAGATGAGCATGAGGCGAGAGGTGCACCGAGGCTTAGAGTGGTGGGACAGGGAACAAAGATAGCACAGAAATGGAGTCAGAGGGGAGCAAAGGCTGCCTCAGCCAACCCACCCCTTGTTTCCCCTTGGCAGAGCCCAGCCAGCTCCATGGTTCCTAACCCAGGGTGCACATCAGGAGCACTTGGGGAACTTGTCCCATGTTCTAATCCTCAGGCCCCACCCTAGAATTTTGAGGGGTAAATCTGGGCAATTGCAGGTTGCCAAACTTCCCAGGTGGCCACTGGTGCATGCCTTTGGTTAACGCCTCTGCTTTTCAGTGTCTGATGCCCCACTACAGAGTCAGAAGGCAGATGACTGTTTTATCCTCACCAGCCTCCTGATTTCTTAGAGGCAGTATTATAAAGGGCAGAAAATGAGAGTTACACTATGATGCTCGAGAACATCTGGACAGATATTTGTTATTAGATGCTGTGTGACATAGTCCCATCTCCTGCATGCTGTTCCAAAGCTAGCCCTGCCAATAAGCACAGAGGCATACATTATTGGTCAGTCTGCCTGTTACCATGGTCTTTTGAGGTAAAGGCAGTTTAGGCCAGTAAATAAACATACGTCAGGTTGGGAGCAGATGTTTCTGCATAGGAGCTAAGGGCTGAAGATACTCATTTGCAGATTGAGCAATCAGAGACTTTAGTAATGTGGCCTAACAGCTCAAGGCATGCTGGTCAGTTTTCAGTTTGCAGCCGATTGTTCTCAACAAGGCAAAGCTCTGCTGTGTTCCTTCCTTCTTTTGTAAAAAATTTGCTGTTAATTTCCTACATTTGCTTTTTCTACTTTTGCTTACTGGCATACTGCATTTTTCTCACCCCCATTTGCAAAGTAGTGTATAGACAGTCCTCCAGCTGCAGAATCAGTGTTGCTACCCATTGACTTTTCCTTTTTTCGCCTTCCAAAATCCCCCACTGCTCCTACAGAATGACAGATGAGCTTGAAGCAAACCTTACTATCCTACTTTTGAAAAATTGTGCAGACCCTGTTCTGTACAATACCATGCCAGGTAACTTTTTTTTTTTTTTTTTGAGATGGAGTTTTGCTTTTGTTGCCCAGGCTGGAGTGCAATGGTGCAATCTCAGTTCACTGCAGCCTCTACCTCCTGGGTTCAAGTGATTCTCCTGCCTCAGCCTCCTGAATAGCTGGGATTACAGTCACGTGCCACCATGCCCGGCTAATTTTGTATTTTTAGTAGAGATGGAGTTTCACCATGTTGGTCAGGCTGGTCTTGAACTCCTGACTTCAGGTGATCCACTTGCATCAGCCTCCCAAAGTGCTGGGATTACAGGTGTGAGCCACCATGCCCTGCCTCGGTAACTCTTTTTAGTCTAAGTGATGACAAATAGTTATGGGTGTGTGAGGGAATTAACAAACACTTTTTTTTTTTTCAGTTTACAAAATGTTGTCACAACATTATCTCATTTTAAAAAATGCATTCCTTAAAAATAAAACCTATTTTTTTTTTGCAATTTTCTATAGGGTTCAAATTATTAGCATTAGCATGTATTTAAAAAGTTTTCTTATTTTTTAAAAAAACTACTTTATGCCTTGGGAATGGTGTGTGTGTGTGTTTGAATCTAAATAGCAGAAGGAGAAAATAAATGCAGGTTCTATAAATGTAACATGAAAAATACTCGACAGAAAATTTTGTTCAGAAAAAAAAACCCAACCAACTAAAAAAACACACACCAAAAAAATAAAAAAATAAACAAAACAAAAATAGAAAGTGGGGATGAGGTTGTCAAAGTGAGAGTCACTAAGACATCCTTTTCCTTGTTTTACCTTGGAATGTATATATTTAGGTTGATGTAGTTCCGGTTGAACTTTATAGTGAAAATAAATGATCTGATATAAATTACAGTGCTTCTGGGCTGAAACTGATGTTTATTGATTAGTTAATATTGTGTGGACAATTTATTTCCTGTACATCTTGCTACTTAGCAAAGCTGTGATATCCAGCAGGAAATGAGACATAGAAAAAATATGATGGAACAGCTGGACTTGAGCATTTATGTGTGGGAGGGAAAGTCAGTGAATCTTAGGTCAGTCCAGTGATTGCAAAATCAAACAAGTGAAACCCATAAAATGAAACTCTGTGTGATGAGTGAATTTGAGTTTATACAGCATCACTTGGTCTCATAGTAGAAGGATTTAAAAGTGTAGTTTTGGGTCCTTACCCTGGTTCTAATGCTTAGGAGCACCGTGATCTTGGGCAAGTCACTTTAACCTTATAAAATTTTAATTGTCTTAATTATAGAAATGAGTTTTCATTAGAATGAATGAGGTAACTTATCTCAAGTTTCTTAGCATGTTGCCTGGTGGCAGAGTAAGTGCTCAACATGGTTTTAATAATAACTTATACTTACCCAACGCCTAATTGGCACCAGGTTCTTTTCTAAGCCCTTTGCATATATTACCTCATTGAACACTCATAACAACCCCTTGGAACAGGTATTCCTATTCCAAGAGATTATCAAGAATCTCTTACCACCAAATTTCAATAAGACAGTTTTGGAATAATTCCAGACAATGAATGTGATCAACAGGAACCAGTTACCACCATCAACAACAAATCTAGGTGTCCCAGACATGAGCCTACTGTTAGCGACACCATAAGATGGGATGGAGAGGAAGCCTTTTCTCTCCATCTTATATGTTTTCTTTTTTAAATTAGACACGGTCGCCTAGGCTGAATGCAATAGCATAATCCTGGCTCACTGCAGCCTCGACCTTCTGGGTTCAAGGAATCCTCCTGCCTCAGCCTCTTAAGTAGCTGGCACTACAGGCATGTACCACCACACCTGGCTAATTTTTAAATTTTTTGTTGAGACAAGGTCTCACTATGTTGCCCAGGCTGATCTCAAACTGCTAACCTCAAGTGATCTCCTACCTTAACCTCCCAAAGTCCTGGGATTACAGGCATGAGCCACCACGCCCAGCCACCGTCCGCTGTGTTTTCAATAATTGGCTTATAGACCAATAGAAAATATAGGATTTCAAAGCAGGCTTAGAATCAGACCTGCTTGGCAATGCCATCTGCATTCTTCTGATAGGAGGTTTCAGGCAGTCTATACTGAGCTTGTGCTGAACCACAAGCAGCAGTCTGCTCTTTCTTACTGTACTTACAATTGCTTCCTCTCTTTATCATCGCCTCCAGCTCCAGGTCTACCTCCAGGCCAAGGGGGTCCTTTACCAGGAGGCCATTTGTCTGCAATTTATGAATGGCCCATTCTGAAGGGTAAGATAAAGAAAGCGTGGGTAATAGTCTTTGTATCAGTGCAAGTAGAATTTCAAGCAAAAATACAAAATGAGTACTTTGTTGATAATCAAAAAACAAATAGTTTGAAGAATTTGTGAACCAAATGCCATTACATCAAAATATGTAAAGAAAAATCCCCTGTAGTTATATAAGATGAAATTGAAATCAGTAAAACTTCTGAGAGACTTTAATACATTGAAGTGAGTGAAAATTACATAAAGAATCTGTGCAATATAATTACTAATGTTACATTAATAGGTAACAGAACATTGCATGGTGAGGAAATATACCTTCTTTTCAAACATTTATGCACCATAATACAAAAACTGATTCTATGCAACGCTCCAAGGAAGATTAGAAAAAAAAAATCCAAGTAAAACAGAAACCATCAGAAGAGACCTCGCCCTGCAGCTGCACCCATCCATTCCCTGCTTCCTCCCGCTACGGAGGCACAAATGTCTGTCTTCCTTTCCAAGACTAATTAATCCCTCCATCTGTGTTCTGCATTCCAGCTCCTCTGTGTCCTCAGAGAACTCACTCCACCCATCATCCCCTCTCTTTCCTTTATCTTCTTTCACTGTCTCTTTCCTATCAGGGTTAATATGACCAGCGGGTCTCTTCCCATCTTAAATAAAAGTATAATTTTAAAAATGTCTATGTATATACATGTATATACATATGTGTGTATATACATATGTGTATATATATGTGTATGTTTATATATGTGTATGTATATGGGTGTATAATATTTATATATAAAAATATTTTTAAATTATATATATATATAGAACACTCTTTTAATCACGTCTCCAGCTACGACCCTAATTTTTCACCTACTCTTTATCGCCAAGTCTTGAAAAAACTGTTTACATTTGCTGTCTCTAATTTTTCATCATCAATGTATTCCTCAGATCACAGCTTCCTGTGCCAGCTACTTGATTGAAACTGCTTTGGCAAAGCACATTAACAGTCTCTTTACTGCTCATCCAAAAGGCACTTTTAAGCCCTCATCTGCAGAGCACTTGGTACTCCTGGCTCCTGCCTCCTTAAAATCCTCTGCCTCACAGGATTCTCACTTCATTTCTGGTCAGACCTAGAACTGGGCCGTCTCTTGCAGGACAGTGAAGAAATGCTGAAAAGTTTGTGACTGTGGACCAGTCCTCCCTTTCTGCCCTTTATGACTTGAGTTCTCCCTCTCTATATCCTGCGCCCGTGCTGCTCAAAATGTGGCTCACAGTCTAGCAGTATCAGCATCACCTGGGAGGCTGCTGCTGGTCGGGCACATTCTTGGGCTCCACCCTAAACTGCTGGATCTGAATTTCTATGGGTGGAGCAGGTGTCTGTGTTTTAACAAGTTTTCTAGATGATTCATATTTAGGTAAAATGTTTGGGAAGTACTGCCTTATCAGCGTATCACAGAGACTTCTACAAATGTATGAAACTTTAGTGGAGGGTTACAGAAATGAAAGGGAATTCCAGTTTAGGAGATGATCCTTATAGGCTGCTCCTTGTTCTTAGCTTTGCCTGGGTGCTCGGCAGTGTGCTTTCTCTCCAAGAGTTATATAGTAGGCAGCTCCACCCAGAAGAACATTTTCCTCAAGTTTGAGGCTTTTTGGCTAAAATCAACTGCAAGGGATTTGATTTGCAGGGTTTCATTAAAGTGTGTAATTATCAATGGGACAATGGTTGGAATATACACATATATGCACACACACCCCTAGACAAATGCTTCCCCAAGATACCACAGCCTACATTCACAAAGATTTTGCAAGAGAGCCCAACCAATATGCCCAAATAGGTTTTCTTCAGTTCAGTAAAGCTTTCTAATTTATATGTATTTTCAAAACAATTTTTATTACATATATAATATGCTGTATATGTGTTGTAAAAAAAATCCAGAATATCCAGGCAAGGAAATTGACAAACATGTCATGTATTCAATCACACTGCCAAGAGATTACATGTGTTATCATATTAGTGTGTATCCTTCCGGGGATGAGGTGAAGTGGTTGAGGATGCATAACATATATTGATAATTTATATTGTAAAATTAATACATACTTTTTATAAAACTTAAAAAGTTTTTTAAACTTACAAAAACTTCAAATGGCACAGAAGGATATAAAATGGAAAGTAAATGTCACCCTCTACCATCCACAAACTCCTAACCAGTTCCACTTTTTAGAGGTCTAAACAGGATGAATGGTTGCTTCTATTAAGATATTTCCTATGGATGTGTATGTGTGCACCTTTCCATACAAACATGTATGCTTTTGAGAAGTATACAGAATTGATCATTAGGTATAAACTTTTTTACAATTTCTTTTTATTCACTGAGGTTTTTTTGCCTATCAGTTCTCATAATTTGGCTTGTTTTTTTTGTTTTTGAGATGGAGTCTTGCTCTGTCGCCCAGGCTGGTGTTCAGTGGTATGGTCTCGGCTCACTATGACCCCCGCCTCCTGGGTTCAAGCAATTCTCATGCCTCAACCTCCTGAGTAGCTGGGATTGTAGGTGCCAGCCACCATGCCTGGATAATTTTTGTATTTTTTAGTAGAGACAGGGTTTCACCATGTTGGCCAGGCTGGTCTTGAACTCCTGACCTCAAGTGATCCACCCGCCTCAGCCTCTTAAAGTGCTGGGATTACAGGCGTGAGCCACTGCACCCAGTTGGCTTGTTTTTTAACTGGTGATATAAAAGGACATTACATAATTTATTTAACCAGACTCATATCAATGAGCATTTAGATTTTCTCTCAGTGTTACAACAACTTTGTACTTTTGTGCAAGCATGTCTTTATGTGCTTTTAGTTCTCAAAGATACTGTAATTTCTCTTCTCTCTTCATAATCTTCTTGACATTTTGATTTTTCTGTGAACTAGTTTTTCAAGTGTCTGATCAATTCTCCTGCTAATTTGTGTTTTTTTCTTACTGATTTGTAAACACTCTGGATATTAAGAAAACAGTCTTTGCCTATAATTATAATTTTTCCTTCTTTGACATTTAATTTTGCTTAATTTTTATTTCAAATGATTAATATTTTCCTTCGATTTTCTCAAGGCATTTTTTTATATCTTGAGAGAGAGAGATTTAAATGTTGTTTTTGTAGGTTGTGTCCATTTTTGGGGGGCTGGAAATGGAGTCTCACTCTGTCGCCCAGGCTGGAATGCAGTGGCGTGATCTTGGCTCACTGCAACCTCTGCCTCCTGGGTTCAAGTGATTCTCCAGCCTCAGCCTCCTGAGTAGCTGGGATTACAGGCACCCACCACGCCCAGCTAAATTTTGTGTTTTTTAGTAGAAATGGGGTTTCGCCATGTTGGCCAGGCTGGTCTTGAACTCCTGACCTCAGGTGATCCTCCCGCCTTAGCTTCCCAAAGTGCTAGGATTACAGGCATGAGCCACCATGCGCAGCCGGTTGTGCCCATTTTTTAAAAGTTCATTCCAACATATTCTATCTTTTCTCTAGCCATTGCAAATGGGGCATTTTCTTCCATTATTTTTCTAAATGATTATTCTTGGTATTTCTAAAATCTAATAATTTTTTAATATTAATTTCTTCTTGATTTCCAATGTTTAGACTATTTTTTTCTTGCCTAATTACCTTGGCTAATCTTTTAAAAACTCTTCAGTCATACGGTGCTGACTGGTATCCCATCATTTCCCCAATTAAACAGCAGTGTTTCTAATGTTTAAGCATTAAGCATATTAATCATGACTTGCATTTATAAATGGTGTTACAAACATTTACTTTATTTTATATACAGAATTTTTATCAGGAATAATGACTGAATTTTACTAAATGCTGGAAACTTATTTGAGGTAATCAAACTTTTCTACTTTGTCTATTAATATAGTAAATTACATTAGTAGGTTTCCTAAATTTGAGCAACACTAGCATTTGTTGGGTAAACTTCATTTGTATATAGTGCATAATTCAAATTTATGATTAAATTTTCTTTTCAAATATTTTACTTAGGAATTTGGTATCAAATAGATGTTAATGACATTGGAATGTAGTTTTATCTCCAAAATTGTACTGTGTAAAATTTTCAAGCATACATAAAAGTTGATAAAATAACACAATTCACTACTGTACATTTTTTCAACTAGATTCACTAATTACTTATATTTTGCTACATTGGTTCATTATCCCTATCACTCTATCTCTATCTATCTATCTATCTATCTATCTATCTATCTATCTATCTATCTATCTAATTCCTCCATCCAACTAGCTAGCTGACCCTTGTTAATTTACAGACATCACAACACTTACTTCTAAGTATTAATACTTTAGCATGACTCTTCTAAAAATAAGGATCTTCTTCATAACATCATCTCACTAGTACACCTAAAAAATTATAATTTCTAAATATTATCTAATATCCAATCTATGTTAAAATTTCTCCTTTTATAGTTGTTTTTCCCCTTGAACTGGTCAAGGCTCACTCATTGCATTTAGTTTTTCTATCTCTTTAGTTTCTTTTTTTTTAGTGCACTTATTTTTTCATGGTATCGACTTTGTAAAGAGTTCATTCCAGTTGTATTTTAGCATGTCCCATATTCTGGATTTGTCTAATCCAGACAAAATTTGTTAATTTGATTAATTTGTTGATCTCCCTCACGTAATTCCTGTGAATTGATCAGCAAGGTCTTAGGTTTAATTAGAATTGGATTGAACATTTGTGGCAGCAGCACATCAAAAGTGATGCGTGATTTATGTTGCATCATATCAGGAAGTTGATGATGTCAGCTTGATCCAGTATTACTCACACAGGTGGTGAACTACACATACTGTGTTGTATAGATCCATGTTTCCCTGTAAGAAATCTGCAGAGTGATGCCTTGACAACGTGTAAATATTCTGGCTTGCAACAGTCTTTCACACAATGGCTTTAGTGTACATTGATGATCCTTGCCTGAAACAGTATTTAACACAGAGAGTTGCAAACGGTTATTTTCTAATTCTATCATTCCTTCTTCACTCATTCTTCTGTTTTTAAAAAAAGGTTTCTGTTTCTTAATTTCTCACTCTGTATTCAGAGATTTTTATTTATTTAATGTTTTATATGTTACTGACAATATTCTTTTTGGGTTTCAAATTGTCCAAAATGTAGCCAGTGGGAGCACTTTAAACTGTCTTCTTTTGTCATAATTCCATTGAATTTTAGACATTGCCTTGGTTTCTAGAGCAACAGGTGTTCCAAGCCCACCTTGAATTTTCCCTACTCCAGACCTGGCATTACCTGGTTTTTCATGGAGAGTTGGTTATTTTTAGTGGACTTTGTGTGTGTGTGTGTCTGTGTGTGTGTGCATATGTGTCTATGTTGGGTTACACCTTCAACACTCAGCCAAGGTAATTGACAACTTTGTTCTGGCCTTTACTTCCTGCTTCCTTAGAGTCTGTAGGTTAGCCATAGATGACAGCTTAGGACCTTCTCAGGTTGTTTCTGGGCATGCACAAAGCTCTGGCATACGCAGAGCCCCACATAGACATGCGGTCTTCTAGATTTTCAGGAATATGTTGGAGTTTTTCAAAACCACCTGTGGACATCTCATTCCCAGCTTTTTGGTTAGCTTATTGTTTTCCCCAATTGTTATCCACCACCTCATGCAGCCTCAATGTTATATAAGTATCTCTGATTGTTTTGGACAAATGCCTCCTGGGGAAAAGCTGTTTACACTGGGCAAACTCCCAGTTAGATAAACCAAAGACAGCTTTGTGAGTGAAGTCTTCCAGGGAACCACTACACAGGTCAAATAATAATTGGGAATTGGGCATTGAAGGAGCTCCAAACCCATTCTACCCCTGCAAAGTCTGCCAGGCTGCTGGTTTGCACTATGATTACGGGCTGTTGTTTTCAAGGTTACCATGGAGGTGGAGAATGGGGAGAGATGGAAATAGGCAGCTTAGCATGCCACAAAGCTCACTGTTCTTACTGAGCATTTTTCTTTGATAATTACTGCTCAGATTGTTGCAAGCCTTTGGTTAATTTCCAGAGTTTTAAAAATGTTGGTTCTGACCATGTTTTTACTGATTTTATGGAGGAGAGGATTTTTCAGAAGTCTTTATCACTTTTGCTTGTTTGTTCAAATTAGTCTCTACAAAAAATTCAAAAATTAGCCAGGCATGCTGGCATGCAACTGTGGCCCCAGCTACTCAGGAGGCTGAGTTGGGAGGATTGCTTGAGCCCAGGAGGTAGAGGCTGCAGTGAGCCTAGATCAGGCCACTGCACTCCAGCCTGGGTGACAGAGTGAGACCCTGTCTCAAAAAACAAAAACAAAACAAAACAAAAGAAAAACAACAAAGCATGATGAATGCATTAATCTTTTCTTTACTTACCAGTTTTCAAAAACGATGAGCTGTTTGCTAGCCTCCTTAAAATGACTGATGCTGTAGTATGCATCATTTCCTTTCCTTTCCTTTTTTTTTTTTTTCCCCCTGAGACAAGCTCTCACTGTGTTACCCAGGCTGGAGTGCAATGGGTTGATCATAGTTCACTGCAGCCTCAACCTCCTGGGCTCAAGTGATCCTCCCACCCCAGACTCCCAAGTAGCTGGGATTACAGGCACACACCACCATACCCACATTAAAAAAAAATTATAAAATTTTTTGGTAGTGACCAGGTTTCCCTATGTTGCCCCGACTGGTCTCGAACTCCTGGGCTCAAGCCATCCTCTTGCCTTGGCCTCCCAAACTGCTAAGACTATAGATGGGAGCCACCATGCCTGGCCCCCTCCTTTTTTTTAAAAAAAGCTAAATAAGAATCCATTGTAGGTATATACCAAAAAACATCTGTGAGAACCATGATTTCCAGTAGGTAATTGTCTAGGCCAAGGATCACGAATTTTTTCTGTGAAAGCCCAGATAGCACAGTAAATATTTTAGGTTTATTGAGCTGTATGATCTTCACTACCATGACTCAATTCTGCCTTTGTAGAGCAAAAACAGCCTTATCCATTCATCCATAGACAGATACTTAGGTTGTTTCTTCCTTTCGTCTATTGGGAATAATGCTGCCATGATCATCAATGTACCAATGTCTGTTTGTGTCCCTGCTTTCAATTCTTTTGGGTATATTCCTAGAGGTGGAATTGCTGGATCATATGGTAATTCTATGTTTAATATCTTGAGGACTTGCCATACTATTTTCCATGGTAGTTGTACCATTTAACATTTTCACCACCAGTTCACAAGGGTTCTTTTCGCCACATCCTCACCAATACTTGTTATTTTCTGCTTGTTTTGTTATTTTTTTTGTGTGTAATTCTCATCCTAATAGGTGTGAAGTGGTACCTGATTGTGGTTTTGATTTTCAATTCCCTAATAATTATTGATACTGAGCATTTTCATGTGCTTATTGGCCATTTGTATAGCTGTTTTGGAGAAATCCAAGTCCTTTTGTCCTTTTTATTGAATAGGTTGTTTTTTGTTGTTGTTGAGTTACAAGTATTCTTTATATATGCTAGATAATAACCCCTTTCCAAGATGTGATTTGCAAATGTTTTCCCCCATTCCGTGGGTTGCCTCTTCATTCTGTTCATAGTGTCCTTTTGTGCACAAAGGTTTGATTTTGATTTGGTCAAATTTAGTTTTTTTTCATGTGTTTCCTGTGCTTTTAGTGTCATATCCAAGATACCACTGCCCTATTTTTTAACCTTCCTTTTTTAAAGTCTTCAATGTGTATATTGGCAGGCTTTCCACGTTAGGTCATATAGCTTCTTATCATTACTTTTATCAGTTGTAGAGTATTCCTGAGTATGGATGTTCTTGTTTATGTAATCTTTCCCATATTGATGGACATTTAGGTACGGTTCAGTCTTTCCTTTTACATGTATACATGTTAAACAAACAAAAAATCTGGAATGGACATTCATCAAAGTGTTAGAAGTGATTATCTCTGGGCAATAGGGTTAGAAAAAGATTTATTTTGTATTTTTGTTTATCTACATTTTCTAATTTTTAATAATAAACAGGTATTTCTATTTAATAAAAACTTGCAAACTAGTCAATCAATATATTGATATCCTTTGCTTCACTAATTTCACTCTGGAGAGTTTATCCAAAAAAAATTGTTTTGCGTAAGTTAGACAAAAACATCTGCTTGAAGTAATTCGTATCATTGATAATGTTCTAGTTTCATTTAGAAACAGACAATCTTCAGAGAGGGGACTAGTGAGATAAAATATCATATATGAGCTTAGATTATTATGTGAACACAGAAATTAAATTATCAGTGTATGTAGCAGTGTGAAAAAACATCTCTGAGGACCAGGATTTCCAGTAGGTAATTGTCTAGGCCAAGGATCATGAAATTTTTCTGTGAAAAGTCAGATAGTAAAGTAAATATTTTAGCCTTATTGAGCCATATGGTCTTCATTACTACAACTCAATTCTACCTTGAAGAGCATAAACAGCCTTAAATGAATGAAGAGATGTGGCTAGATTTGGCCCAGGGGCCACAGTTTGCAGACCCTCATCAAAGCACATGGATTGGGCCATGAGAGTAAAGGTAATTGAGGTAGGCAGTGCATTTACTTTAAACGTTTCTTTAATGTTATTTAAGGGTGTATTTAAATGAAATTATGTAATATTCATCTGCTTTACACATAGTTTGTGATTTCCAAAGATTTATTTATTTTTTTCTTGAGATAGAGTCTTACTCTGTTGCCCAGGCTGGAGTCCAGTGGCACGTTCTCAGCTCACTGCAGACTCCATCTCCTGGGTTCCAGCAATTCTCCTGCCTCAGCCTCCCGGGTAGCTGGGACTACAGGCACACGCCATCACACCTGGTTAATTTTTGTATTTTTAGTAGAGATGGGGTTTCACCATCTTGGCCAGGCTGGTCTCGAACTCCTGACCTCAAGTGATCTGCCTGCCTTGGCCTCCTGAAGTGCTAGGATTACAGAAATGAAATATAGTTAAGAATATTTTGCAGACGCCCCCAGTTTTGATTGACTTGCTCATTTTCATGGGCCTTTAGTGTACTGGTTTTATTGCAGTTGCGTTCTGTTCTTTCCCAGGAGAAGAAAATGTAATTGCTGTTCCTTTGGGAAGTCGAAGTGTGAGAATTACAGTGAAAGGACCTGCCCACCTCTGTAAGTAGAATTTAATCTTAACATTTTTTAATATCCTGAAAGTTTAGTTAGCCAAAAAAAACAAAAAACAAAAAACCCACAAACCAAACCAACAAGCAAAAAAACTTTCTCTAAGTTAATGGGTAATGTTACTGAACTTGCGTCCACTTACTTGGCACAGCAAAGCTAAACACTGACATTAGGATTTGCAGCCAGAGACAGTGAGGCATTTATTGCAGAGCACCAAGCAAGGAGAATCAAACAGCTCATGCTTAAGACCTGAACTCCCAGATGTGTTACATGTAAGGATTTTTAAAGACAGGGAGATAGAAGTTACAGGCAAAGTCACAAATTAATACTGGAGGCTACGCACTGGTTTGACCTGAAAAGGTGGAATATCTTGAAGTGGGGGCTTACAGACCATAGGTAGATTCAAATATTTTCTGATTTGCAATTGGTTAAGAGAGGGAAGTTTTGCCTAAAGACTTGGAGTCAGCAGAAAAGAATGTTAGATCTGGCCCTTGGGCGTGATCTCCTCCAGGTGCCTCAGGAAGAAATGTAGGACAAAGAAAGGCAGTCAGAGTTCAGCCTCAGTTCCCTCTTACCGGAGGTCTCTGTGCCGGTGGATCCATTTGGTAGGGATCTAGATTTCCTGAAAAACTACCCAGGGACATATGTTAAAATGTTATCTTCAGTTTCTATAGGGAACCATACATCCTGTGACTCTAACTTTTTCTGGCTATTGTTTTAATCCACTATTACCTTGTTGCCTGTGAAGTTGCTCATTACTTCTCAAGGCTAGCTAGATGCCTGGAATTTCTCTTGAAGGAATTCAAGATTTTCCCTTATTTCCATTCATGGGGGTGGTGGTACCCTGTTGGGTACCCCCAACTATTCTGTAGTGGGCAAAATAGTCTATATAACCAGGGAAATTATCTGTATTGTACCCTGAATTTTTCTGTTCTCATACCCCAATGGGAAATTTGCCTGTTTAAGATTAATCCCCTCATGGGAGAATAAAAACCAAATTTTATGTCAAATAAACTATTTTTGTATAGGATGGCTGGGTGTGGTGGTTCACGCCTGTAATGCCAGCTCTTTGAGAGGCTGTGGCAGGAGGATCACTTGAGTCTAGGAGTTTGAGACAAGCCTGGGCAGCACAGGAAGACCCCATCTCTACGAAAAATTAAAAAAAAAAATTAGCTAGGCATAGTGGCGCACGCCTGTAGTCCAAGCTACTCAAGAGGTTGAGGTAGTCCAGGGAGTAGCTTGGCTACTACAGGCATGTAGTCCATGCTACTCCTTGCGCCTAGGAGTTCAAGGTTGCAGTGAGCTCTGATTGCACCACTGCAATCTGCCACTCCAGCCTGAGTGACACAGGAAGACCATGTCTCTAAAATAATAATAGTATATGGAGAGTAAAGTAAGATTTGGGAATGTTCTGGAGATTTTAGCAAAGTGGGACAAAACAAAACAAAATTTAAAATACAAAACCTTATCAGTGAATATGGCCGATCAGAACAAGCCTTGCTGCTAGCACATCACAGCTTCCCATGTAGGGGTCCCTGAAGGCTGACACTGTTTTCCCAGAATACTGTGATTTTCAAATAATAAATAGATTATTGTGATGATTTCACTCTGGGAATACACTGAAACCATTAAATTATGCATTTTAAAAGGGCAAAGTTTATGGCATGCAAAGTATATATGGAAAAGATGCTTAAAAAACAAAAAAATGCAATGGATGGTCTTGATATTCTCATGATATTAAAGGCCATTCCCCAAAATTCAGCTCCAAAACTAGTTTTATAAATTGTAAAAACAGAATAAGTAAGCAATAAATAGAATAAGTAAAGGTGAGGGAGGTGGAGCCAAGATGGCCGAATAGGAATAGCTCCAGTCTACAGCTCCCAGCATGAGTGACGTAGAAGACGGGTGATTTCTGCATTTCCAACTGAGGTACCGGGTTCCTCTCTCTGGGGAGTGTCGGAGAGTGGGTGCAGGACAGTAGGTGCAGCACACTGAGCCTGAGCCAAAGCAGGGCAAGGCATCGCGTCACCCGGGAAGCGCAATGGGTCAGGGAATTCCCTTTCCTAGTCAAAGAAAGGGGTGACAGACGGCACCTGGAAAATCGGGTCACTCCCACCCTAATACTGTGCTTTTCCAATGGTCTTAGCAAATGGCACACCAGGAGATTATATCCCACGTCTGGCTCAGAGGGTCCTATGCCCACGGAGCCTTGCTCATTGCTAGCACAGCAGTCTGAGATCAAACTGCAAGGTGGCAGCGAGGCTGGGGGAGGGGCACCCACCATTGCTGAGGCTTGCCTCTGTAGACTCCACCTACTCCACCTAGGGGTGCCTGCCTGCCTCTGTAGACTCCACTTCTGGGGGCAGGGCACAGCCAAACAAAAGGCAGCAGAATCCTCTGCAGACTTAAATGTCCCTGTCTGACAGCTTTGAAGAGAGTAGTGGTTCTCCCAGCACGCAGCTTGAGATCTGAGAATGGACAGACTGCCTCCTCAAGTGGGTCCCTGACCCCGGAGTCACCCCCTAGTAGGGGCAGACTGACAGCTCACACGGCCAGGTACTCATCTGAGACAAAACTTCCAGAGGAACGATCAGGCAGCAACATTTGCTGTTCACCAATATCCTCTGTTCTGCAGCCTCCGCTGCTGATACCCAGGCAAACAGGGTCTGGAGTGGACCTCCAGCAAACTCCAACAGACCTGCAGCTGAGCGTCCTGACTTGTAGAAGGAAAACTAACAAACAGAAAGGACATCCACACCAAAACCCCATCTGTACGTCACCATCATCAAAGACCAAAGGTAGATAAAACCACAAAGATGGGGAAAAAACAGGAGAAAAACTGGAAACTCTAAAAATCAGAGCACCTCTCCTCCTCCAAAGGAACACAGCTCCTCACCAGCAACGGAACAAAGCTGGATGGAGAATGACTTTGACGAGTTGAGAGAAGAAGGCTTCAGACAATCAAACTACTCCGAGCTAAAGGAGGAAGTCCGAACCCATGGCAAAGAAGTTAAAAACCTTGAAAACAAATTAGACGAATGGCTAACTAGAATAACCAATGCAGAGAAGTCCTTAAAGAACCTGATGGAGCTGAAAACCAAGGCACGAGAACGTGACGAATGCACAAGCCTCAGTAGCCAATTCGATCAACTGGAAGAAAGGGTGTCCGTGATGGAAGATCAAATGAATGAAATGAAGCGAAAAGAGAAGTTTAGAGAAAAAAAGAATAAAAAGAAATGGACAAAGCATCCAAGAAATATGGGACTATGTGAAAAGACCAAATCTACGTCTGATTGGTGTACCTGAAAGTGACGGGGAGAATGGAACCAAGTTGGAAAACACTCTGCAGGGTATTATCCAGGTGAACTTCCCCAATCTAGCAAGGCAGGCCAACATTCAAATTCAGGAAATACAGAGAATGCCACAAAGATACTCCTCGAGAAGAGCAACTGCAACACACATAATTGTCAGATTCACCAAAGTTGAAATGAAGGAAAAATTGTTAAGGGCAGCCAGAGAGAAAGGTCGGGTTACCCACAAAGGGAAGCCCATCAGGCTAACAGCAGATCTCTTGGCAGAAACTCTACAAGCCAGAAGAGAGTGGGGGCCAATATTCAAAATTCTTAAAGAAAAGAATTTTCAACCTAGAATTTCATATCCAGCCAAACTAAGCTTCATAAGTGAAGGAGAAATAAAATCCTTTACAGATAAGCAAATGCTGAGAGATTTTGTCACCACCAGGCCTGCCCTAAAAGAGCTCCTGAAGGAAGAGCTCAACATGCAAAGGAACAACTGGTACCAGCCACTGCAAAAACATGCCAAATTGTAAATACCATTGATGCTAGGAAGAAACTGCATCAACTAATGGGCAAAATAACCAGCTAACATCATAATGACAGGATCAAATTCACACATAACAATATTAACCTTAAATGTAAATGGGCTAAATACCCCACTTAAAAGACACAGACTGGCAAATTGGATAAAGAGTCAAGACCTATCAGTGTGCTGTATTCAGGAAACCCATCTCACGTGCAGAGACACACATAGGCTCAAAATAAAGGGATGGAGGAAGACCTACCAAGCAAATGGAGAACAAAAAAAGGCAGGGGTTGCAATCCTAGTCTCTGATAAAACAGACTTTAAACCAACAAAGATCAAAAGAGACAAAGAAGGCCATTACATAGTGGTAAAGGGTTCAATTCAACAAGAAGAGCTAACTATCCTAAATATATATGCACCCAATACAGGAACACCCAGATTCATAAAGCAAGTCCTTAGAGACCTACAAAGAGACTTAGACTCCCATACAATAATAATGGGAGACTTTAACAACCCACTGTCAACATTAGACAGATCAATGAGACAGAAAGTTAACAAGGATATCCAGGAATTGAACTCAGCTCTGCACCAAGCAGACCTAATAGACATCTACCGAACTCTCCACCCCAAATCAACAGAATATACATTCTTTTCAGCACCACACCACACCCAAAACTGACCACATAGTTGGAAGTGAAGCACTCCTCAGCAAATGTAAAAGAACAGAAATTATAACAAACTGTCTCTCAGACCACAGTGCAATCAAACTAGAACTCAGGATTAAGAAACTCACTCAAAACTGCTAACTATATGGAAACTGAACAACCTGCTCCTGAATGACTACTGGGTACATAACGAAATGAAGGCAGAAATAAAGATGTTCTTTGAAACCAATGAGAACAAAGACACAACATACCAGAATCTCTGGGACACATTCAAAGCAGTATGTAGAGGGAAATTTATAGCACTAAATGCCCACAAGAGAAAGCAGGAAAGATCTAAAATTGACACCCTCACATCACAATTAAAAGAACTAGAGAAGCAAGAGCAAACACATTCAAAAGCTAGCAGAAGGCAAGAAATAACTAAGATCAGAGCAGAACTGAAGGAAATAGAAACACAAAAAACCCTTCAAAAAAATCAATGAATCCAGGAGCTGGTTTTTTGAAAAGATCAACAAAATTGATAGACTGCTAGCAAGATTAATAAAGAAAAGAGAGAAGCATCAAATAGATGCAATAAAAAATGATAAAGGGGATATCACCACCGATCCCACAGAAATACAAACTACCATCAGAGAATACTATAAACACCTCTAAGCAAATAAACTAGAAAATCTAGAAGAAATGGATAAATTCCTTGATATATACACCCTCCCAAGACTAAACCAGGAAGAAGTTGAATCTCTGAATAGACCAATAACAGGCTCTGAAATTGAGGCAATAATTAATAGCCTACCAACCAAAAAAAGTCCAGGACCAGATGGATTCACAGCTGAATTCTACCAGAAGTACAAGGAGGAGCTGGTACCATTCCTTCTGAAACTATTCCAATCAATAGAAAAAGAGGGAATCCTCCCTAACTCATTTTATGAGGCCAGCATCATCCTGATACCAAAGCCTGGCAGAGACACAACCAAAAAAGAGAATTTTAGACCAATATCCCTGATGAACATCAATGCAAAAATCCTCAATAAAATTCTGGCAAACCAAATCCAGCAGCACATCAAAAAGCTTATCCACCATGATCAAGTTGGCTTCATCCCTGTGATGCAAGGCTGGTTCAACATACGCAAATCAATAAACGTAATCCAGCATATAAATAGAACCAAAGACAAAAACCACATGATTATCTCAATAGATGCAGAAAAAGCCTTTGACAAAATTCAACAACGCTTCATGCTAAAAACTCTCAATAAATTAGGTATTGATGGAACGTATCTCAAAATAATAAGAGCTATCTATGACAAACCCACAGCCAATATCATACTGAATGGGCAAAAACTGGAAGCATTCCCTTTGAAAACTGGCACAAGACAGAGATGCCCTCTCTCACCACTCCTATTCAACATAGTGTTGGAAGTTCTGGCCAGGGCAATCACGCAGGAGAAAGAAATAAAGGGTATTCAATTAAGAAAAGAGGAAGTCAAATTGTCCCTGTTTGCAGATGACATGATTGTATATCTAGAAAACCCCATCGTCTCAGCCCAAAATCTCCTTAAGCTGATAGGCAACTTCAGCAAAGTCTCAGGATACAAAATCATGTGCAAAAATCACAAGCATTCTTATACACCAATAACAGACAAACGGAGAGCCAAATCATGAGTGAACTCCCATTCAGAATTGCTTCAAAGAGAATAAAATACCTAGGAATCCAACTTACAAGGGACATGAAGGACCTCTTCAAGGAGAACTACAAACCATTCCTCAATGAAATAAAAGAGGATACAAACAAGTGGAAGAACATTCCATGCTCGTGGGTAGGAAGAATCAGTATCGTGAAAATGGCCATACTGCCCAAGGTAATTTATAGATTCAACGCCATCCCCATCAAGCTACCAATGACTTTCTTCACAGAATTGGAAAAAACTACTTTAAAGTTCATATGGAACCAAAAAGAGCCCACATTGCCAAGTCAATCGTAACCCAAAAGAACAAAGCTGGGGGCATCACGCTACCTGACTTCAAGCTATACTACAAGGCTACAGTAACCAAAACAGCATGGTACTGGTACCAAAACAGAGATATAGACCAATGGGACAGAACAGAGCCCTCAGAAATAATGCCGCATATCTACAACCATCTGATCTTTGACAAACCCGACAAAAACAAGAAATGGGGAAACAATTCCCTATTTAAGAAATGGTGCTGGGAAAACTGGCTAGCCATATGTAGAAAGCTGAAACTGGATCCCTTCCTTGCACCTTATACAAAAATTAATTCAAGATGGATTAAAGACTTAAATGTTTGACCTAAAACCATAAAAACCCTAGAAGAAAACCTAGGCAATACCATTCAGGACATAGGCATGGGCAAAGACTTCATGTCTAAAACACCAAAAGCAATGGCAACAAAAGCCAAAATTGACAAATGAGATCTAATTAAATTAAAGAGCTTCTGCACAGCAAAAGCAACTACCATCAGAGTGAACAGGCAACCTACAGAATGGGAGAAAATTTTTGCAATCTACTCATCTGACAAAGGGCTAATATCCAGAATCTACAATGAACTCAAACAAATTTACAAGAAAAAAACAGCCCCATCAAAAAGTGGGTGAAGGATATGAACAGACACTTCTCAAAAGAAGACATTTATGCAGCCAAAAGACACATGAAAAAATGCTCATCATCATTGGCCATCAGAGAAATGAAATCAAAACCATGATGAGATACCATCTCACACCAGTTAGAATGGTGATCATTAAAAAGTCAGGAAACAACAGGTGCTGGAGAGCATGTGGAGAAATAGGAACACTTTTACACTGTTGGTGGAACTGTAAACTAGTTCAACCATTGTGGAAGACAGTGTGGTGATTCCTCAAGGATCTAGAACTAGAAATACCATTTAACCCAGCAATCCCATTACTGGGTATATACCCAAAGGATTATAAATCATGCTGCTATAAAGACACATGCACATGTATGTTTATTGTGGCACTATTCACAAAAGCAAAGACTTGGAACCAACCCAAATGTGTAACAATGATAGACTGGATTAAGAAAATGTGGCACATATACACCATGGAATACTATGCAGCCATAAAAAAGGATGAGTTCATGTCCTTTGTAGGGACATGGATGATGCTGGCAACCATCATTCTCAGCAAACTATCACAAGGACAAAAAAACAAACACTGTGTGTTCTCACTCATAGGTGGGAATTGAACAATGAGAACACATGGACACAGGAAGGGGAACATCACACACCGGGTCCTGTTGTGGGGTGGGGGGAGTGGGGAGGGATAGCATTAGGAGATATACCTCATGTTAAATGACGAGTTAATGTGTGCAGCGCACCAACATGGCACATGTATACATATGTAACTAACCTGCACATTGTGTATGTGTATCCTAAAACTTAAAGTATAATAAAAAAAAAGAATAAGTAAAGGTGAACACTTTGAGGCAAAAATTCATTTATGTGTATATGTTCTGGCATATTCAACATAACTTTATATTCAAGACTGGCACTCGTCCAAGAACAGGGCTCAGAAATGTTCCCATTTCTCCAAGAGTGACAAATCTGTTGCTTGGACTATTTCCCTTTCTGAACAATCTCACAATTGGCAGTAGAAGTATTTCTGAAAGTTATCCTTCTTTGCTGATGAATAGAACTGGCTTCATTTACTAAGGACTTAGTTAACATTTCTGAATATCTAAATATAGAAGTGGTTTTATTTTCTGGATTTATGCAACTTTTTTCTTAGTTTTTATTTGTAAAAGAGATATTTCTGAAATGAAGCTTATTTTGCAGTAATAAATCATTCTTTTAATATCCACATTAACTATAACTATCCAAAAGACTGCATTACTAAGAACTGAAAATACCCAGCAACATCAATGTCAGTCTCTTTGCTGTGAAGTGAATTTTAATTACAGAATATCCATCTTACATACTGCCTAGAGGTGTTTGTTTAGATCCTGAATTTCCAGTCCTGTCCCAAGCCTGGCCACAGCATTATGGGGAGCACACAGCCCCAAATTTTCCAGGAGTGCATCCCTTCAAAAATGGAAGCAATAAGCAGATCCCTGCAAAACAGATTTTATTGTAGCAAAACCTTAGCATTAAATGTGTTTAACTAGCAGTAAACTTAAGAAGCCAAGAGGTCATAAACCAAAAACCTCCAATTCAGTTGGAAGAATATTTTCCCTTTAAGCCCTATCTGAGGACCATATATAGAGATGTATAAATATAAGCATGGATGCAGTACCTGATGACCAGTCAAAGGAAATTGACATGAATGAAATTAGCATATGCTATAGAAATACAGCTCTACTGTACATATAAGTTTGATGTATTTATAACTATGTTAGCCATGCTAAACACTCATTCCACATTTACCTGACAGTACTTTCATGGCCTTTAGAATTTAGGGAGACCTCTTGGGGATGGTTACCATGACCCTGCCTTTTTTGAAAGAAGCCTGAACTGATACTTCTCAGTGCAGATCCTTCAACTAGAAGCAATTAGAAGCATTCATCATTTTCTAGGCATAATTTCTTTTACAAATAACTAGTAGTGGATTAAAATATTTAAAGGCATCACTAGAGACCTGAGTTGTGAAGATTTTGGGATACAAGAAAGTCTTGATTTCTAATTTTTACTCTTTTTGAGACTACCTATCATATCTTCCTCAACACTTCCCTCCCTCCCCTCAATATTAAGTCTGGAGAGGAGAAAGAAGTTGGGCCGTGGGCAGCAGGAAAGAAGGCTCACACTCTCTTCCCTTAATTCTGGTGGGGATGCTTATAGGCTTCCTGGGGTCGCCTACACACTAACCACCTTGCTGCGGAAACCACAGAGGGTCAGTGAAACCTCTGAGAACCGAAGGGCTTGTGCATGCAGCTCTCACTAGCTATGAATCACACATTGTGAACAACATGGGGCTACAGTAAATATAGGGAAATGGTGGAAATTAATAAAAACTTAAAGGTATCCATAAGTCAATACATCATCTGAATTGTTGATTGAAACACCACAAACTCCTTTTTTTGTCATTTATTTTTAAGAGGCACCAGCACAAAGAAGCAAGTTTGCCACCAATAAAAATGACAACTTTTAAAGAACTGCATCGGCCTCCACCTTGCTGTGGATTGGGCACAGTGGCTTTGTTAATCCAGATTATCAGAATTGTTTGCATCCATAAACTCCACCTTCACCAAATCACTTCACCAGTCTTTCTTCACCCACCTTTGACTCTGCTTACCCATTTACACAATTGAGGTCAAAACACCTGCTTTCTGCCTCCTAGATAGGCAACCAGTGTTTGTGCTTTAGAGAACTGGAAGCCTTTTGAAATACTCAAATTAAAAATATTTTACAATAAGCGTACCATTTAGTGGAGAAGCAGAGTGGTTTGGGTAATTTATGTGAACTTGAAAATTGTTTTTGCTACTTGTGTTTTTATATCCATGTCACTGAGACTCTTAGACACCATTAAAATAGTGGCTAGATTCTGTATTAAAAACAAAGTATCAAAACCAAGTTAACAAAAATGCTGGCCTATGGTTTAGGGAATGGATATCGTAGCAACTGGTCCTCCCTTCCTCCCAGATCACCTTCCCAGATTTTTACACCCCTTGCCCCAATTCTGCATCCCGATCTGCAACTTGGAACGCTGTGGTCCAGAAGGTTAGCACAATGGTAAAGCAATTACTACTCCAACACAGCCGCGGAATCCATTGCACGCTACTTGAATTTAATCAAGTCATTTCAGGCTAAATCAGTGTCTAGAAACTTGTATTTTGCATGCCTTCTGTGAGGATGTGTTATGTTCCACTGAACTTTGCATCTTAATATTGCCTTAATGCTCTTATTGCTTATCATTTTTTTTTCTCATGGACTTTAGAGACATCCATTGTAGGGCCCATTTACTATCTCTAGTTCCCCATTTCATTTTTACTGACAACTCACTTTATAACACTCAGTTTTATATCTTCATTGGAACTAGGAAATGAATTTAATCTCACACTTTCCAAAAATCTATTGCGGTCATGGAGATCAGGGCCAAAGTGGTTGGGGTTTTGTATGCCTGCAAGTAGCCAGCATTATTCTTCGACCACTAATGACTCCTCCAGATCAAGTAGCTCATGTCCAGCCTTTGAATTTTCCCAGAAAAGTTCCCAGCCTGCCTGTCAGGGATAATCAGGGATGTCTCCTAAGGCCTGTTATGCAGTCTGTCCAGGGCACTTGAATTCCTGCAGCTGCTCCAGTGACAGAGAAAAATCCAGCAAATGAAAACAACCAAAGCCCAGCAGGCTATGGATGGAAGCTCCCTAATGCTGGACGATTTTGTTGCATTTTATCAGCTTTCCATTTTTGACACTCAACGGAGTTTTGGTTCTTCTGTGTTCTTTGTTTGAGATTTTTAAAGACTGGTATGATATCATTGAATCAAGTGTGGGTTTTAGAATAGAGCTGGACCTGAGAGATTGTCTGCTCTGACTCCTCATTTTAGGTATGAGGCAATGAAAACCCAAGGCAGAAAGTTAGAGAAAAATACGGGGCCAGAAACGCAGGTGCCCCAGAACCTAGCTGTATATACATTTTTTGTTGCCTCTCTCAACATGAAACCAGATCTACTAAGTGTGGTGACACTTAGAAAATAAAAGAAAGAAAAGAAAGAGGGAGGAAAGACAGAAATTTAAATAAAGTACAAATGTTTTTTTGTTTAAACTGTGATAAGCAAACTTTTTTTCTGTAGGAAATCTTAAAAGCACTTTTGTTCATGTGAAAGCAAATTCACATAAAGGGGTTTCATGCACAAGGGAGGTCTTTGTGGCAATGGAGTGGTTCTGTATTTTGATTGTGGTGGTGGGTGATAAAATGGCATTGAACTATATGCACATATTGTACCAGTGTCAATTTCCTGGTTTTGATATTCAACTATACTTTTGTAACATGTAAACATTAGACAAAAGGGAATGAAGGTTACAAAGGACCTCTCTATACTATTTTTGCAACTTCCTGTTAATCTGAAATTATTTCAAAATCAAAAGTTTTGTTTGATAAAAAGCAAATTTGAAATTTGCTGTGATTTTTGTCTAAAAGAGTAGGCATAAGATCTTTTGAACAAGTAATAAAATGAGTGAACATAGCTTTACTTTGAGTATTAGCTAAATCATGAAAACATATAAAGAAAGAAAAGTTTTCTCTTTCCCCTTATGCTAGAAATGGCTCCAAATATTTGAGTAGAACTATTTGGGCCTGCCACCCTTGTTAGCTCCTTTTGTTACGGGCAATTAAAAATCTGATATATCTATTCCACCAATATCAATGAATGTTTGTAAACTGAGTGGCTATTTTGACATTGTTTTGATATCATATACTGACATTGTATTTGCTAAAATGTCTTTTGTAATAAAATACCTTTAAGATTGTTTCTTATTTGAATCATATATTTTAATTTTAGTTATTGAATCAAAAACACTTCAAGGAAGCAAAGGAGAACACAGCTTTAACAGCCCCGGCGTCTTTCTCGTAGAAAACACAACAGTGGAATTTCAGAGGGGCTCCGAGAGGCAAACTTTTAAGATTCCAGGACCTCTGATGGCTGATTTCATCTTCAAGGTAGGATGATCCTCTTCATAAACTTCATGTACCTGAATCCCAGAACATCTTGATTTTTAAAACAATGAGTTTGTTTAGCAAGAGGTCATCAATCATTGTTTTTTATACAGAGCATGTGTCATCAATATTTCCATCTTGGCAGTCCATTCTTAAAAATTGTTCAGCACTCTTAAATTTCTGCTCCTAACCCTAACAGTTAAAAAACAAACTTCACTTTTATGGGGGAAGGATTGATTCTGTATTTATAATCTCTGGTTGCTTTGTTCAGTTTGTTTGTTGGTTTAAGAAACAGGGTCTCCCTGTGTTGCTCAGGCTGCTGCAGTGGCTATTCACAGCTGCAGTCATAGCCTTGAATTCCTGGGCCCAAGTGATCCTTCTGCCTCAACCTCCCAAGTAGCTGTGTTCAGTTTTAGATAGAGTTTGGTGAAAACGGCCGATGGTTAAATGCACCATATCCTAAACCAGTATTGTGCCGCTGCATGTCTTCTTGCAAAGGAGAGCAGAGACAACAGCGGCTCATTCCTTAGCCTCCTTTAAGATAGTTATCCTTAAGGCGTCTTTACTTCGACCTTCAGCCCTTAGAACATGCAGTCTTGCGGTGGGCTGATTCAAGATCAGGATTTGCTTCCCCAGATGTTCTATGACAGATACTTGTCACAAGATACCTTCAGAAGAACTCTTCTTCTCTGGAACCATGAGCCTGTGTCCCCTCTCTGGATACTGCTGGGGCATCTTCCCTCATTCAGAGGACATGAAGTATAGTGGCCAATATATTTCCAAGGTGACACAGTTTGAAACTCTTCTGATAAATTTGAAAATGCCTAAGAAATGAAAAAGATAGTTCAGTGTGTGGTTTTGCCGTATCCTGTTTCAGAAACCCATTCCAAAATGTAAATGGAAGCTAGGAAATAGCCCCAATTACCAGTTATATTTTTCTGTATGAAAAAAACCCTTTAGCTTTAAAAAGCTGTCTGTGTTCTACATATTAATTTGTCACGGAATGTTTCACTGAGACATCAGTTGTGTCAGCAGAGGAACATGCACGGAGGTAGATTAGAGTTGCTGACTCATCCCAATCCCTGAGATACAAATTCAGCCTGCAGTGGGACTGGCCAAGCGTTGGCCTGCACAGTGTATTGTTTTGTTTCTGAAACTTTGGATTTTGAATAATCAACTCTTAAAAATCAAGAGATTTTTACATCAAAAGATCAGGGTTTGTTTTTTTTTTCTTTCTGCTTCTCTGTAAAAATGGGAAGAGCTTGCATTTTACAATAGCAATAAGTGACTGTAACTGAGGAACAGCTGCCTTCCAGTCTCGGGTCTGCCGTGGTCCACACCACTGTGTATTGTGTCCCTAACACTAAAGGCGTAAGTGGTTGGTTGCCATTCATCCTGATCTGGGCATTTATAGCATCTGCCTAGCCTCCACAGACATTTATGTTTCTGACTTCTGTGTCATATCCTTAAAGCATTGATCCAATAGTCTTCTTAGACAGTCATATTATGAAAGGTTTTGGGGAAGCCATAATTACCTTTTTTTTTAAAGTCTCTCTCTGGTCTATTGTTATGACATAAATTCTATGCTTTCCTTGCCCTCCTTAGGGCCTTCCTATGTGATTCTCAAGTAGAAAATATACACCACACACACACACACACACACACACACACAGAGTTTTTGTTCTCTTTTAATTACTACTCAGAGAATCTGTATTCTTCTCAAGTCAACTTGGAGGTCCTTGACTGAATAGGAGACATTAATACAATGATGAAACGAGGAAAGTACCCACAAAGATTAGTATTTCAAGATATTGTTTGGTTACAGTGTCAGCATCAGTAGATCTTAATAATATATTGTTTATTGACACCATTTATAAAAACACACATAAGCTGCATATTTCTATGAGTTTGTATGTACACACACGTATATGTATATGTATATTTTTAAAAATAATTTGGAAGGATACATTTCAAAATGGAAACACTGAAAACAACAGTGACTATTTTAGAGGGGATAACATTTTGTAATATCTAATTCTTAAAATAATGTTTAAAAGGAAGAATGTGGCTGGGCGTGGTGGCTCATGCCTGTAATCCCAGCACTTAGGGAGGCCAAGGCGGGTGGATCACCTGAGGTCAGGAGTTCTAGACCAGCCTGTCCAACATGATGAAACCTCATCTCTACTAAAAATACAAAAATAGCCGGACGTGGTGGCACGCACCTGTAATCCCAGCCACTCAGGGGGCTGAGGCAGGAGAATTACTCCAACCCAGGAGGCAGAGGTTGCAGTGAGCCAAGATCGCACCACTGCATTCCAGCCTGGGCAACAGAGCAAGACTCCATCTCAAAAAAATAGTAATTAAAAAAATAAATAATAAAAAGTAAATGGAAGAATGAATTCTTTTGAAGTGGCCAAGTCAAGTAGTTGAATTTGAATTCATTTTTATACCATTGGTTTTTTTTGTTTGTTTGTTTTTGAGATAGGGTCTTGCTCTGTCACCCAGGCCAAGTACAGGCTGCAAGTAATCCTCTGGCCTCAGCCTCCCAACTACCTGGAACTACAGGCACACAACCCCACAGCCACCTAATTATTAATTTTTTTGTAGAGACAGAGTCTCACTATGTTACCCAGGCTGGCCTTGAACTCCTGGGCTCAAGCAACGCTCCTGCCTCAGCCTCCTAAAGAGCTGGGATTAGAGGTGTGAGCCACCATGGCTGGCCACATACTTTTATTATAAAACTCATTTTCCTCATCAAACAGTGGTAATACACTTTTGCAAATGTTAATGTGCATTTCTCTTTTGCCATTCTCTGTACTTCACCATCTGCTTTGTCAGCAGAGCTGTTTGCCCTGCGGATTTGACAGCAGTGGTATGGCAGGTGAGTGATTAGCAGGAGTGCAAGAGAAAGCATTCATGCTCATCTTTTCATGATTAAAGTAGGGTTATTATTATTTTTAGCTTAGTCTTTTGTTTTGACAGCCACCCTTAGTGGAGAGAGATGAAGATTTTCCAAATTGATTTAGTCCCCATAACATTTCCAGGGCCAAGCCCGGGGTCCTAACCCATAGCACATCTTCTATAACATGGAGAGGATGCTCCTTTCTCCAGTAAGGCTGCACCTCGGTCTAGTGTCCTCAGGAGGATGTGCACCACAGGGCATGTCCAGCCAGGATGTGGAAAGCCTTCTCCCTCTCCTGGCGCCAGGACAAAGGAAGCGGGCAGCGAGCCATGAAATTCATGATGGTGGTTGCTCTCCAGGGCAGGGAGGCTTTCAGGGAAAGCCAAAAGCAGAAAAGGAGCTTTTGCTCCCATCCCACGCAGAGCTCCCAGAGGAAAGCGCCTCATAGGGATCCCACCTCCATCAGCAGCAACCCAGAGAAGCCACATGAGAGTGAAAGTGGAATTAGTGCCATGAAATGTTTAGTCACAGGTTGAGTCTCCCCGGAGTCTCCTTCAGTTCCTGAGTGGTAATGGAAGACATCTAGAAAATTTAGTGTACTCCTGACTGGCCAGGGGGTGACATGGTGCTGGCAAAATGACCCTTTAGCGGAGAGGTGTAGGTAGAGAGACTATGGGTCCTATTTTGTTCAGAAAAGGCCCAGTTTGTGCCTGTTACCCCTGCTTAATTGTTAGTAGCTCCTCCTTTCACTCTCAGAGCCATCCTGGCATGAACAATAAAGCCGATGGTCTCCCTAGATGCAGAGCTCTAAAGCCAGCCAAGGATTGGATAGGGGTCCCAGCCACACCACCGAGAACGTGCAGCAAGACAAGAATGACAGTGTCGAGGGACTAGGGGAAAGATAGTGTGCTCACTGGCAGCAATTAGGGCCCATCTGAGGATATCATGCATGGATTTGAGTAAGTTGCTGTGTATTTGCCCTGCACTGAAAGTAAAAGGCACTGGTCCAGGTGTCACATGTGAACAAGACGATGTGATCTCCGGAAGCCCGGTAGGCGTTTGTCTTTCTTGTGGACCTTCTCAGCGAGGAAACCTCAGAAACTCCACAGTAGACCTTTTACCACCTCTCATCGACAAGAATTGGGTCACGTGCCCACTCTATACCATCCACCACTGTGTTCATCTGGGTCCTCTAAGAATCAAATGCCAAGGCAGGATGAGAAGTGAAAGAAATTTATTCAGGAAATGCCTGTGAGAAAAAAGAGGGAGAGAAAGCAGGGTGATGCTGAGAGAGCCGTCAGTTTGCACTGAAAATCTGACCATGAGTGAAGGAGAGAGGGAAGGAAGGAAGGTTGGATACAAGCATATTAAATGCAGTAGGTTCTAGGAGAATTCAGCAAAGCTGGAGAGGAAACCCTGAGCCAATGTCATTCATCATAGGACTCCAGTGTCTCCCAAGAATGGCTCTGCCTTCAGTACCCTTGCTGTGCTTAGTCACTGGCTAGGAGCATCCCATGGGAAGCTTGACCCAGAACTGGGGCTGTTGGCCAGTGACACCCTTTGCAGTTGTGTATCTGAGCAGAACACTCATGGGTCCTGCCACTAGCAAGGCAAATGTGACCATGGTGATTCACGTAGAACAATCAGGATGTGCGGTGGCTCACGCCTGTAATACCAGCACTTTGGGAGGCTGAGGCAGGCAGATCATGAGATCAGGAGATCAAGACCATCCTGGCCAACATGGTGAAACCCCATCTCTACTAAAAATACAAAAATTAGCTGGGCATGGTGGCACGCGCCTGTAATCCCAGCTACTTGGGAGGCTGAGGCAGGAGAATCACTTGAACCCGGGAAGTGGAGGTTGCAGTGAGCCGAGATTGCACAGCCGCACTCTGGCCGGGTGACAGAGCGAGACTTCATCTCAAAAAATAAAATAAAATAAAATAAATAAAAAAAAGAACAATCAGGATGTATGTGTAAGACACAGGAGGAAGGAATGAACAAGAACAAAATTGAGTGTCTGTAGACTGGAAAGGAGAAATGGATGCTGGTAGGCAATGAAATGTGTCTACTACACTAAGGATTTCTCTTTCTGTAACACATCTGGCTTAATGCCTTTTCTCTCTTTTTTTCTTTTCTTTTCTTATTTTTCTTTTCGGTGGTAATGGAAAAGACTTAGAAACCATTTATGTTTCTCTTAGGCTTATTATTTTAGCCAATTTTGAAATTTACATTTTTCTACGGAAGTATCCAATTCATCCATTTTTCAAACTTAGCTCTTCAAATGTAATCATGGTATTCCCTTATTGTTAAAAACAATCTCCTCTTTACCTATAACAATGTCTCTTTCATTCCTAAACTCGTTTATTGGTTCCTTGCGTAATTGTTGTTTTGTTCAGACCATCCAAACATTGTCTCTGAGACATCTAACAACTACATTTTTGTTTTGTTCGTTAACTCAGAGTTTTTTTTACATTTCTATTTATATAAATTTTTATTTACTTCTTTTATCTTTGTATGGGTTTATTTTGGTATTATATTTTCAGCTGCTAGAGCTGAATTCTTAATTCATTCTATTTTCATTTTTTTTCTCCATTAAATGTATTTAGGGCTATCAGTTTGCCTATACAGAAGTTCTCAATTTTACTGTAATGTAGTTTATCAGCCTTTAACTTTATACTTAGTGCTGTTTGTATCCTGGTTGAGAAATCTGCCTCATCCAGAATCATGAAGAAATTCTTCTTTTTGTTGTTGTTTGTTTGTGGGTTTTTGTTTTGTTTTGTTTTGTTTTGAGATGCAGTCTTGCTCTGTTGCCCAGGCTGGGGTTCGGTGGCACAATCATGACTCACTGCAGCTTTGACCTCCTGGGCTCAAGTGATTCTCTCACCTCAGCCTTCCAAGTAGTTGAGACTACATGTGCACACCACCATGCCTGGCTATTTATTCATTTATTTATTTGAGTCTCTCTCTGTCGCCCAGACTGGAGTGCAGTGGCACGATCTCACCTCACTGCAACCTCCACCTCATGGGTTCAAGCTATTCTCCTGCCTCAGCCTCCTGTGTAACTGGGATTATAGGTGTATGCCACCACACCCAGCAAGTTTTCTGTATTTTTAGTAGAGACAGGGTTTCACCCTATTGGCCAGGCTGGTCTTGAACTCCTGACCTCAAGTGATCCACCCACATCAGCCGCCCAAACTGCTGGGATTACAGGTGTGAGCCACTGTGCCCAGCCAAATTAAACAAAAAAAATTTTTTTTTTGTAGTAACAGGATCCAGCTGTGTTGCCCAGGCTGGTCTCAAACTCCTGAGCTCAAGCGATTCTCCCACCTTGGTCTCCCAAAGTCCTGGGAATACATGCCCATCCCCTAAGATATTCTTCTATGTTTGTGTTTGGAAGCCTTAATATTTTTCTTTTCACACCAAAGGCTATAATCCATCTAGAAATTATTTTGTATATATTGTGAGGTATAATAGAATCAATATTTTTTCTATATGACTGTTTAATTGACCTAGAGCCATTAGGTGAAGAATGATCCATTGCCTATTTCTCTGAAGTCTGGTAATAACAATGTATTTATGGACCCTACTTTGTTTCATTGATCTGTTTGTTTATTTGTGCCAATACCATTGTGAGATATCTACTGTAGCATTAAAATAAGTCTTGATATCTGGAAATGTAAGTTTCAGCTTTGTTCTTGCAGATTATCTTTGCTTTTCTTGACACTGCATTTTTATATCATTGAAATCAGCTTGTCTGTTTTTAAAAATCTGCTGGATTTTGATTGGAATTGCATTGGATCTGTATGTCAATTTAAGGAAAATTGACATTTTCCAATACTAAGTCTTTTAAGTCATAAATATGCCATATCCATACATTTTTTAGTTCTTTTAAAATTTCTCTCAATAATGTTCATAATTTTTACTCTATGTCATTAATATCTTTTATTACATTTATTTTCAGGTGTTGGTTATTTTGATGTTACTATAAATGGTATTTTTTTCAGTTTCTATTTGTTTCTGGGGTGTGGAAATATTGATTTTTGTGTATTGACATTATATTCTTACTATATTCATGTATTAATACTAATAGTTTGTGAATTCTTTTGGATTGTATACGTACGCAATTGTGACATCTGCAAATAATGAAGATGGCAGCTGTCCTTGTTTTGCATCTCACTTCAGGAGCAAAGTTCCCTGTAATTCACCATTGTATATGATGTTTACTATAAAATTTTTTATAGATATTTTATTTGGTGAAAGAATTTTTTCTTTTTCTAGTTTGCTTCATTATGTACAAGCATAGAGCTTTATCAGATGCATTTTCTGCATCTTTAGAGATGATCACATGGTTTTCTCCTTTTTCCTTTTTAATGTAATAAATGACATTGATTTTTCAAATGTTAAACCAACTGTATCTTCCTGTGATAAACCTACTTAGTCATTATTCTTTTCAATTAGAATTTATTGTTAGTTGCCGGGCGTGGTGGCTCACCCCTGTAATCCCAACATTTTTGGAGGCCAAGGCAGGCGGATCACGAGGTCAGGAGATTGAGACCAGCCTGGCTAACACGGTGAAACTCTGTCTCTACTAAAATACAAAAAATTAGCCGGGTGTGGTGGCATGTGCCTGTAGTCCCAGCTACTTGGGAGGCTGAGGCAGATGAATTGCTTCAACCTGAAAGGTAGAGGTTGCAGTGGGCCAAGATTGCGCCACTGCACTCCAGCCTGGGTGACAGAGTGAGACGCCATTTCAAAAAAAAAAAATAGAATTCATTGTTAATATTAATTATTTTATTGTTTGTTAAAAGGTGTATCCTTTTATATATCACTAGATGTGATTTTAAATTATTTCACTTAAGGTTTTTGTTGTTGTTTTGGTACCTATGTGAAGGAAAGGGTTTGCTTGTTTGTTTGTTTTCTTGGAATGCCTTTTTCAGGTCTTGACATTTTATTCTGCTTTTATAAAACAAGTTTAGAAGTGTTTCCTCTTATTCTCTGCAATAGTTTGCAAACGTTTGATGCCTTTTTTTTTCTTTAAATGTTTGGCAGTGTGCACCAGGAAATGTTTAGAATTATGCATTTAATGTCTTTGAAAGATACAGATTCTTTAGATTTTCTTATTTCTTATGTCCGTTTTGTTTCAATGAATTTGTCTATTTCAACTAACTTTTAAAAAGCTATTGGCATACTTTTCATAGCATTCTCTTATTATTTGTTCACTTTCTGAACAACCTGTAGTATGTCCTCTTTCTCATTCCTGTCATTGACTATTTGTGCCTACTCTTCTCCTTGCTCAGTCACATCAGAGGGTTATCAATTTTATTAGACATTTCGCAGAAACAACTTTTGGGTTCATGACTGTTTTACTCTAGTTTTCTTTCCATATCATTAATATCTGCCCCTATCTTTATTATGTCCACTCTTACTTCTTTAGATCCCATAGGCTGTTTTTTTCCTAAACTTCTTGAGATGGATTATGAAATCATTAATTTTCATCTTTTCTCCCTAAAACATGTACATTTAAGTCTATAAATTTCTCTCAATGCATGCCTTATATTTAATTTAATAATTTTGATATGAAATGTTTTCCTTCATCATTCAGTTAAATTACTTTGTAAGTTTCATAATTATATATTCTTTGACTTGTAGATTATTTAGAAGTATAACATCCAACCATGAGGGAATTTTCCAGTAATCTTTTTAAAATTTATTTTTATAGCTTAATTCTACTGTGGTCAAAGAACATACTCCATATTATTTCAATATTTCAAAATTTGTAAAACTTGGTTTGTAGCTCAGAATATAACAAAGTTTGGGAGAATGTGGTGTGTAGTCTTCTGTTGTTGGATACAATGTTCTATGTATGTCAATTAGGTCACGTTTAGTAATTGTGTTATTCAAAATTATAACCTTCCTGATTTTTGTCTGCTTATTCTATCATGAGAGATGTGCTAAAACTACCCCGTGACTGTGCATTGTGCCTTCTGTATTTTGAGGCTAGGTTGGTAAGTATGTTCACATTTAGAATCATTGCATCTTCCTAGTGAATTGACCCTTCTGTTATTATAAAACGTTTCTTTCAGCACTTTGAGGATATCTCCCCATTGTCTTCTGACTTCAGTTTATTCTGTGAAGAAGTCAGCTATCAGTCTTCTTTTTGTTCCTTAGAAAGTAATTTGTCCTTTTTCTTCATCTGCTTTTAAGTGTGTTCCCTTTGTTTTGGGTTTTCATCAACTGGGCTATGGTGTAATTAGTGCCTTTCTTCAGCTTGAGGTCCAGGTGTCTCATGAATCTGTGGCTTGAGATCCACCATCAGTTTTGACAGATTCTCATTTATTATCTCTTCAGATTAACTTCTGTCCCAAGCTCTTTGTTATGTATTTATATGTAATTATACCTTTACCTGTATCCAATTTGTCTAATTTCCACTTTCTTTTTATCTGTCATTTTACTGATCCTTTGCTCAGGTGTGTCTGATTCAGGGATCAGCAGATTACGACCAGCAGGCCATCACTGTTTTTGTAAATAAAGTTTTATCAGAACAGCCACCCCTATCTGTTTACACATTGTCAATGGCTACTTTTGCACTATACTAGCAGAATTGAATAGTTGCAACAGAAACCATGTAGCCTGAAAACCTAAAATGTTTACTATCTGGCTCTTTATAAAATACTTGCCAAAGTCTATTTTAATCCACTTTTAAGTTTGTCCATTGAGATATTGATTTAAATTATTGCATCTTTTATTCCTAGAATTTCCATTTTAGTTATAGCTTGTTTCCAGTGAAATTCCCCATCTTATAATTTGATTTCTTGAACATTTTAATCTTGTTCCAAGTTCTCTGAAAAACAGAGCCCGAGGCAAAGTGTTCCAATACTTATGTTATAATCATAGGAATAGCATAAGGTGTTGCTAGGCCCCTCCTGCGGGGAAACAAGACTGAAGCCAAGGCCAGGGTTGCAGGAGGTGGTAATGGTGTACTTAAGTTTTTATATTTTCATCAGTTAATACCAATATCTGGATTTCCTGTCATTATGTTTATAATATCTATTTTTTTTCACTTTTTTGGGTTGTCATTAAATTTTGTTTTTTCTATTCTTGGTTATTTTTAAAGTTTGTGCTGTATATTGTGGAAGAAAGGTTGTGGATATAATTTGAGATTGTTGCAGATTTATTGATACTCTGTTAAAATCCCCTTTAAAAATTATTATCGGATTATTTTTGCTTCTAGATCTTCAGTCTAACACTCTTCCAACTGGATTATTTTAGCTGTCTTATTTTTGCTTCTAGAAGACAGCTAGGTTAGCAACCAGTGATCTTTATCCAACAAAGAATTGAAATAACTTGAACCAGGGCTTTATTCCCTTTGAAGGTTGTCGTGTTTCCAGTTTACTTTATTCCTATGATAGAACTTTCTAGGGTCCTGGGTTGGGAACCTGGGGTGTTTACCAACACCTGACACCTTGGAAGGCCTTGAGCTCTAGTGTTCGCTTTCCACTACGTGAGGCTGATGACAGATCTGTCCAGTTTCTCAGCTGCTCAGCCACCACTTGCAGACTGGAAAATGCCTTGAGCAAAAAGGTAGAGCCAAATGTCATGCCAAATTTGCTCACATTTCTGAGTTTCTTTTGTGTCTTTGGTCTTAGTCCTGCAAATCCTCACTGGCATGGTAGTTTTCTGATGCACTAAAATACACTAAAAATATTTTATGGGCCAGGCGCTTTGGCTCATGCCTGTCATCCCAGCACTTTGGGAGGCTGAGGCAGGTGGATCACCTGCTGTCAGGAGTTTGAGACCAGCCTAGCTGACATGGAGAAACTGCATCTCTACTAAAAATACAAAAACTAGCTAGGCATGATAGTGTGCGCCTGTAATCACAGCTACTCAGGAGGCTGAGGCAAGAGAATCCCTTGAACCTGGGAGGCGAAGGTTGCAGTGAGCTGAGATCGCACCACTGTTCTCCAGCCTGAGTAACAGAGCGAGACTCCCTCTCAAAAAAAGAAAAAAAAAGGCCGGGCGCGATGGCTCACGCCTGTAATCCCAGCACTTTGGGAAGCGGAGGTGGGCGGATCATGAGATCAGGAGATCGAGACCATCCTGGCTAACATAGTGGAACCCTATCTCTACTAAAAAAAATACAAAAAATTAGCCAGGCATGGTGGCGGGCACCTGTAGTCTCAGCTACTTGGGAGGCTGAGACAGGAGAATGGTGTGAACCCGGGAGGCAGAGCTTGTAGTGAGCCGAGATCGCGCCACTGCACTCCAGCCTGGGCGACAGAGCGAGACTCTGTGTCAAAAAAAGAAAGAAAGAAAGAAAAAAGACAGAAAAAGAAAAAGGAAAATTTTAGGCAGCATTTTTATTTATTCTCATTGGGGAGATTCATCAGAAACAAGCAGTCCTGCCACAGCCAGAAACAAAGCTCCTTAGCAGTGTATCCTATCTCTGTAATACCTGTGCTGTCTCCACTCCGTTACCATAACCCTGCCTCTCCTCCCCTACACACACATCTTGTGTCTGGAATTTTTATGTCATTTTGTAATTAAGCACATAAAACCACTATTTTAAAATCAGTCCTTGTTTAGATTCTCTCATAAGCTTTACTGATTTATTTAATCATTATTGCTTCTTGCATCTCACCACTTCTGTATTTATATTAGTTCTTAGGTACATTCTTTAGTAGTTTTTTTTCTTTTTTTCCAGTGAATATCTCTAAGTGTTAAAGTTTCACAATCTTTTTGTGTCGGAAAATATATTTATTTCATTGATTAATGATTGGTCATCTGATTATAGGTGAATAGCTGATAACTGATTACTGATTAATAACTTGGTTATAGAATTCTAGATCCAATATTCTTGTCCCTCACCACTTTGAGGACTTGACTTTGTTTTCTTGAATCCAATATTGCTTGTGAGAAATGTGATGTTAATCTGATTTTTCACATTTTTCTAGGTAATCATATTTTTGTATGTGATAACTTTTAGGATTTTTGTTTATGCTTTTTGTTTTATTTTTTAAAATGTCTAGAACTCAATGAGCATTTTGAAACAGAGACTTCTGTCTTTCTTAAAATCTAGGAAATTCTAAGCAATTATATCATTAAATATTGTCTCTTCATCATTCTATTTGTCTATTATCTCTATTTTTTAAAGAAATATAGCAGATTTATTGATATTCCTTATTAAAATTCCCTTTAAAAATTAAACTGTATTATTTTGATAAGCTGTTTCTTCCACTAAATATAGCATTTCTCATATGAAATATCTTTTATAATACTATTTCTATTTTATTTTATTTTATTTTATTTTATTTTATTTTATTTTATTTTTTGAGATGCAGTCTCACTCTGTTGCCCAGGCTGGAGTGCAATGGTGTGATCTCGGCTCATTGCAACCTCTGCCTCCCGGGTTCAAGCAATTCTCCTGCCTCAGCTTCCCGAGTAGCTGGGATTACAGGCACGTGCCACCACACCCAGCTAATTTTTGTATTTTTAGTGGAGCCAGGGTTTCACCATGTTGGCCAGGCTGGTCTTGAGCTCCTGACCTCAAGGGACCTGCCTGCCTCAGCTTCCCAAAGTGCTGGGATTACAGGCATCAGCCACCACGCCTGGCCCACCATATTTATTTTTATTGTTAAAATTTTTTATCCCAATTTTATTTCTTTTTTTTTTTTCAATTGCATTTTTTAGAGATTTTTCTTTTTCATGTTTTTTTGAGACAGAGTCTTGCTTTGTTTCCCAGACTGGAGTGCAGTGGCGTGATCATGGCTCACTGTAGCCTCAAACTCCTGGACTCAAGGTGTCTTCCTGCCTCAGCATCCCCAGTAGCTATAGCTGGGACTACAGGTGCATGCCACCACACCTGGCTAATTTTAAACTTTTTCTTTTGGAGAGATAGGATCTTGCTATGTTGACCAGACTGATTTCAAACTTCTGGCCTCAAGTGATCCTCCTGCCTTGAACTCCCAAAGTGCTAGGATTACAGGTGTGAGCCACTGTGCCTGGCCTGGTTTTTCTAACACATTAATTTTTTCTTTTACTTTTTTTTTTTTAGATGGAGTTTCACTTTTGTTGCCCCGGCTGGAGTGCAATGGTGCGATCTCAGCTCACTGCAACCTCCGCCTCCCGGGTTCGAGCTATTCTCCTGCCTCAGCCTCCTGAGTAGCTGGGACTACAGGCACATGCCACCACACCCAGCTAATTTTTGTATTTTTTAGTAGAGACCAGGTTTGCCATGTTGGCCAGGCTGGTCTCAAACTCCTGACCTCAGATGATCTACCCACCTCAGCCTCCTAAAGTGCTGGGATTATAGGCGTGAGCCACTGTGCCTGGCCACATTAATCTTTTCTTAGCATTTTTAATTGACAAAAATTGTACATATTTATAGTGTATAACATGATATTTTGAAATATGTGTATATTGTGGAATGGCTAGATGGAACTAATTAACATATATGTTACCTCATTGGTGCCCTATTTCCTTTTTTTTTTTTTTTTTTTTTTGAGACAGTGGTTCAAGACATTCTCCCACCTCAGCCTCCTGAGTAGCTGGGACTACAAGCATGTGGCACCATGCTGGGCTAATTTTTGTATTTTTAATAGAGATGGGGTTTCACCATGTTGGCAAGGCTGGTCTCGAACTCCTGACCTCAAGTGATCTACCTGCCTTGACCTCCCAAAGTGCCGAGATTACAGGTGTGAGCCACCGTGCCTGGCCCCCATTTCCTTTTAATTAGATACTAGACTGTTTAAACACCATATATTTGTACACTTAAGTTGAGTTCTTGCAGTTGTGCTTCTAGAAGAATTTTTCAGAAGGATGTGCTTAAATATATTATTATTAAAAATGTAAGAGTCTCCACTATGTGCTATATTGTGAGCAAACCCAAATCAATTCTCAATCTGTGTCGTCAAAATTAAAATCCAATGTTTCAGGAAGAAAGACAGTGTGAAACGAACAAACAAAAAAGTCTACCTACATTTTTTGTGAATCCATTCACAGGCATGGAATTATCTGGAAAAATGACTCCAGGGAGATTTGCAGAAGATCACCTGAGCCCCCATTTATGACAAATCTTAATGAAATGTCATCACATCTTAAACTTATTGGACTCTTGCCCCATAGTTTTTCTAATGGATGGGTGGTTGTCTACATACATGAAGAACATTTATCTTATTTTGAAAGGTGTGGAAAGCACTAGCTCCTTGTTTGCACGTGTGTTCTCACAGTTCTCTTTGTCCAGACCAGGTACACTGCAGCCAAAGACAGCGTGGTTCAGTTCTTCTTTTACCAGCCCATCAGTCATCAGTGGAGACAAACTGACTTCTTTCCCTGCACTGTGACGTGTGGAGGAGGTGAGGCCCAGGCTTTGTTCATGAATATTTAGAGCTCAGAGTTAGATAAATTAGACATTTACATTTTTGAAGCTGATTTTAAAATTGGTGTGGTGATTAGAGATGTCTCATCACACAGCACCTTACTCAGCAGCCTGAATGCAATCGTGTTAATGAAGAAGATGCATTTGCCTTTATTCTTGAAGACAGGTGCAAAACTGGATTTGGAAAATACCTTTTACTTTTAGCCAAAAAAAAAAAACAAAACAAAACTGTAAACAAACTTGTTTTCATGTGTTACTGCATTTCTCTTCTTGATTGCCCTTAAAGTACGTATTATTTTTAATTTTCTATGAAAAATCTGAGAAGCAGAAAGATGGAGTGACTTGCCCAGCCTGGTTGAGTCAATGGGTGTGTTGGTTCTAACGTTAGATTTACAACTTTTCTCTCCTCAGGTGCAAGAGTATAAGCTTATTAAAAAGAGAAAGGGTCCCTACTAAGTGTTAAGGGGAAAGCCCTGCTTATTGTCTGCTTAGTTCAAGGTCTTTTTTTTTTTTGAGTCTCGCTCTGTCGCCCAGGCTGGAGTGCCGTGGCCAAATCTCGGCTCGCTGCAACCTCCGCCTCCCAGGTTTAAGCGATTCTCATGCCTCAGCCTCCTGAGTAGCTGGGATTACAGGTGCCCACCACCATGCCTGGCTAATTTTTGTATTTTTAGTAAAGACAGGTTTCACCACGTTGGCCAGGCTGGTCTTGAACTCCCAACCTCAGGTGATCTACCTACCTTGGTCTCCCAAAGTGCTGGGATTACAGGCATGAGCCACTGTGCCCAGCCTTTTTCAAGGTTTTCATAGGCAGTTGAGGAAGGTTTGGGGACAAGTGTAATCCAGGGCTCCACACACACGCTACAAAAGCAGCATCTTTCATGCTCCGGTGGAAGATAATTGTCCATTTGATATGGAGAACTGGCAACTCTCTGGAGCAAATTAGGAGGCAACTAGAGCTACTGTCAAAATAATTCTCTTTTTCTGAACTGACCTTTTAAATCAAAGAATAAATGCATGCAACCCAGGAACCATGACTTAGTAGAATAGGGATTTATGTTGAAGCTTCCCCTTAGAGTACCAGGCAGTGGTACTATGTGTTTACCATGTGTCAAGCCAAGGGTTAGATGTTCATAATCACATTTATTCTTGACGAAAACCCTAAGGAAGGTCTCTTTTATTCCTGTCTTATGCATGAACAAACTGACACTTAGAAAGTGTAAAGAGCATACAGTAGTATCTTGTTCAGCTAGTAAACAGTGCAGCTAGGATCTGGTGCCAGGTCTGCTTGATGTCAGAGTCATGCTCTAAATGACTTTGCCCTTTGCCTCCCCTAAACCTCCTACTACACCTGGGACCAGATCAGGGTATACAGGCTCAGGTATGGTCTTGTTTGAAGAGCTAGAATAAATCCTTCTCCAGCCCAGCCTAGCTCCACATCTTTTCAATCCTTGAAGCCTACCGCATATCAATTTACTTAGAGTCAGAAACTGGCCTTTCTCCTTTAAACTACAGGTATATGAAGGAGGGCTCTTCAGTCAGTGAATATGCTGTGAATATGCAGGCAGATGTCTCTCTTCTGGAATTTAGGCTCCCCCTAAAACAACAGGGCAGGCACTTTTTTGGGAAGCACTGGGCAGCCCAGGCCCAAGAAGAAGTTTATGTCCCTGGAAATGGAAGAGAAGACTGAATAGTGCCACAGAAAGAAAGTAAAAGTGAATCTCCCCAGTTCGCCAGCTAGTTCTTCCCAGGGCCAGGGTTGAGGCAATGGACCACTTGATTATGATCCTGCAGCAGTGATTCTCACAGTGGGCTTCCTGGACCTGCAGCATCAGCATCTCCTGGGAACTAACTAGACATGCAGATTCTCAGGCCCCACCACAGACCTACTGAGTCAGAAACCCCAGAGTGTGGCTCATCCTCCAGGAGATGATGGTACACACTCCACTTTGAGAACCATTGCCTCTTTAAGCCAGTGTCTTTGGATAGCAGCTGGAGCCATATTGCCATCACTATTTTTGCCATATCTGTGTTATTCCTGCACTGTTATTTACTAAAGGATTTTTCTTTAAGGGGGCATTTATTCAACTTAAATAAACATATTAACAAAAAGAATTTAGTAGTACTACCGTAAGTGGAAATCTATCCCTTGTCACAAATAGAGTACAATCACAAAATTAATACAGTGAAAACAAACCAGTGGAGTAAGTCATCTTCAAGTTTCTACCAGCTCTGACATTCATTCAGGTTATTTTCAATTCCTCCAGAATTTTCTTGAATGTTACAAGCATTTTTATGAGGCAAAGGTTCCTTTACATCTTTGAGTCACTTATGACTCTTTGGGTACTCTTACTCTGCAGAAAAACAAACATTTCTCTCTCTCCTTTTTGTTTGTTTGTTTGTTTTAGAGGCAGGTCTCACCAAGTTGCCCAGGCTAGACTCAAACTCCTGGGCTCAAGCGATCCTCCAGCCTCAGCTTCCCGAGTAGCTGGAACTACAGGCATGTGCCACCATGCCTGGCTAATTTTTAAAGTATTTTGTAGAGATGGCATCTCACTATGTTGCCCAGGCTGGTCTCCAACTGGTGGGCCCAAGCCATCCTCCCACTCCAGCCTCTCGAGTAGCTGGGAGTGCAGGCGTGTGCCACCATGCTTGGCTCAAACATCTATTTTTTTTTAAATTTTATTTCTTTGTTCTTACACATAGTCATTCAGAGAGACGTTCACATTTGGATCCATAAGATAAAAGACACTTACTACTCCAGAGGAGACATTTTATAGTGGGATTCAGCTTAGTCCAGTTGATCAAATTCTTGGGAAGCAAATAGGTGTTTCTCCTACTTGGGTGCCCATGGAAAGACATAGTCCTGCTGGAACTATAAATGTGCATGAGCACTTAGCAGTGAGATCGTCTCCAAAGACAGCAGTGGATGTAAGAACAGAAGGGAGATTTTAGGCTGCTTTTGGGGTTCCTGCCGTTTTCTATACACTGGCAGAATTTCAATACATTTGTTCAAGATATAGAAAGGCAATCTGCCTCATTTCTTTTGCTTTTTGCTATTTCTAAACTGTGATAAAACAAAAGAGGAAAATTAATTGTCTCTCCTCAAATTATAAACACCTGTATATGCCCTGTTTTCATTTAGAAGTCTATTTCTATTTAGAACAAAGATTTTTTTTTTCTGACTCAAGGAGCTGTAATCTCATTTTGTACTTGTTTTGGGGAAAATAAAACACACACATAAAACCCACAAGGAAAACATTACCAAAATTTAATTATATTAGTAATCAAATCTGTGTGATGTGTGTGAATGGAATTTCAGAGTTTTTTGGATAATCAAGAAAATTAGTTCATCGGTCTCTAAGGTACCGGGGGTACTTGAATGGACTTTCCTAGTCCCGTCTGTAATCGTCGATGTGAGACACTTGAGATCAATTTGGAGAAGGTACCTAGATTGCCATTGCCATCTGATATCGTTGACTTTCTGGCAGATATTGGCACCCAAGTAACATTTTATTGACTCCATTTGGATTTTCATTCTTGCGGTTTCGACCTTGCTTTTTATAATGCATACCAGTCCGTCCTTCTGCACTCAGCTTACATCCAAGCCATGTCTTGTAGAAAGCTGTCTAGTGGTTTATAAAATCAGATTCCTCTCGACAATCAGGACTTTAAATGTATTTTTAGACCTTTAGACCAACTGGCAGAGGCAGAGTGCTTGGCTTTGGGCATTTTTTCTTTCGTAAAGAGCTCATTCTAGTTTTGAAAAATTACCTTTTTTTGAAAAAGTTTAACTTTAACAAGACACTTATGTGGTGACAGGAAACTTGGAATCAGATCTTTCAGGAAATAGAAGCATCATTTTGTGACTTGCTTTTTAAATTTATAGCACTCATCTATTTGCAAAGTTCACTTTCCTCAGAAACTCTACAAATTAGATTTAATAGAATCAGGAATAAGTCTTCATTCCTTCCGTTTGAAGGCTTGTGAGATGAGGGCTGGGGAGTGACATACGGGGATGGATTTTGTTCCTTTCTGTATAGACAATGCTTAATTCCCCATTTGGAAAGCTTATTGGTATTGCAGGTGCCTGTGGCATCCCAGGGGAGCAGAGGAGTAAAATGCGGTACTGTGTATGCATATCATAAAATGTTATGAAAGAAATATTCAACCCAGCAACCACCCAGCGCAAGGGTAGTTCTCAAAAACATGATGTTGAGTGAAAAAAGTGGAAAACGGAACAAGATTTAAAACACATTATCATTTATTAAGTTAAAAACAGATACACAAAAAAACAACCTTACGTAAGACGGTTGCATATTTCAGGACGTATCAACAACAAATCGAAATAGGTGTGTTGCGGGGATTGGAATGGGAGTGTCAATAAGGGAAGAAGAGAGATTATACGGAAATGAGAGAAGGGCCTTGCACAGTGCCGTGGTGACAATGAGGAGAAAAGACAATGAACCCAGGAGAATGAATAACTCTCCTGCACCTGGGCTGGAAACAGTTCTTAAGAGGAGACTATTGTCATTTTTTAGTTCGAAGTGCTGAGAGTACCACAGTTGGTATTAATTGTCGTTCTCAATTTTGGCCACGCATTTTAGTCATCTGAGAAGAACCTGAGAATCTTTTTAAAAAGATACTGTTTTCCTGGATCCCAGCCACAGGACTTCTGACTTAATTGGACCATGAAGGAACCTGGGCATTAGAGTATATTAAAAGCTCCCATGTGGTTCTGTTATAGAGCCAGGGTTGAGAACCACTGAGTTAAGTTTCTTAAAGAGGAAAAAAAAAAGTGTGTGGCAAGTGATAACTCTGCCAAGTAAAAATGAAACGGATGCAATATTCAGACTTGCCTTTTCTAACACTTTAGGTTATCAGCTCAATTCTGCTGAATGTGTGGATATCCGCTTGAAGAGGGTAGTTCCTGACCATTATTGTCACTACTACCCTGAAAATGTAAAACCAAAACCAAAACTGAAGGAATGCAGCATGGATCCCTGCCCATCAAGGTTTGTGTCATTGTCCACACCCTTTTTACTTCAAAAAGAAACAAATCAGCTTCAACTGAGACTGATCAATCTTTGCAGGGCAATACATTTCCATTTCCTGGCTTTGTCTACTGGCGGCAGGTGCCTACATTCACATTTGTAACTATGGTGCATAGGAATTAGGACACATTCATTAGGAATGAAAGTCTAGCTTTCTCTTGTCGTGGGCTATGTGTTCCTAAGTTTTTTTATAATGAACCCTTTTGAACAGCTCCTGCTCTCTTCATCCAAGTAAAATGTCTAGTCCATCTGCCAATCATAAATATCTTTCACTCACCACTTTAGCTTTTAAACTGGGTCACTCATTATCATCTTTTGGCTTTTGAAGTATTCATATTAAATTCAGTATAAATAATGCATTGTGCAAGGAAGTAAAAGTTTTAATGCCAAAGTATAAAAAGCTATGTGTAAACTATCCTATTGCATAATTTAGTACCTGCTGACTTGGATTGCCTGGGGAAGTTTCCTGGCTTACTACAATACCTTAAAATAACAGAACAATATCAAGTCCCAGAATCCTCCAGATATCTGCCAGCTGGCTTAGGAAGAAGTGTGCAAGTGGAAAAGGAAGCGTTCTCAGTGGATTTCATTTCCTGTTACTGAACTGCACATTTCCTGTAAGCCTGGTTGAACATAATTATTAATAGAGACCTTTCAAAGGACAAATTCTGTGAAATAAAGTGGTTTTCTGAAGAGCCTACTAATAGGACAGTGTGTTAATATCACTAATATATTAAGAGAGTAATGATTATAAAAAGGAATAAATTTATTGAAATTGCAAGATACTTTTCTCCTTTGATTAATATACTGCTAGTTTAGTTTTCTACATTTTCAAATAGAACTGGGGAATTTGTGTCGTAGATATTCTTGACAACTAAAGAGATGGTGGCTGAATTTTTGGGAATGGTTGATAACACTTGATATTTTTAGTTTCCAATTTGGAAGAGCTCTGTCTCTTGGGATGTCAAATATTATATTCGTCAATTAATGAATGTGTTAATTTATTATAGAAATGATATTCTCACAATGATTTCATTTGTAGTGATGGATTTAAAGAGATAATGCCCTATGACCACTTCCAACCTCTTCCTCGGTGAGTTATATGTTTCCTTTTCCTTTTTGCAATTTAAGTAGTTTGCAAGGAACTGTAGCATCTGTAGCAATAGCCTAAAATGTATGAGGGTTAGATATTAAATACTTTATAGAGCTAAGGGAAAACAGACTTCTACTCAATAATAGGAAAAATCTTTCTAAGAATTAGATGGAATAGACTGCCTCAAAAGATGATGTTTCCCATCGCTAGAGCTGTCAAGCATATCTTGGACAACTGAGTATTATAGCAGGAGCTCAAGTGTTGCAATTAATCAGAAATTTTAATCCCCTTTTATACCGAGATGAGTAGTATGGTCCTTCCTGACTCTGAGGTTCTGTGATTCTCTAATAATATTGTCCATTAGTATTTAACAGTTTAGAGGCAGTTTGAAGATGCAGCCACACTGTATGTTTTAATTGATTTAATTTTCACAATGGTCTTATGAAGGGTAAATAGGGAAGGTATATTATTCCCAGTTGACAGAAACCCCGGATGTGAGGAGCTAAGTACCTTGTGACAAGAATTTGTGTGTGGCAGTTAAGAATAAAGTCTTGGCCGGGCGTGGTGGCACATGCCTGTAATCCCAGCACTTTGGGAGGCTAAGGCAGGCGGATCACTTGAGGTCAGGAGTTCAAGACCAGCCTGGCCAACATGGCGAAACCCCATCTCTACTAAAACGTAGAAAAATTAGCCGGGCTTGGTGGCAGGTGCCTGTAATCCCAGCTACTTGAGAGGCTGAAGCAGGAGAATAGCTTGAACCCAGGAGGCAGAGGTTGCAGTGAGCCAAGATCTTGCCACTGCACTCCAGCCTGGGTGACAGAAAGAGACTCCATCTTAAAAAAAAAACTAAATTAATTAAAATTTAAAAAAGGCTGGGCACAGTGGCTCATGCCTGTAATCCCAGCACTTTGGGATGCTGAGGCAGGCGGATCACGAGGTCAGGAGTTCTAGATTAGCCTGGCCAACATTGTGAAACCCTGTCTATACTAAAAATACAAAAATTAGCCGGGCGTGGTGGCGCATGCCTGTAATCCCAGCTACTAGGGAGGCTGAGGCAGGAGAATTGCTTGAACCCGGGAGGCAGAGGTTGCAGTGAGCCAAGATTGCGCCATTGCACTCCAGCCTGGGTGACAGAGCGAGACTCTGTCTCAACAAAAAAAAGTATAAAGTCTTATGACTCCCAGTCCCAGGCTCATTCAGCTGAACCACAATTGATACCTTAAGGCCATACTTTTTGCCACCATCTTTGCAAACTTCAAACAAACAACAAATAAATAATATAATTTTATTTGTTTGCTTTTGAGCTGGGAACATAATCCTTGGACTGCATGTTCCGTGTCCTGTGGAGGAGGGATTCAGAGACGGAGCTTTGTGTGTGTAGAGGAATCCATGCATGGAGAGATATTGCAGGTGGAAGAATGGAAGTGCATGTACGCACCCAAACCCAAGGTTATGCAAACTTGTAATCTGTTTGATTGCCCCAAGTGGATTGCCATGGAGTGGTCTCAGGTAAGATTTGAGAATATGCCACTTTTAATTAATTCTCATATTTTAAGGGATATTTTCTATATGCCCACCATGGTGCTAGACAGCATGGAGACAAAAAAAAAGTGGTAAAAGAGCATGGTTCCTACTCCAAAGAGCTTAGGAAGACAGTTGGAGGACGAGGGAAGAAAGACCACAAGCATCATGGTAGGTAAGGATAATTAATATTAAGGACATTAATAATAATATTTCCATACAATTACCAGCGTAATTAATATTAAGTACTGTAAAGAACAAATCTGTAAAGAACAAATGTTGAAGCAGAGTCAATCAGGAATTATTTGTTGCCCTTGTGGTGCCTAATCCATCTTTGAATAATTTAAACAAGCAAGAATTACAATTTAAATTGTTTAAATTCTTTGAAGAATGTAAACAAGCAAGAACCTGAGAAACATCACTGGGTTAGGGTTAGTGTTAGGGAGATGGCCAAACAGAGATGGCTTGAGCAAAGGCAGTAATGACAAGAAGTGACTCAAAGTTGAAGATTTGAAGAGATGACCCATGATACTAAGAACTGGAAGATTAAGAGATTGAAGAGATGGCCCATGTTACTAAGAATTGGGAGATTAAGTTGGAAATGCTGACACGACATGAAAGTGTGTGTCCTTGATCCAGTAGCCACTAAGAACCTTCACAATTTTTGTGAAGACATAATATATTTTAAGTAATTGAGGCAAGATAGCCTAACATTGGGAAAGACCAGAGGCGGGCAGCCTATTTAGAAATCATCCGTGGGGTCAAGTTGTATGAAAAAAGAAAACAGAAGAAGGAAGACACCTCAGAGGTATAACAAGGTTCATGTCAAATTAGCGTAGTTTTCACTTTCTAAAGAGATGACTGAGTAAGCCTCCAGAACAAATAAAATGCAGCCGGATTAGTCAAAGATGAAAAATGCAGACATTGGTATTTAATTATTTAATCTTAATCCTTTAATTTTCTAGAGAGTGAGATGTAGTTGACTCAAGTTTCTCCAGCTTTCTTAAGTGATTTCTGCACACTTAGTTCATCATATATGTGCATTAATATATCTATTCATATATTTATTCAATGGGTCAGCTACCATACTAAGAAGTAAATACAACTTGCTCCAACCACCCAAAAGCTTAGAATCTAGTTGCACAGACATGCATGCAAACAAAGTTGTGTTACAGTATTGTATTGTGCATGAGTAGTGTCATGTGCCCAGTACTTCAGAGGCACAAGGTGGAATGATTCACTCCATCTGAAGGTGTCAGGAAAGCTTCAGAAAGGAGGTAGCACTTGAACCTGAAGGACAAGTGTCAGGTAAAGACCATATTAATCTTTTTCTGATATCCCCAGACTAAACATCATCACCCTGTAAGAACTTTATTCAAACTTGCTGGGGAAGAAGTTACCAATTAATTTTTGGTCACATACTCCCTAAAAAGAAGATTAGAGAATTACGTATTTCTTCACATATATTTAGGTTGACATCTGAAATTTCCTATCACAAGTTTAAATAATTACAAAGAATATCATTTCAACATGTTGTGAATGTTGACATTTTAAAATAAGAGTGTTGCAGCATTCAAAAAAATCTGTCTAGTGGAATTTAAATGCCATGATAATTTCTGTCTTTGCCATCTTTCATTTAAAAAATACAGGGGCGAGCTCTTCTTTAACAATTTGGATGTTGAGCATATTTCTCCCTTTGAACTCACATTTGCAATCTACTCTCCCCACAGAATTTTATTCTAATATAATGTATTTTTATGCTTTAAAGTCTTTTTTTAATTACACTATTCTACTTCTCTCCAAGAAAATATATATGATCATTGAAATTAATTTATTTTACTTTCCTGTGGCCATAAGGCCCTAAGTATTTAAAATATTCCTCTGAATTGAGTTAATTTTAATACACAGTCAAAATAACATATATATATATATATTTCAAAGTTTGGTAAATAAGAATAACACATAAAAATTACATTTTCATTTGAATACACACTTAGTTCATCGTGTACATGCATTAATATATCTTGATAGAAGATAAGTGGAACTTAAAAAATAGTCCATATATTCATCATCAGAATGAGCCATGTGTTCAGCAATGATTTTATTGTTAATTTTTTCTATTGGTTTCTTATTTTGTTTTGTTTGCCTTTGCATGTATACACTGGGAAAGCTTGTTCACATAAATCAATAGACCGGGATGGAAGGATTTTATTTTAGCAAGGTCGGTTTGTTCTTTGAACTCTTGAGTTACGTGCCAGAATTCATGTGATGGTCTATCATCAAAAATTATTTTTAAGGGTCTTTCTACTGGCAATTTAAGTCCTCTTTCTATTTTGTTGAAAGCAAAAAATATCATCTCAGCTGCAAAAGGATTTGTTATCGAGACATTAGGGACTTTCACTTTTTCAGCCCCCAATCAACATTATTTCTACAACTGCAGAGCTTGTTTTCAGCTCTCATAAGTCCTAGCCATATGTTTTATGTTGGCTTTAGAGCTTTTATATCACTCTCCATCCCCATAAATATCATGACTTTATCATTATGTATATTATCAGAATAGAGGATGTTAACTAGCTCTTCTCATTCACCATACTTCACCCTTAATACTTTTCACTTTTTTCAAAAATCAAATATATTCTCAGTGATGAGGATTTTCCATCATCGAGGACATATGCAGCTCCACAGAGGAGTTCTGGAACCGTTGTAAACAGTGACAGTGCCATTAGGGGAAGTGTCCGGCTTCCCAGAACGGCGGTTTAAAAGGAGAGGATACTCCTTTGGATTAACCAGTTGTAGTATAGTTATATCTTGTACTGTTTTCTTTCTTTTTGGGTGAATTTTTTTCTTTCTTGGCTAAAACAGCCACTCAATATTATATATATATATATCTCAAATTGATAAATTTGGGGGTAGGTGAGTCAATTTTCCAAAAACAGGGTAATCTCAAGCTTCGCTGAACTCATTAAAGTATTTGTTCAGTGGTTTCAAGAGTGGCATCATGAACTAGAGAGATTTCCCAATATTCTGCCTGATGTGTGTACACTGAGAAAGGCCTCCATATCCTCGAAACATATCTTTGAAACTTGTCCCTAGCAACACCCAGGTACAAAGTGCTTAGGGGGTCAGAAAATAATTTTCAAGCTCCTTAAAGCGGTGGCTTGGCCGTGGCTTTGGCAATAGATGGCTCTGGGAGGAAATTCCACTCTGCCTGTTAGGAACTGTGTGACCTTGAGCAAGATCCTTAGATGGTGGGCCATTTGCTTATCTGTTCAATAAGCCTGAAGCTACTGACCCGGAAGTGGGTCGGGAGGATTCATGAGATAACAAATGAAGGAGGTGCCTGTCCCATAGCAGGTAACCAAAGGCAACCAAGAACCCTCAGCCCCTCCCTGGGGTGGATCCAGAATTAGTGGGGTCTGAAGTTTGTACAGATTGGAGGGGACTCCTCAAAAACAAGAATATAAAACACAAATATTGAGTATTGAAGAGAATGTTTATTTAGAATCAGAAAGGAAATTATAAGAAATTACAAATTTTAGAAAGCTGACAACAACCACATTGTGAACTCTGGACTTGATAATATTTAATAATGATATATTAAATGATGTATTAGTTATGTTAATAATGATGTATTAATAGGGGTTCATCGGTTGGAACAATGGCACCACACTAAGGCAAGATGTTAATAATAGGGAAAATCATAGGGGGAAAAAGGGGTGAAGGGGAAGATTGGCGCTGTCTGTACTGTCTGCTCAATATTTCTATAAACCCAATATGGTCCTCAAAAAATATAGTCTATCAATTTTTTTTAATGCGTACATATATACACTCCCCAACATGCAGATTATATTAGTCCATTCTCACACTGCTGTAAAGATACTACCAGAGACTGGTTAATTTATAAATGAAAGAGGTTTAATTGACTCACAGTTCCACATGTCTGGGGAGGCCTCAGGAAACTTACAGTGATGGTGGAGGGTGAAGTAGAAGCAAGTACCTTCTTCACAAGGCAGCGGGAGACGGAGAGAGAGCATGAAAGGGGAAGAGCCCTTTATAAAACCATCAGATCTTATGAGAACTCACTCACTATCATGAGACCAGCATGGGGAAAACTGCCCCCATGATCCAATCACCCTCTACCAGGTCCCTCCCATGACAAGTGGGGATTATGGGGATTACAATTCAAGATGAGATTTGGGTGGGGACACAGAGCCAAATCATAACAGATAAATTTGAAAAGCTATTCTAGATTTTTATATGACATGAAAACATTCCACTCATAGGCAAGAGTAACTTTCAAATCATAAACAAATAATCCAAGAAAAAAAATGCTGACAACACAAACTTCACAAAAATTCAGAAAAATAATAGCATAATGTTTTTATTAACTTTAACTGCAGGCAGTTATAGATGTATGGGGATACATCTATAGTATTTTTTTCTATAGCGTTTGGCTGAATACTCTTTGATGGCCTCGTTATATGGTAGCAGTTTTGCAAGACTGACTTCTATAGACAGAATAGAAAAATAATCCTCTGGCATAATTCATTAGAATTTTATTATATTTTTATTGACAGTTCAGAAAGGTTTCATTCGTCTTCAAAAATTATTTTGGGTAGGGTCATGTAAACGTTTAATCAAACTTGAGAAAACTTGTAACAAGTTTCTTTGATATTTGAGCAGTAAGATTTCAGGGCATTTTTAATTTCTTGAACTATGATCTCACCTTAAATACTTTTTGAATTGAGAAGTGGAACAAGGTTGTACAAAAGAGGGGCCCTGAAATACAAGTATCACAGAAAATTAGCCTCTGTACCCTTCCTTACATAATATTTGTCTAAAAGTCTTTTGTGTTTAACATTTATGTAGTTCAATGGCTCTCCTTTGCATTCGATAAAATAATGCCTTTGTGGTTCTCTTAAAAGAAATGCGTTGGCTTCTCTTTTCTTCTTTGAAGTGCACAGTGACTTGTGGCCGAGGGTTACGGTACCGGGTTGTTCTGTGTATTAACCACCGCGGAGAGCATGTTGGGGGCTGCAATCCACAACTGAAGTTACACATCAAAGAAGAATGTGTCATTCCCATCCCGTGTTATAAACCAAAAGGTAAGTCTGTGGTGCACTGTAAATTCAAATCAAATGGTATTTTCCAGCTCCCATTCCAATATTGTAGCATTTCCCTTTCAACTTACTACTTTCTTATAAAAATTGTTTTATTGACAGATTGCAATAGACCTTCCCATCTAGATAAAGAAGTTAGATATATGTGAATTATTCATCTGGAGGGAAAACTGAGCTCCTGTTGATTCAGTACAGATGGAGTAGCTCCTATCTATCTAGTTTTATACTAACATTTCTTGGTGGACGTAAGAAAATTAAATGCAGTCCCTCCCTTGAAGAAAAAGAAGAAGAATGGCGGGGGAGAGATTAAAAAAGGAGGGGAAGGAAAAGTAGAAGGAAGACAAGAAAGAAGAGCAAGAAACAGAGGAAGAAGTAGAGGAGGAGGAGGAAATTATTCTTTTCCCAAGATTCTCATTCTTCTTTATAGCTACCTCTCCGCTGGAGTATAAGATTTTTGAGGGAGGAATGATGTCATCTTTATCATGTGTACTAATGCATGGAATGAATGAAAACTTCCCGTTCCCAGTGGAGATCTATGGATGCATTTATAATCTCTCCAGTAGTTCACATTTGTTCCACATGAAAGAGCAGAAATGGGTAGCATCCAGGGATAGGAGGATTTGGCATCAGCTCTCTGATATATGATCTTCTCTGTACATAATTATTTCCATGTTCTTTAATGTTAACCATCCTCATGAAAAGTATCTTCCATCTTGAAATGGGAGAAAAGATTATTCCCAACTATTAGTAAGAAGGACTCCTCCTTAGTACTTGAGAGAGGATGGTAAAACTCTCTTTTGTTATTTCTGGGTTCATTATTCATACAAATAGCCTCATAATTAGCCATTCAATAAATATTTTTGAGTACGTCTATCTTGCAGAAAAATCACTAGTTGCCATGACAGGTACAAACATTGACTACTTAACTCCATCAGTGAAGTCTTTTTTCCTTCCTTCTGCATTTATGATACTTTCATAGCCACTTTCATTGTGTCCATAGTTTCCTTGAAGCACCCTAAAGTTATTTTTATTTCTCACTTCATAGATAGATTATTCCTTTCTTCACATCAAGGAGGCTTCAAAGGACAGGAAGGGGGGCAACAGTTTGTTCCTCCATGCCAGATGTAATTGGTAATCATCTCCCTCAACAACTACAACAACAGTAAAAGTCTGAGTAAACTATAACACAGACTCCTTCATCCCCCCTAACTTTCTTAACTTTCATATTATTTGCCTTTCTCTATTAATGTTTGCATTCCATGGGCAAAAATAAAATGTGACCAAAGATAGCAAGCTGATATGGTTGAAGTAAAAGCTTCAATATATGAACAACAGAAATTGGTATTGATTTATAAAAGGCATTTTTATGTTAACTTTGACAGCATTTTCAACTGTATCATGTGATCATTTTGGTTGCATTTTAATAATGTATTAATTTTTTTAATATACAGCAGAAGTGTTTAATTCATTCCAGCAGCCACCTAATGTATTGTACTAAGGAACTCAACTTGCATTTGAAAAACATGACCTCTTTATAAATGAAATCTTCAGCCAATATGATCACCTATCCAACTCCTTAATGATTAATAGTAATTAGGCTCATTGTTTATGTTCTCTTTTTCTTAGAAAAAAGTCCAGTGGAAGCAAAATTGCCTTGGCTGAAACAAGCACAAGAACTAGAAGAGACCAGAATAGCAACAGAAGAACCAACGTGAGTCCAGGACCTTTTGTAGGAATAATCAGGGCATAGCCAGTTAACATGATATATGTAATTTTTGTACTCATTGGAGTACAGTGATACATTTAATATCCAAATGACCTGGATTTACAGACTCTAGAGAGCTTGAGCTGGCTAGAATTTTTCTTTGTTTCACAATTCAGCAGTCCTCCTTTGGCAGTTTCTCTGAGCAGCACAGAAAAGAACAGTGTTACTTAACTCAAAGCAGATCCAGTGGTCTGCTACACTTAAGAGACTGGGGATAATTTCTAGGTTTTAACGCATGTGATTTGACCATGAACCATCATAGTATCATACAAATAAACCAGTCATTCCATGGGTAAGTCATGGTCAATCTCTATAAAATCAATTAAGTTGAAATGCATTAGTCGCCTGAGTGATCATAGGGAAATGGAAAGAACAAGGTACTAAGAGTATTGGAGCTTAGAACCACCCCTGCTAACTACATGACCTAAGACAAGTCTAATTTTTCTGTGTCTTATTCTCCTTACCTATAAAAGGAGCAGGTTGGGCTTGATCTCTCCAGGGTTCATTCCAACTCAAAAATCCAATGACTACCATCTGCATGTGATTTGATGGATCTGGATTGTAACAGTGCCAGTGGAAATTAAGAATCAAGAGGAAATCAAAGAAGCATTCTGGAGGCAGTTATATAGGGACAAAAAGAGAGCAAGAAATCAAAGGTGCTCTGAGATTTCTAGTCCAGGAATCTGTAAGAACAACAGTACCAATGATAGACTCAAGTAATTGAACAGAACAGCTGATTCCATGTCAAACATGTTAAGTGTTTGGTGCTGACAGGCTGTCTATGAAGAGAGCAATTCCCAGAGCATCAGAGGAAAAGGGGTCTCAGCAGTAATCTGGCCACTTTCCCTCTCGGAGCAGGCATTTCTTCTTCAACACCTTCAGCAATGGGCAGAGTTCACTGCATTAAGAGACACCTCATTCTTGTGTTGAGCAACCCGTTATTTGCAAGATCTTTTTCTTCTGATGAGACAGAATAGACCTCCTAATTTGTGTTCTCTGAAGCAGAAAAAAAAATACATCTATGCCCCATCCCATGTGACAAGTTTTCACAAATATGAAGAAAGCTGCCATGGATCCCGAGAGCTTTGTCTTTCCCAAGTTCATCATTCTTAGCCTTTTCAGCAGTCTTCATGCACTGTTGTTTTTAGATCCCTTCCCAACCTCCTGTGCTTTTCAGAACCCACTCTCATTTGTCAATCTCCCTTTTAACTGTGGTCCAGCCCAGTGGTGAGCCCCAGGGCAGTGTGGGTTACTTTGCTTTGAGAAGGCACATGTGGCAAAGTGATGTGGGCCAACATAGCTGGCACATCACACTCATGACAGGCACAGACTTCTCCACGTGGACCACTGTCAGTGCTGGCTATGACCACAGAAGAAACTGTGGACCATGTGAGGGGGAATGGCTTCACAGTATTTGAGTAAAAAGAGAAGAGTGTTGGGCTCCTGACAGAAGCTTGGAGATTTAGAGGAAGAGGGGGAATCAAAAGAGGAAGATGGTAAGGGAGTAAAGTAGTGGAGAGAGGGAGGAGTAAGACCCAGGAAAGCTTATTGTTCCAGAGACCAAAGGAGGAAGGAGTTTAAGGAGGCAAGGAGGCAAGCAGCAGATGGATTCAAATCTCACAGAAAGACAAGGAAAAACCATGAGGAAAAAGAAAAGCCTACTTTGATTAACAAGAAAGGCTTTTTCAGTGAATTTTAGAGTAGTAGCATTCAAAGGGTAGAGAATAAAACATTGTGGATATTTCAGAAATAAATTTCCAAAAAAGAAGAAAACGGAGCAATGGGTATTTAAGTACTAAAGAAGGAGCAAAGATTGGTAGTCAAGCTGATGGAAAAGTGTATACGTATGTGTTTGTTGTTTTTCATTTTGATGTTAGGGCAATCTTAAATTAAAAAGATATGGTTTTGCACAAGTCAGTTAATATCTGTAGACCTTCCAACTGTATAAGGAAGGCATTAGGCTAAATGCTGCTGGAACCTTCTCACATCTCTGATCACCTACAATCCTGTAAGGGAAGGAGTCTATAGAAAGAAAAGGGTTTGAGGCACTTGAGAGAGAGAGTGTGTAGTTGTCACAGAAGGAAGGTCACAGAGTCCTTTGTCTAGAATGATGGGTCCTACCAAGATCTTTTGCTTTCAAAACACAGTTAGATGATAGTTGATAATGCTTCTGTATGTCCTCTTTTGGGTAATAGGGTTGCAGTCCGTCCAGTTCCCCAAACTAGAAGCCTGGATTCTTTCTTGGCTCCTTCTCATTCTTCTCTGATGTGTAATTAGCCACTGAGTTGTGCCGACTATATTTACTAAAATCTTTCTTGGTTCCAGCTCCTCCTTTCCATCCAAACTACCATCCTTGTACAGGTCCTGAAATCAGTTCCCAGGACACCTACAACAGCTTTCTAATTTGCTCCTGAATTGCTTCCCTCAAATCCACCCCTACACAACACAGCCACCAGAGTAGTCTATCTAGGTAGGGCACAAGTCTAATTCTTTTTGTTTTGTTGAAACAGAGTCTCACTCTGTTGCCCAGGCTGGAGTGCAGTGGCGTGATCTCTGCTCACTGCAACCTCCGCCTTCCGGGTTCAAGCGATTCTCCTGCCTCAGCCTCCTGAGTAGCTGGGATTACAGGCATGTGCCACCATGTCAGGCTAATTTTTTGTATTTTTAATACAGACAGGGTTTCACCATGTTAGCCAGGATGGTCTCGATCTCCTGAGCTCGTGATCCACCCGCCTCAGCCCCACAAAGTGCTGGGATTACAGGTGTGAGCCACCGCACCTGGCCAAGTCTAATTCTTTCTTTGCAATGTTCAGAATATCCAAATGTCTCCCCATCACTCAAAGATGTATGTGGGTTCATATGCCCAATGGGACTTGGCAGGGTATTACCTTTCCTGGTCCCCAGCCTCATGTCTGGCCACCTCCTTTTTTTTGCCTTGAGTGGGATGCTCCAGCCACACTGACTTGCGGGCTGTTTCTTGCCCACAGCAAGCTGCCTCTTGCCTCCTCTTTAATTACACTCCCCTCTTAATTGGGAGTGGCCCCACCTGTTAAGTCTTTTTCTGTAACTTTCTTTTTAATCATAGGAAATTGCAAACCTATTTAAAAGAGGAGAAAACAGTGTAATGAACCCCCATGTCATGTTCATAACCCAGTATCAACAATTATCAACCCAGGGCCACCCTTGTTTCATCGAAACCATCACCACTGCCACTACCCCCTGATCATTTTTGAAGCAAACACAGACAGCACATCATTTCATTCATAATTATGTATCTCAAAAAGAAGTCTTTAAAAAATAATCAAAATACCATTTTTGAAATGCTATCCTCAATACTTCTATCAGAATCACCCGTGGTGCTTTTTAAAATGTGGTGATTTCCAGGCCCCACTGAGTCAGATACTGTAGGAGTGGGGCTCCATCACCAACATTTTCTTTTTCTTTCGGCTGCCAGATCTTTTTTTTTTTTTTTATCATGGTGAGAGATACACAACACAAAACTTACCATTTTAACCATTTGAAAGTGTACAGTTCAGTGGCATTAAGCACACTCACATTGTTGTGCACCCATCACCACCTCCCATCTCTCAAATTTTCTCATCACCCCCCAACATAAGCTCTGTTCACCTTCAGCAATAACTCCCTACTCCCTCCCACTAGACTCTAGTAACCTCTATTCTATTTTCTGTCTCTCTTTCATTCACCAGCATTTTAAACAAATACCCCAGGTAACTTTGGCAGGGGAGTGGGCATATCCAAGTTTGGGAACCACTGGATCCGATCGTCCCTAAGGTCCCTTTAAAGTTCAGAAAATACTGTTTACTTTATTGAATTAGAAAAGGGGGATATCAGCCGGGCGCAGTGGCTCACGCCTATAATCCCAGCACTTTGGAAGGCTGAGGTGGGTGTATCACTTGAACTCAGGAGTTCGAGACCAGGCTGGCCAACATGGTAAAACCCTGTCTCTACTAAAAATACAAAAATTAGCCGGGTGTGGTGGTACATGCTTGTAGTCCCAGCTACTCGGGAGGCTAAGGCAGGAAAATTGCTTCATCTCGGGAGGCAGAGGTTGCAGTGAGCTGAGATCCTGCTACTGCTCTCCAGCCTGGGTGACAGTGCCAGACTCCACATCAAAAAAAAAAAAAAAAAAAAAAAAAAAGAAAAAAGAAAGAAAGAAAGAAAGAAAAGGAGCTACAGTGAGGTTCAGGCCCCATATTCATTCCAAGCCTGCCTTTTCTGTCAGCCCCACCTGACTTTGCTAGGGGTTTCTTCCTCCTCGTATTCACAGAGCAAAGCCAAAAGGTTCTTTACTCCTGAAGGACACCACCCTTTCTTCCCCCGTGTTGAAGACTGAGCAGACAGCACCTGTTCCCTGGCCCAAGCAGCTGCCTCTTCCCACCTTCTGCCATCTCTCCCTCTGTGGTCGCTCTGCAATTTTCCTGCATAATTCACACTGCCTGGCAGTTTCTGGCCTGGTCCTGGCCATCTAGTGTGAAGTTTATATTTTCCTGCCACCACTTCTGACTCTATTCATTCCCTCGATTTCCAAACAAAACCGCAACATATCTCAGCTTCCAGTGCATCCTTTTATTACCACTGTCTTTTGTGGTTTGGGGATGCTTGCTTGTTGACAGTGAAGGAGAGGATGAACGCAGCTGTATTTTACATCCCTCCAGTAGAGCCTGCCAAGCCAGCCTGAAGGAGATAAATATTTCTGCCTCTGTGGTTTACCATGGCTCGAGTTCTGAATTTACATAGGGAGCGGATGTTCAAAAGGCTTTTTTGCTTTTTTTAAAATTAGGAAAATAAAAATTATAGTGTATAAATCTAAGCCAAGGGAACTGCAGTACTGACCTTCTTAGCTTTCAGCTGTGGAATGTGTTGACAGTTGATATGGTTCATTGGTTCATGGTTGTTTTAAAATTCCTCCCTGGAGCCTCTTCGTTTGTTTCTGTGGGATTCTTAACACTTCAGCAAACTTGTTGCCCTCGCTGTCGTTTTTCATATACAAAAACTAAGGAAATAGGGTGGACTTAGTTAGCACACCTTGTATGTTTCCTTCACTGCTGACTTAAATTCTCCATTTGTGGAGATTATATTTGCTAATGTCAAATTAGGTGACATTTCAGGAATCTGTTTTTCTAACAACAACAATGATAACAACAACTAATATTGAGGAGTGCTTTGTGCCAGACCTTGTTCTGAGTGTTCTACGTGGATTAAGTTGTTTAATGCTCACAACAACCCTATGAGGAGGTGCTATTCTTATTTTCATTTTGGGGCTGAGGAAACAGGCGTAGAAACATAAAGGAATTGTTTTGGAGATATTAAGTGGTGGACAGTGATTCTATGGCACGTAAGACTAGAAAGAGCTGCAGTTTCGTGTCAGATGTCCTGAATTCAAGTTTCACCCATCCTTGGGTTTATCTAATGGAGTAGACAGAGAAGTGAGTGACTGCATGATGGTATTGTAAGGTTGCAATGCATTATAATTACGTTATGGTGTTATTCGGGATCAGGGATGGTTTCCGGAAATAGATGGTACATGAACTGAGATCCTAGAGTGTCCTACAATGTCAGAAGAGCAGCATGTCAGGTATTTGGAATAGAGGCTTGTGTGCAGGCTCACTGGCCCATGTAGGCCACGCAGGTTGCTAAGGTGGTCTGAGGTGGGTGAGGGGCGAGGAGGATGGGCCCGGGGAGCAGTAATGGCAGCAAGGATGCAGCTGGAGGAGCCAGCAAGTCTTGAGGGTCTTCCATGGTTCACTAAGGAGCTTGGACTTTATCAGGAGGCTGTGGGAGCCATGTAAGGATTTTAACCAGAAAAGTGACATAATCTCAATTACATTTTTGAAAGATCCCTCTGGTGGTCTGCAGTTTATTTCCAATTATTCACAATGATAAATAAAACTGCAGCGAATTCCAAATTGCACATCTCTAATTGTCTCATTGGACATATTTTCTGGCGTGGAATTTCTGGGCCAGGGATAAGCATTTAATTTCTACTGTCAAATTTCCTTTTAGAGAGAAATCAGTGCTGGCTTCTCTCGCCAGCAGCAGTACTCCAGCTTGCCTTTTTCCCCATACGTTCATCAAAATCAGGAGATTATCTTTTTTTTTTTAAATGTTATTTTGTAGTTTTTTTTATGGTTCATGTTTTGCACTTAACTTTGATCCATGGGAAATTTACTTTCACATGTAATATGTAATCTCAATCTAACAATTTTTTCCAAGTAATTAACCAACTGCCCCTAGCACTATCTGTTGAGTAAACTACCCACTTTGGTTTTAAAATGACGTCATTGTACAAATAATACTCCAGTGCCAGTACCATATTATTTGAATTACTGTGTCTTTTAAATACTTTTTTCTATTAAACTGTGCAAGTACTCTGTAATTGTTATTCCTTTTAAAAATGTTCTTGATTGTTCTCACCTAACCTTACATAAAACTTTAGAGTTGTATTGTCTGTTTCCAACTTCCCCCCCAAAAAATTGCTTCAGCCGTTTGGCTCAGAACTGCATTTTTTCTAAATTAATTAGGGGAGAATAAACATCTTTCTAATTTTGAGTCTTCCCATTCAGGGGCATGTGGTCTCTCCATTTATTCAGGTTTTTAGGCTTAGAATCCCCTGAGTATTTTATACCTCAGTTTTCCTCATCTGTAAAATCAGGAAAATAATGATATTTATGCATAAGGTCATGGCGAGAATTATATTAAATAATACATGTAATATGCTTAGCATAGTGCCTGGCAGCTAACAGTAAATGTGGTTGAATTCTGGGAAAACTGGTAATTTTAGTATATGTATCTATATATTTATATAGTGCCACACACCACACACACACACACACACACACACACACACACACACACACACACACACACACACAGAGTTATGGGCTACTTTATTGAACTGTTTTGGTTTTTTCCAAAATTTTTCAGTTAATTTTAGTACTTTTCATAGCTATGTCATTTTCAAATATGATAATTTTGTCTATTATGTTTATTCTTTCCTAATATTTATACCTGCTTTTTTGCTCTTCCACTATATTTTCATTTGTATTTTTCTTATCTCATTTTGTTTATTCTTTTACTTTTTACATATCTGAAGTCATTCTGTGTTATTTGTATTATCTGTAGGTTTTAAAATTACCAGCTGGGTGCAGTGGCAGGCACCTGTAGTCCCAGCTATTGGGGAGGCTGAGGTGAGAGGCTCACTTGGTTGAGCCCCAGAGTTCAAGGCTGCATTGAGCCGTGATCACACCACTGCACTCCAGCCTGGGTGACAGAGCAAGACCCTGTCTCTGGGAAAAAAAAAAAAAAAAAAAGAGAGAGTCTATTTTTAAAAGGAAAGTTTAATCCATTTAAATAGATTTTTTATTACTGATAGTTCTGGTCTCCATTTTAAATGTTTCCTTGTTTCTGATGTTTTCCTACATGAGCTATATGAACTTGATTTGTTTTCTATAATAGCAGGAGATTTGTCTACTATAATTTCATTTTTTTAACACACTCAAACCTATATAATTTTTATCATAAACATCTAGAATGGTGCCATTTCTGCTGATTTCTCCAGGTTTAAAATGAATAAATTGGCATTGTTTTGTTGTTGTTGTTGATGATTTTTCACTTTGAGACGGAGTCTCGCTCTGTCACCCAGGCTGGAGTGCAGTGATGTGATCTCAGCTCACTTCAACACCACCTCCCGGCTTCAAGCAATTCTGCCTCAGCCTCCCTAGTAGCTAGAACTGCAGGCATGCACCACCATACCTGGCTAATTTTTTTTTGTATTTTTAGTAGAGACAGCGTTTCACCATGTTGGCCAGGCTGGTCTCAAACTCCTGACCTCAAGTGATCTGCCCACCTTGGCCTCCCAAAGTGCTGGGATTACAGGTGTGAGCCACCACACCCTGCCAGATTTCATTCTTTTTAATGGCTGAATAGTATTCCATTGTGTATATAGGCTATATTTTCTTTATCCATTTATCTGTAGGTGAGAACTTAGGTTGATTTCATATCTTTACTGTTGTGAATAGTGCTTTGATAAACATACAAATGCAGATATATTTTTGATATAATGATTTATTTTCCTATGAGTAAATAGCCAGTAGTGGAATTGCTGGATCAAACGGCAGTTTTATTTTTAAGTCTTTGAGAAATCTCCATGGAGGTTGTCCTAATTTACCTTCCTACTGACAGTGTTTAAGTGTCCCAAGATATGTTTTTCTTTCACTAATACATGCTGCCTTCTTCTCTTGTGCTGAAGAATGATTTTAGCAGTTGGATATTTGTGCTTTGTTTTCTTATTCTGGAATTAGAAAAATAAATTATCTAAAAGAGCATTGTCAAATTGTCTTTGGATTCATATGCTGTCATCCTGGATGATGTTTAAGTGCTTCTGTATCCTCTGATACAGATGAGGCCGTGTACAATAATGCTAGCAGCTGTTGTATACCCTTTGGTTACTTGTCTGTACCTCAGTTTTCTCATCTGTAAAGTGGGCATAATAATATTTCCTGATACGGTTGTTGTTATAAGAAAATGATAGAATTTGTTTGAAGCACTGAAGACAGTGTCTCACAGGAATAAGAATGCAATGAATGTCTGATGTTACTTTTTTATTTTATTGTACTTATTGAGCTTTTAACTCAGACATCATTACATTTAATTCTCACCCAATACCATTAGGTAGGTAATATTATTGTTCTTATTTTACAGAAAATTATTACCTTTGTATTTGAATAACAGTTTTACTGGACATAATATTCATAGGACTCTGATTCTGTCTCTCTCTCAAAACTCTTACTCTATCTTTTCCTGGTTTTGAATGTTGTGTGCATCTGAGGTACCCCTGTCTTTATGTTCCTATAGGAGACTTGCTTTTTGTGCCTAGACACCTAGACAATTCTTTCTTCATGCTCAAAGTTTTGTTAGCCAGGTGTATTCATTTTCCATAGCTGCTAATACCACAAACTTAGCGGTGTAAAACAACACAAATGTATTATCCCACAGTTGAGTGGGTCAGAAGCCCAGTAGATTCAGCTGATGTCTCTGTTCCAGTTACTAGTAGGCCAGGATCAAGGTGTCTGTCAGTCTGAAGTCTTCTTTGGCAAGAGTCTGCTTCCAGGCTCATTTGAATAATTGGCAGAATTCAGTTCCATGCATTTGTAGAACTGAGATCTTCATTTCCTTGCTGACTGTGGGCTGAGAGATTGTTTTCAATTTCTAGAGGCCACCTGCATTCCTTGGCTGATGGTCTCATCCATCTTTGAGCCAGCAACAGTGGGTAAATTCCTGTTACACTTCAAATCCCTCTCGCTTATTAGTCTACTTACATTTCTGACTCTAGCCAGAGTGATATCCTTGTTTTTAAGGATGTCTGTGATTAGATTAAGCCCACCAAAGTAATCTGGGATTATCTTCCCATCTCGAGGTCACACCTGTAAAGTCCCTTTTGCTGTGTATGGTAATGTATTCACACATTCTGGGGATTAGGGCATGGGAGTACTTGCAGGGGTGAGGAGCCATTATTCTGCCTACAATTCTAGGTTTTTATGTTCATCATTTTTATTACTTTTTCCTGGAAGACAGTGTACCTTTTCAGGATGTATTTCAGTCACTTTTTTCATATTTTATTTCTGAGCAGCTTTTCTGTTTCATGCGTTGGAATCTCTACATGAAGAATCCAGTTATCTTCAATATTGGATTACCTAGGTTCTCTTTAACTTAGTCCCTTAAAATTGTGCTTCAGAAAATCAATTTTATAGAGATGTAGTTTACATACAATAAACTGTGTCTATTTAAAGTGCACCATCAATGAGTGGTTTTTTTTCTTTCTTTTTTTGAGGTGGAGTCTCACTGTGTTGCCCAGGCTGGAGTGCAGTGGTGTGATCTCAGCTCACTGCAACCTCTGCCTTCTGGGTTCAAGTGATTCTCCTGCCTCAGCCTCCCGAGTAGCTGGGATTACAGGCATGCACCACCATGCCTGGCTAATTTTTTGTATTTTTAGTAGAGACGGAATCTCAGCATGTTGGCCAGCCTAGTCTTGAACTCCTGACCTCAGGTTATCCACCCACCTCGGCCTCCCAAAGTGCTGGGATTATAGGCATGAGCCACCACGCCCGCTGATGGGTTTTGACAGATGTATGTACCCCTCAAACCCCAGTCCCACTCAAGATCCAGAACATTTCCATCCCTACAAAAGTTTTCTTTGCAGCTTCTCTTTCTCTCTCTCTCAACACTGCATTCACTTCCAAGTCTGGCCTCTGTGTCATTAATTTGATCTTCAGCCATGTTTCTTCTGTTTTTTCCTAGTTATGAATTGTTAGACTTGTGACAATAGTGTTATTATGTTTCACAGTTGGTTTCCATTTTCCCTTTTACTCTGTTGTTTTATCATCTCATCTCGAAACTCTCACATCAGTGAAATGATATTCTTTTTAAGTTCTTCCATGTGCAAAGACGTAGGTAACACAGCCTGTTCCTCTGGTTGTGTTTTGCCCAGACATGGCTCTTTCAATGTATTCCTTTCTTTCTTTAAAAAAAAAAAAATTGGTGAGGGGAGACAAGATTCAGAATTGTATGAACACTATAATATCTTTAATTTAAATAAAAAATAATACATAGAAGGAAATCATGCTGGATTCTGTGTAATTATTTTTTAGTTGCCGTGGGTTTTTTTTTTTTTTTAACCTTTAAGTCACTTCTTGTTACTTTGGACAGAACTAACATTTACTTTTTAACAGGACTTTTAAAAAGATCGTTGAAAACCAACTTGAAATATACAGAAAAACTAGGAGGACATTGAGTATAACCATTATTTGCCCTGCTGGGAGTTTAGGTGAACCTTTTTTTTTTTTTTTTTGAGATGGAGTCTCACTCTGTTACCCAGGCTGGAGTGCAGTGGCACAATCTTGGCTCACTGCAACCTCCACCTCCTTGGTTCAGGCGATTCTCCTGCCTCAGCCTCCCAAGTAGCTGGGATTACAGGCATGCACCACCATGACTGGCTAATTTTTTTTTTTTTTTTTAAGTAGAGACGGAGTTTCGCCATGTTGGCCAGGCTAGTCTCGAACTCCTGACCTCAGGTGATTCGCCCGCCTCAGCCTCCCAAAGTGCTGGGATTACCGGCGTGAGCCACCACGCCTGGCCAAGGTGAACTTTCTTACCTCATCTCCTCTCGAGATTCTCAATCACCAAGATACAGAAGTCCAATTTGAATGAAAATATCTACTTCCCATTAAAACAAAATCCCAATTTTTAATTTTTTATTACCAAGGAGAAAAGAGAGAAAAAATTAATGACCATAAGGTAAAATATGCACATGCTTAGAAACTTTAAACCTTTTAAAAATATAAAGTAAAAACCTCCCTCTTTACACACTCTAGTTCCTGACACTTTCAATTGCTTCCAGAAGAGAGAAATTATACATAAACCAGCATACATACAAACATGCTACATATGGGGCAGTTCATGTACTACGATCTCTTTTTTCTAAAATCAAAAAATAGTATATAGGTATATATAGATAGTGTATGTTATAGACTGTGTGTATGTAGCATATATGTATAATGTATTTATTTCATTTAACAGTCTTCAAGAGAAGACTGTTATCAGTTCATACCTAAACCTATGTCCTTTTAAATGACTACATATTATTACACTGTCGGGATTTCTCGTCTTTAACCAGTCTCCTTCCCAATTCTACCATGAGAGTAGCAGAGAAAGAAAAGACACATCAAATATTAACTCCAGCATTGCCCCATCCTGGGGAGTTGAGCAAGCCCTCACATGGAATCTGAGAATTAGAGAGAAGGGTTCCCCACTAACAATTTTCAACACAATGAACAACATGTTTTGTGTTGATTGATGTTTCTTTGCAGGACACGTATATAGTAATGGCATTTCATTCTGCTGATTGGGGGTGTGCTTTTTTGGACAACTATATTTAAGTCTTGCCTGGGGAAAGAAGGTTGGATGACTCTGTGAGAACCTTACAACCCTGTCTTTCTGAGGTTAGAAATATTAAGCTTTGGAACTGCATCTTAAACAAACATCTTAGCAGTGTTTTCTGAAGTCATTTAGTAGAACATAATCCCACGGACAAGGGTCTATATTCACTTAAGTTTATGAAATGATGCACGTAATATTTCTCTCTTAAGCATTTGTAGTTTGCATTTATATTTCATAGTCTTTGGAAAAGTTTTGCAGTGAATAAATCTGTTGAACATTATCGAGCCCTGAGTTTTCAAAACTTATTCTATTACTGAACTCTTTCTCCTCTATCACTTATTAATATCTCAAGATACAAAGTGTTTTTTCAGAGTATCTTAAATATATCTGTCCCTACGGAATCTGGTTTTCAAAATTCTGTGCAGGGGTCCAGTAAAGGACCAGATAGTAAATGTTTTAGGCATTGTAGGCCAAATGGTTTCTATTGCAAATATTCAGTTCTGTTGTAGCACAAAAGCCATAGACAATAGGTGGAAAAATGAGTGTGGTTATATTCCAGTAAAACTTTAGTTATGCACGGTAAAATTTAATTTTATGTAATTTTCACATGTCACAAAATATCTTTTTTTCTGCCAACCATTTAAAAACATAAAAATGATTCTCAGCTGGTAGGTTGTACCAAAGATAGGTGGGCCAGATTTGACCTGCTAGTCATAGTTTGATGACCTTTGATTTAGTAGATAATAATCCGGAATAAGAATTAAATGCTTTGTTCAGCAAGATTGTGCAATATTTCTTTTGTTTTGAAGAAGATCCAGAAGCTTCGTGCACTTGTGTATTAAACATAAAAGAATATTAAGGCTTCATCCACTCTGTAGAAAGTATTTAAGATACCCTAAAATTTAGCTCCTAAACTTGAGACAGTTTAATACTACTCTGCCCATTACAGAGGATAAGCTCAATACTAATTTACTGAATAAATATTGGTGAAAATCTCCATATTATAAAATAAATTAGATTAGAAATGATCTCCATATGATGGTTTATTTATTACTAAATCTTAAAGAAAACCTTTATAATTTTGCAAAGGCCATAGCACAGATTCGAATTATGAAATGGATGTAAAAGTAGAATATAGTTTAGTGAATTACTCTTTCTGTTGCTAGTAAGATTTGAATGTTTGTTAACTGCATTACTGACCATCAACAAAAGTATAAAATTCCAAATGTGTGGAATTCCACCGAGTGAAGCTGGTTATTTTTGCCTTCGTTGAATGTGTCACTCCTCCTTTTCTGGCCTATATTTAATGACCCTCAGTGTCCTTTTCTGGTGGCTTCCTGGTTTTCCCTAGGTTCATTCCAGAACCCTGGTCAGCCTGCAGTACCACGTGTGGGCCGGGTGTGCAGGTCCGTGAGGTGAAGTGCCGTGTGCTCCTCACATTCACGCAGACTGAGACTGAGCTGCCCGAGGAAGAGTGTGAAGGCCCCAAGCTGCCCACCGAACGGCCCTGCCTCCTGGAAGCATGTGATGAGAGCCCGGCCTCCCGAGAGCTAGACATCCCTCTCCCTGAGGACAGTGAGACGACTTACGACTGGGAGTACGCTGGGTTCACCCCTTGCACAGCAACATGCGTGGGAGGTATTTGAACCTTTGCTTAAGGGACAGTTATGTTGTGTGTTGCTAGTGGTTTGAGAAATTACTCAATCAGGTAAGCCAAATATGCAAATTAGCAAAAGTCTAAAGGAGGTGAAGTCATTCAAATAACTGAAAATGATACTTTTTCTTCTTTTTCTTTCTTTTTTTTTTGTAGTGATTATTTTAGAAAGGAGAGTGGGACTATATACTAACCAAAAAAAGTATATTTGTTTGCCTGAGAATCTGCATGACTGAGATGGTTCATATGAAATAAATAGGAAAATGCAGAATGGATAAGTTAAGGCAATCTTGTTCATAAAGCAGTCTTATAGATTGAGGTAGCCTGGAATTGCAATATCTGATGCAACTCTAGATCAGAGTTTGTCCTCAGAAAATATTTGGGTTCATATCCGCACATTGGGCCAGCACCTAGGGGAACAAACTAATCACCATGATTTATGTTTGTGTACATAGAGGGTGACATACACAGCCAGGAAACCCTGTTAGGATTAGAAAGTGGTTGTATAGCCAGGTGACCCCTTTGGGGTGAGAAGTTGGCCCCCTGATGATTTATACAATCTAGGATCCAAAAGGGAGTGAAGGAGTGGTTAACAGGAGTCCAGAGAGCCACTCTTGAGGGCTCTGTTGAAAGTAAAAAGATAGAAATAACAAATAAGAAAACTATATCTTTTACTTACATGAAGGAGACTGGGTCTGACCAGGAATCCAGAGCCCCTGTCACCCCGTCCCCTCATCCTTTGACCCCTGACTGTGCCTTCCAGCCAGCTGCTATGTAAAGAGCTTGGTGCCTGAATGTGCTCTGCTCTTGATCCAGCCAATGGTGGGAAAAACACAAGGAGATGCTGTCTTAGAGCTCTTGGCTCAAGATCATGCTTTACTCCTCCCAACAGTCTTGAGCCCATTACTTGAAACTCCCTATCAAGTTGTGGAGCTCATGGCCCATTCATTGTGCCTGAACCCCTCACTCTTGAGCCTGAATTCTCAATCCTTATCATTCAGTCTCTATGGCTTGATTGTATCTGTTTTTCTCTTTCCTGTCTAATTCAACTTCTATACCTGCGTATCCTTGCCACTTTTTGTATAACATTGCTAGCCTGGCAGTAAACCCGGCTAAAGTGGCATGTGCCTTACCCCCAGGCTGCCCCTAAACTACTGCCTTGCGGACAGAGTTGCACATGTGGACTTTAGGTGCCTTAGCTGCCTCTGGACTCTTTCTCCCCTTACTTGCTTCTGTCTGGTTGCTAAAAGTCCATGCCATCTAGCTAGGAATTTAGCCTCTCTGGTTTAGTTGAACCTTAAACATCTGCTGCATCTCTTCCCTCCACAGCACATTGTCTGGGTTGCCCCCCACACTGCCTTGTGTCTGTTCTTGCCCAAGCCAAACTCCTGCCTGCTCTTGAGTTCAGAACCCTGGACACGTTTTTGTTTGTTTGTTGTTTTTTGTTTGTTTGGTTTTGTTTGTTTGTTTGTTTGTTTGTTTTTTGTTTTTTGTGGGTTTTTTTATGTCTTGGAAACCTTAACTCTAACATGCCCTTGGCAATTTGGGAACTGGTGCTTTCTCTTGATGAGTTTGGGGAAACCCTCTAGAGATAGCCACGGAGATGCAAAGATGGTCCCCTATTCAGTCACAATAATACATGCCTGGAACTTCCTACTGTATGTCTACAAAATGCCAGCTGTCTCCATTGCTTCTGAGTCACCACATTGCTGCAGTCTCACTAGAGACTTGGAGCTGTGTCTTTCATTAGGAGAGCAGAAGCAAGCCCAGCTGTTGCTTGCACACCCCAACATCTACCTTGTAATCTCAAGCTTTTAGGTGCTGTTGGTAGAATCCCTGTTTCATCTTCTTCTCCTGACTGGCAAGATCCCCTCAAGTTGGGAAAGCATAGCATGCTGGGTACTTGGAACTCAGCAGACCAATCAGAGTTGCTCAAAGAGAGATGACCAGGTGAATTCTAATTCAGCTGAGAGAGACTGCTGTCAGAGCTCATTTTTGGAGCCTTTTACTAAAATACTAGAATCTACCTTGTGTTCTCAGTACCCACTGAGATGGCCCTAGATTCCACCTCTAGGATGGCTGAACTCATGTGATAAATTCCTCTTTTGTTTTTTTTCAGTAACAGCTTTATCGAGATAGAATGCGCACACTGTACAATTTATGCATTTAAAGTATACAATGTAGTGGTTTCTAGTTACAAAGTTGTGCAGCCGTTAACATAATCAATTTCAGAACACTTGCCCAAAGAAACACTGTGTCCTTAAGCAATCATACCCCATTTTCCCTCAAATTCTAACCCCTGGAAACCACTACTGTCTATTATGGACGTTGCATGTAATGGGATTATGTAATATGTGGTCCTCTGTGACTGCGATCTTTCACTTAGCGTAGTGTTTTCAAGGTTCATCTGTGTTTTAGCATGTTTCAGTACTTCATTCCTTTTTATGGCCAAGTGGTATTCCATTATATGGATATACAACATTTTACCCATTCATCGGCTGATAGAAATTTGAGTTGTTTGCATGTTTAGGGTATTGAGAATAGTGCTGCTGTGAACGTTCATGTATATGATTTTATATGGACATATGTTTTTATTTATCTTGGTTATATACCTTGGAGTAGATAGAATTACCTTTGAATCCATTTAAAACATACAAGTTTTTTGACACTTGACTAATTGAGGTTGATTATCCTTAGTGGCACTGCGCACCTTTTGCCCTGCTATGAGAAGAGAAACTGCCTTGCATCTGTCAGAAATGCAATGCAGTATTCAGGTGGGTGATGTTAAGGTGCCCATTTGCTTTATGATATACTCTTGTGTATCAGGAACACATTTTACAAATTTTAGAAAAGCTCAAGTTGGTAGCCTTTTACTACTCAGGTAAGCAGCAATTTAGCCTTATAAGGGTATATTTTATCATTTAATCCTGTAATAATATTATTGAAATGAGCCTTGGACACCTACTAACCCAAATTTTATAGTTGAGGAAGCTGAGACTCAGAGTCCATCATAAAGCCAAAAATAGAAAATGAATAACTTGATTCTCATTACTTAGCTGAACTATAAGTACATGTAATAAGCTTCTTAGCTTTACAAAAAGTAATATTTTTAATTTCTTGGGTTAAAAAGTAAATTTTTAATTTCTTGGGTTAAAAAAGTTATTTTTAATTAACTTGAGATTAAAGTTCCTTATAATAAATAACCAAAGCCTATGAAACTGAAGAGCTAAGGCAAAAACCAAAATCCTTTATAAAGGCTGGGATGGAAATTGTGGGTGAGGTGACTCATGCCTGTAATTCCAGACCTTTGGGAGGCTGAGGCAGGAGGATCTCTTGAGGCCAGGAGTTGGAGATCAATCTGGGCAACATAGCAAGACCCAGTCTTTAGAAAAAAAATAAAATAAAGGCTGGAAATTGGGTACCTGCTCTGTGTTAGACTCCATGGTTCTTCACCAAGTTCTGCACTAAATCTTCAGGGATATAAAATAAATAGAACATATTCTTTGCCTTGATGGAGCACAGCTTTTGGTTGTTTTGGTTTGACTGTCCCAACCACACTGCTTATAGTCAGTGGTACTTGCCTCTGTGATCTATTTCAACGTGGTTCAGTAAGTTCAGCTTCCATAAGTCCACTAATGTGTGAGTTATGAATGTGGGCTTTTAGCCTTCACCCTGGATAGCAGAGAGGATAAGTCTGCAATGACTGACAACCACAATAAAATGAAATTTACACAGGCATATATTTATTTCTTCAACATTCTTATTTCTGCTGGAAAAGTAATATACAAATTACAAGTTTCTGAAAAGATAAATTTTGGTCACATTCTGATATTCTGTATACTTATATTTTCTAACCTATCTTCACATCATACAGGAAATAAGAATAAATCCATTTGTTGTAATTACTGATGCTTAAGATCCTTGCATAGGTCTCTTTTCACATTGGAGTAGCAACAGAGAATTCTTTTTTAATTCCTAAAAGCATGAAGAATCCAGACACCAATCTCCAGCTTCCAAAGTGTGTGTATGTATGTATGTATGTATGTATGTATGTATGTATGTATATGTATGTATGCATGTACTCATGCAGCAGTATCTGTGTGTGTAGATACATCATGTGTGTGCACACACATACTCATGTACATCCTGGAAGATATGCCTACCTTTTTAGTACCCTCTGGTAAGGTTTTATAATTTATTACATCATAAACATTCCTTACCGAAGTTCTTCTTTTATATTTTATATTGTTTGTTGTTTTTATGACCTCATTTTTTTACCTTTATGTTTTCCAACAACACAGGCTAGGAGTATATATATGGACATTTGAGACCTGACCCCTTTATGAACCCCAGCTCTGCAACTCTCTTTGTTTCATTTGTTTAAATTTGTAGAGTTGTGGTTTATTTTGCTAAAATGATAGGAGTCATACCTACCTCATTAGGCTTAATGAAATAATTAAATGTGATTATTAAATAAGGTGATGTTCAAAGAGTGTTTAATCACAGTGTGTGGTACACTGTATTAATAAATGTTAGTGGGATGACTATTTTATAATATAATAATAGAGCATTCCTCTTATATTGGAATGCTATTGATTATTTCTCTTTTTAAAAATCTGACTAAATTGTTGAACACCTTAATACTTCTAATCATTTTTCAGCTTATTTTTATGAGTTTTCTAAGTAAATGATCATCTGCTATTAATGGTGATTTTATCTTTCCCTTTCCAATAGTTATTTAAGTTTCACATTTTATTGGCTTGTCTAGAATTCCAGGAACAATTGTAAATAATGTGGATAATGCCAACCTTGTTTTGGTCCTGGCAGTAGTAGAAATCTCTTTATTGTTTCATTTTAAAACAATGTTCTACAAATATTTATTGTATGTTTCTATGTGCCAGGCACTGGCCTAGGTGATAGTGACTCAGTAGTTCCTAGCTTTGGAACTGAACTCTAATAGGAAAAATGCATTCATCACATAATCATACTCACACATATATAGAATTACCACTGGTTACAGCAATTGCAAAAGAAGTATATGGTGCTATGAAAAGGGGCATTTGACCTAATTACACTTGAATTTAAATCTAAAAGGTGAGGCATTAGCTAAACAAAAGGGGGTTTGGAGGGGGTGGCACACGGATAATTTCCAGCAGAAAGAGCATATGCAAAGGCCAGCAGAAGGGTGCATGGTACATTCCAGGAATGGAAGAAGCCAGGCACAGTTGGAGTACTGAGAATGAGACAGGGTTTAGTGTGGCATGCTGCTAGACAGGAAGGCAGAGGCCAGACAATTATGGCCTTACAGGCTATGTTGATTTGAGTCTATCCCAAGATCAATGGGAAGTCATTCAAGTAATTAAAGTGGGAGTTATGTGACCAAATTTTTATTTATTTCAAAAAGGTTAGTCCAGCTGTATTGTAGAGAATGGATTGGAAAGGATAAGGATGTTGTGAGAGCGATCACATAGGAAGCTATTGCCTATTCCAGACAAGAGCTTAGACCGGAATGGTGACCATGGTAGAGATGGAGTATGGTGGATGACTTTGAGAGACATGTAGGAGATAAAAGGATCTGTCAGTGGAGTGGGTAAGCAGGAGTGTGATGGCAAGTCTGAGTCCTAAGACTATTTTCTGAGCTGGTGAATGCTAAATGTTGGTGAGGGAACCCATGAGTTCATTTGTGAACATAATGCTTTTAAGATGCCTCTCGACTTCCAAGTGGAGATGCTAAGTAGTCAGTTGGATGTGTGAGTCTGAAGTGAAGAGGAGCGGTCTGAACTGGAATGGTACATTTATGCATCATCTGTGCATCCAAGGATTGAAGCCAGGGGCATGGACAAGAATTTTCAGGAGAATACCTATGAGGAGTGCAGAGGGTCTAGGACTTAAGTCTTGAGGAAATTCAACATTCAGTGTCTGGGTGGAGGACACTAAGCCGCAAAAGTCTATGAGAAGAGATCAGCGAGATATGATAAAAACAGAAGTCTGTGGTGTGGTGGAAACCAAGGTCAGCTGTGTTGCTTGCCATGCAGAGGCGGAGAGGTGAGGGTTCAGCACTGGTACTGGGTTCAGGAATGTGAAGCCACTGGGGACTTAAGGAAAGGTCATTTCAGTGGAGGAGCAGAGATGGAAACCAGATTTGAAAGGGTTGAGGAAAGAATGATAAGTGACAGAGTGGAGATGAATAGAGGGGATTTTTTTTGCAGCATAAATTGGCCATGTTAAAGAAAACAGAGGAGGAGATGACTAAGATGGCCTTGCGGGTTGAGGCAGATCTGTGTGGGTGTGGGTGAAGGGTGGTGTTAATGTCAGAGACCCTTGGGTACATTTAAAAGGCAACAAGAAAGCTCTAGAATGAAAGTGAAAGGCAAAGCAATAAGTTTTCTAAGAAGATTGAAGGGGGTGAAACTCCAAGCACAGTCGTGGAGATTGGTCTTAAATCATTGGAAGGGCAGCTTCTAATTGTAATAAGCAGGGAAAAGGCTAGTGAGGATATGAGAGTAGGTAGGTTTGTATGCTTATAAAAGGAAGTTCCCATCTGGTTGTTTCTGTGCTTTTGTGCATATGAATATTTGCTGAAAGTGATTGGTAGGTGAATGACAGATGTTTGAGGTAATGAGGTAATTTTATTATATACTGCTGATTATAATATGCTATTATTTAATTTAAGATATATATATGTATGTATGAATGATACTGATGCATGTAAATGCACTCTATTTTGCATAGTGGAGTACAAGAATTCCTTTCTACAAATGGTAACGTGGGAACAAAGATTGCATTGGCCCACTATGGGCTCATTTGAGCATACTCCCAATAGAGATGTGTTCCCGACATGGTACATTAGCAACTGCCGTTTTGTTTTCTCCAAATCCCTTCAAATCATGACAGGCCTCGAGCTGTAGTTTCTTCCAGCTCCTCTTGACATAATTGGTCACTTCCGCTCAGGCTCCAGTGGTTTATGATGCCCTTCCTAAGGCCAAATGGCTTTCAACAATCCTTAATCTTTAGCAGCTGTCTCCTCAATTGGTTCCTAAAAAGAACTCACCTATTTGAAGTGCTACAAAACTTGCATTTTAACACCAAACAGGATACCTTTGGATCCATAAAATATTATGCTTCACTCTTTTTCATTACTCGGGACTTTACAGTAGTACCCCTTCAGTCAAACTAGCTAACAGCAGAAAGAGAAAAAAATTAACTGTTCTTTCCAAATATGATCCTAGGCCTGTGTGTATGTGTGTATTTTGGAAACAAAGAACATCGTTATATATAATATAGCATTATACGTGCCCACACTGTATGAAGCAGACCTCTTTTTTCCTCGTATAGGTTTAGGTATCATCAGGTTTTGGTAGTTTTGTGAGATGAACTGGCATTTTCTATACCTTTAAATAATTTTAAATAGTTTATATCATAGAAATCATCTGTTTAAAATGTTTGAAAGTGCTAGTTCCTACAACTCTCTAAATCTTGTCCTGTTTTTGGGATTGAGGGGGAGCATCATGGCTCCATCTTTAACATTATTTTCAAGTTTCCCCCCACTTATTGTTATATTCAATCCAAGTTCTTATAATAATTTTTAAATAAATTACATAATTTAGATTCACTTGGGACAAAAACTATCCATTTCATGAGGATACTGAAATTTATTTTCTAGAGTTGTTCATCGAGTCTGAAGTGGCTGTAAGCCTCCCTGTTCTCCCTTTTCCTGCCACAAATAATGTGTAATCTATTTACTCTTTGGCCTAGGACTTTATACAAATTCTAGTGTGTGGAGTTGGGGAGTTCAATTGTTTATTATTCACTTATGTTGGACTATATTATAGTCCGAGAATGTTACCTGCATAATTTATGACTTTTGAAACTTACTGCAGTTTCCTAGACTAATAGAGGATCCGTTTTTGTTAATGTTCCACGGATGCTTCAAGAAAGCATAGTGTATCTATTTCTAGGGCCCAAGACTACTTGATTTTTAAAGCAACATAATTTTCTTACACAAATTATTTTTCCTTATTTATTTTACAACTTGGCATATTAAATACTGATTGGCACATAAAAGGCTCTGACTATGGATTTTAAAAAATCTCTCCTGGTATTCTTACACTATGTGTGTATGTGTGTGTTATGTTATTTGACATATTGAAGTAGTCAAGACTGTTGTTTGCAAATGGCAGAAACCCAACCAAGCAAAAAGAACATGTCAGCTTATATATTGGCTCTGCTGCTTCTCTTGGAGTCTGTGTTTTTACCCTTTAAATATTAATTTATTTCTTGATGAAGGATAAAAAATATGTATGTATTTTGAGACAGAGTCTTTCTCTGTGCCCAGGCTGGACTGCACTGGTACAATCATAGCTTGCTGCAGCCCCAGCCTCCTGGGCTGAAGTGATCCTCTCACCCCAGCCCCCCGAGTAGCTGGGACTATAGGCACACCCACCACACCCAGCTAATTTTTGTATTTTTTTTTTAGAGATGGGGTCTCACTATGTTGCCACAAGCTATATAGGTTTTTCTTTTTCTAAAAAAAAAGGCACTTTCATGATAACACTGCAAAAGTCATATGTGAAGTAAGGGATGTTGCCTCATGCTACAAAAGGAATTTATTCAAAAAATGATGCTGACGTTTCAACACTTGATGTATTATGTCCTAAATTCATAGTTGTAATTATTACCTAAATTTTGTTATAAGATGAGGTAAACTTATTTTTATAATTTTTCCTTTTTTAACTTTAATTTTTGAAAGTAAATGCTTAATCAGATCTTTTAAGGTGAGAAGTGTCTAAGTAACATTGTAGGACCAATGTATGGGATGGGAGATATTTTGTGGCCATTTTTCAAAATATACTCTACCTCAATAAGTATCCTAAACACCTATTAAACTTATAAATTATTTTCAGTAAACTTGCTTTAAGACAGAAAAGTGTGTCATGAGTGTTGTACAATTCCACCCAGAATGGGTTATAATGGGGCTTTAAGGCCCACTTATTCAGAAAATGTTCCAAAATAGTCTCTGTAATAAAAATTTCTAGAGAATTTCTGTTATAAATTAAAATATATTTGAAAGTTAACTGGATTTTTCTCAGATTTAAAAAAAATGAAACATACTAGAAAATGAACACTTAAACCTCTACAAGGTAACTACGTTTTGATATTTGCAAATAAAACCTAGAGTTATTAAGTTGTAGCAATGCCTTCTTATATCTCACGTTAGCCAATGTTTATTTTAAAAGTTCATAGAAGATACATGCAGATTTAATACTGCATCCTGCCATGGCAGGGAACATAAAATTACAACTGAAGACAGCAGGAGAAAATTTATTAGAAAGAACTGAACATCACAAATATATATTTTAGAAGTATTTTTGGCCAATACTACATCCTGTAAAATACTGTAAAATGGTTGAATTGAAACATGGCATTTGAAAAAAGAACCACAACCTAGTAACATAATGGAACACACATTCTTGCATGAAAATGAATGCATTTGCATATTTCAAATAACATAGTCAGTTGCTATTACAGTTTGTTTGTGACTTTTTAATCAAAAGTTTGATTTACATCTTGTTCCGTCTGATTTTCCAATAATTTTTTTTGTCCCAGCGGACAAAGAATACTGGTTGAGAACATAGGCTTTGGGGTCAGACAGACCTGTCTGGCCCCAAAGGGAAAATATGCTTGTGAAATTTCATATTTTCACAAGGAGCAGTCTTGTACTTTTTGGCTGTATTGCATTTTAGAATCCCTAGAGTATGTACAAAAGAAAGATCACTGAATTAGGAGGCAGGGAATTTAATTTTTAGGCTTGAATCTACCACATTTTTGCTGTCTTAGTTTCTCTCTAGACCTCAGTTTCCTTAGTATTAAATTAATAAAATGGAGGTAATAATACTATTCTTTTGACCTCACTGATTATTGTGAAAGCACTTTGTACACTTTCCAAATAGGAGGTATTGTTATTGTTTTTCCTAGCAATAGAAACGTTACAAATTACAGTCATAGTGAACAGGAACTCAAATCATAATTAAAATTTTGAGGAGTTGTGTGTCTGCCAGATTTAGCACATATGCAGTGATATAGAGAAAGTGTTATTCTTATGAAGCTGATTCAAAAATTCCTCTTAAGGAAACTATTGTGACTGTTTGGAAGGAACACCTTGATGGCTTATTTGGGGGAACTCCTAGCTTTGAGTACATTTGGAATGCAGATAAGTCCAAGGGTGGATGGGGAGTTGGGATGCTCTTGAATGTTTCAAGGTAAGTAGATTTGGGAGAGAGGGAGTAAAGGGACTGAATTTAAAAGGTGAATAAGGGAATATCATAAACTAGGAGACTTTGGATAATGCAAAGTTGTTTGTTCCCAGGTGTACCCTGAAATGCAGCCTGCAGCCCTATGATAGTCAAAAGGGCAGTATGCTAAGAATGAGAAGACCTAAGACTCTATTTTCTTTTTTCCACAATAAATTATTCCATGTCATTTGCATTTTTTCCTCTTTCTAACCTGCAGGCCATCAAGAAGCCATAGCAGTGTGCTTACATATCCAGACCCAGCAGACAGTCAATGACAGCTTGTGTGATATGGTCCACCGTCCTCCAGCCATGAGCCAGGCCTGTAACACAGAGCCCTGTCCCCCCAGGTATGTGCTGTCTTGTGTTCCTGGTATATACCGTGTCCGGGTGGTAACACCCTCCCTGCAGAGAAACCCACCTAAGTGCAGACTTGTGGCTTCACCCAAGGTAGATGTGCTAAGCCTGCTTCAGAGCTCTCTTTGCTCAAGTTATGCTCCAGCCAGATTCTTGCCTAGGTGCTCAGATGCAGCCATGTTGCACAGGAATGCTCTTCAGGCTGACTTTTGTTTGCATCGAACACGAATGAACATAAACTGGCCTGCTACCCATAAAACCATGAGATCAGTGGATTTGTTCTCTTTCTCCTCCCTGTTTCCTCCAGGGCACTTCTTCCCTTAATATCCCATCAGAAAGCACAGGATTTGCATTAGAGTTAACATTGGTACACAGTAGGTGCTTAATCCATATTTGTTGAGTGACTGTGTAATCTCCTGTTTGATATCTAGCACTCATACTGATGTGTTATTACCTTCCCATTGACTTGCCTTGGATCTCAGATTGTGGGGTATAATATTATAAACCCCAATGAGTAGGTGAGGGTGATCTTCTTGATCTCTTTGGCTGATAGGTTTACCTTAAAAGTTAATCTGCTTCCTTGCTTAAGTCCTGGTAAGATCCTGAGGAATTTTATCAGAAGAGAAGTAGCTTGTTCTCATGTTCCTGTGTCCCTGGTGCTGCTGGCTACAGAGGGTGATAACTGAACATCATTGGTTTCTCACACAAGACCTTTCTGAATATAGCCCCCAGTCTTTTCCTTTCTCTCTCCTTTACCCTTATTATCTTGTGACCCCTCTTCTGCGAGAAGAATTAGTTGCCGAAAATGTTAAGCCCATTCCCAGTAACCTCCTGCCTCTCCTACCTCTTAGTCGTTTGCCCCGCTAATGAAATCCTTTCATTTGCTAAAGCAAGTTCTGCTATGTTTAGGACTCTCAGTGATTGAGGGAGGTTATTGTGTCCTCCTGCCGTATTAGTCTAAGGATAAGTGTCTTTTATGTTTATTCAGAAAATAAGTTGTGCTTCTGGAATTCTCTTGACCCTTCTGATTTTAATTCCATGCAATCTGTTGGCTATGATGTTTCTCCTGCCTTGATTGCATAAGGGTGGTGAAGGTGGGGATTGATACGTTAGGTCCCCCTAGAAATCAGGCCCTCCACATCCTGGAGATGGGCACCCCTTCCTTGAGAGTCTTGTTCTCCAGCCCGCACAGTCTCAGGAGGAGGCCAGTGTGTGCCTCATCCTTGGTGAAATCACACCCGCCATGTAATGTAGGATACAGTGTTTTGTATCCATTACCATATTTCTCGCTTCCATTGAGACCTACAGAAGTACTGGGAGCTTGTTGGCTTATGTTAGAGCCATCTGGCTGTGCGTGGTTGAGGTGATGCAGTAGAGGCCTGTAGACTTACCTTGGTGAGCAAAGCAAGGCCCAGAAACAGCACTGGGAAATCTGTTTCCCTGCCACCTCCCACTCCCACCCCCAGGTTTACAGCATTCCAGAGTAATCCACGCTAGAATGCAGATTGCAGAAGAGACAATAAAGGAGGGGTTTTAGGAAGGTTTGATGTAACTAGGAGTCAAGACATCTACTTTGTCAAGTATGTCCAGACTTTTCCAAGAATAGCAAATATATTGGAGCAGTGTTGAATATATATTCACTTGGAATGACCCTTCTATCTTTAGAGAAATAGCACTTGTGTAATGGCACGTAGTAATCCGAATTATTTATCTATGTTTCTCAGTTTTTTCTGTTCTATTATTGGAACCACTGAATTAGATACTTTTGGAAAAGCTGGGGTTTCTGTTTTCCTCCCCTGCTACATCCCTTCCCTGAGGCAGTGAAGATGGAAACAGATGACCACCTTCCTGTACAGGAGCAAGGCACAGGGGAAAATACAGGGAGGGGGCAAAACATAGTTATATTTCTCAACATATTTCCCCATGACATTGGAATCATGTACTATATCATTTTGTAAACTGTTTTCTTAAATTTAATCTGGGGATGGGGCACGAGGTAGATGTTAAATAAACAGCGTCTCAAGAGCACGAATACTATGAGGACCTAAAATAAATTGGTGGGGCAGGGAAGCCGGGGAGGTTGGTGCAGGTCATTCCTGAGGAAGTTATTTAAGACATAAACACAGGCAGGAATCTGCCAGGAGAGGTGTAGAGGAATGAGTGCTCTGGGCAGAGGGAACAGTATGTGCAAAGGCCCCAAGGAAAGAAAGAGCTCAGTATGCTCAAGGAACTGGAGAGAAAGGAAATCAGTGTGTCATCAGATGAGATAGGAATGGGCAAGGGCCACGGTAAGCACTTGGACTTCATCCAGAGAGTCAGTGGGAAGTCATTGGAGGGTTTGAGCAATGAAGTGGTACATCAGATTTACATTTTAAAAAGATTACTCAAACACAGAAATGGGGAGAACAAAATGGAGACAATTAGATCAAGTATAAATCTTTTAAGAAAATTATTTAAAACTAGGGATCCAGCCCACCACAATTTCATTTGAGCATCCTCGATTTAAAGCCTGCCTCCATGTGAATCTGCAAATATCATCGTTTCCTTTTTATTGTTTATATGACACTAACAACTTTTTTTTTTTTTTTTTGAGACGGAGTTTCGCTCTTGTTGCCCAGGCTGGAGTGCAATGGCACAATCTTATGGCTCGCTGCAACTTCCACCTCCTGGGTTCAAGCGATTCTCCTGCCTCAGCCTCCTGAGTAGCTGGGGTCACAGGTGCCTGCCACCATGCCCAGATAATTTTTTGTATTTTTAGTAGAGATGGGGTTTCACCATGTTGGCTAGGCTGGTCTCAAACTCCTGACCTCAGGTGATCCACCTGCCTCGGCCTCCCAAAATGTTGGGATTACAGGCATAAGCCACCGCACCTGGCCACCAACAACATTCTTTATCAAAATAGTTGAATCCCTTTCTATATTTGTAGCCATGAATATCAGTTCACCTCTACTGTCTTTTCCAAAAATGCTCAGTGTCTCCTTCAGAAATACTGCTTTCCCAACCATGGCCCCCATGCTCCAGTATTTTGCAGAGCAGTTTTAAGAGTTCTACAATCCATAAATCCTTTTCTTTCTTTCTTTCTTTTTTTTTTTTTGAGACGGAGTCTCACTCTGTTGCCCAGGCTGGAGTGCAATGGCACAGTCTCGGCCCACTGCAGCCTCTGCCTCCTGGGTTCAAGTGATTCTCCTGCCTGAGCTTCCTGAGTAGCTGAGACTACAGGCATATGCCACCACACCCAGCTAATTTTTGTATTTTTCGTAGAGATGGGATTTTGCCATGTTGGCCAGGCCGATCTCAAACTGACCTCGAGTGATCCGCCCACCTCAGCCTCCCAAAGTGCTGGGATTACAGACGTGAGCCACCGCACCTGGCCCATGAATCCTTTTCTATGTACTGTTTTATTTAAAACAATGGATGAACCTGTTCACAACTTACACCTGCACTGTATCAGGTGTTTTGCTGTGCAACAATTTGAAAATCACTGCCCTAAGTCTCTTTTTGGTGAAAAGTAGCTAGTACTATTCTTATTAATGGCTTCACATTCTTTCAGAAATGTGCTAATAAATATATAATGAATAAAGGCTCTTGTTTTCTGTATATGAAAACTGAAATTTAGGATTTTTAGGTAATTGATGACTTCTCCATGAGCATACACTAAATAAATTGCATACTACAACATAAAGCCCAAACATGGAGTATTTCTCATGAGATGTCATCTAGTCCAAATTCTGCCTTTTCTGGATGGCCAAATGGAGGCTGTGGGAGCCCACATATTATGCTACTAGTAGAGCTGGTCTCCTGATTTCCAGTCCCTCCACTAGCCATCCCCTTTGTCTACTCTAGCCAGTACTCTCTTTCTAGAAAGATGACTAAAAAAAAATGGTTTCGAATTTACACAGACTTAAAATTGTGACTACAATTTGGCTGTGTGATTTTTTTTTTTTCTTTTTTTTGAGATAGGGTCTCTCTCTGTTGCTCAGGCTGGAGTGCAACGGTATGATCACAGTTCACTGCAGCCTTGAACTTCTGGGGTCAAGTGATCCTCCTGCCTCAGCCTCCCAAGTTGCTGGGATTACAGGAATGAGCCATGTGCATCACTAATTTTTAAAAATTTTTAAATGTTTTTAGAGATTAGGTTTTTCTCTGTCATCTAAGCTGGAGTGCAGTGGTGCAGTCATGGCTCACTACAGCCTTGACCTCCTGGGCTCAAGACATCCTCTCATCTCAACCTTCCAAGCCCCTAGGATTATAGGCATGAGTGACCACACCCAGCTAGCTATGATATATTGCTAGCCATTAACAAAGAAGAGTAAAAAGAAGAAAATACAACCCAATATGTTGGGGTATATTTTATTTCTAGATTTAAATCTTACTGCAGATTGACATGAAGCTAGTCTTCACCAGAGTTCTGTCCTGTTTCTAGCCAAGTAACAACTAAAACAGAGAAAACGAAAATGATAACAACATGAAAGGCACTTCAAATGAGAATGATTTGCATATCACAGGATGAAAAGAGAGGCCCTAAGAACACTGATGAAACTCTCAGTTTTATTTTTGTGAAAATAACTGTTCCACTCTTGCTCTGGAAGTGAAGGTAGCCATAATGTGTCATCATATAATTTTTTCAGAAAAGAAAGCCAAAATATGAAACAATTTACAATTCATTCTCTGCCATTCTAAGAATTAGTGCATAAAGTTGGCATTACAACCACAATTATGTTCAAGATAAGATAACTTGATTTTATAATTTTTAATTTAAATTTTCAAGACTAAATCAAACATTTTCCCCCACTTTATCATGAAACCTGAGTTTCTTTTTTGAGTGGAATCACATAAAGTGGCCTTTTATGGTTTTTGTTCTCTGATAATATGAACTTGAGATTCTTGACCATTTACTTTTCAGTACTTGATGAATTTGTCCTAATCATGTGTAACTGCCACTGCCTTAATTCAGATATGTTTTACCTGAACTGTTTCACAAGTTTCTAAATGAACTCTTGACTCTCCTGTTTCCTGCTCTGATCCATGTGCACACACGACTATGAAAGATCTTTATCTTTCTAAGTTGCAAAATGACTGTGTGTGCCTCTGCATGAAACCTTCAACAACACTCCTTTATCTATGGATTAAAACCCACATTCTCTACTTTGGCATGTGTTTCTTTTGCCGGGGCTGCCATAACAAAGCACCAGAAACAGAGTGGCTTAAAGAACAGAAATTTATCATCTCCCAGATCTGGAGACCAGAAGTCCAAAATTAAGGTGTCCGCGGCGTTGATTCTTTCTTAGAGCTGTGAGAGAGCCTTGGTTCCATGGCTTTCTCCTGGCAGGTAACCTCTGGCATTCTTTGGCTTGTGAATGGCATTGTCCCTGTGATTTCATATTGTTTTCCTTCTCTGTGTCTTTGTGTCCACACTTCTCCTTTTCATAAGGACATCACTTATATTGGAGTAGGGCCTACTCTAATGACCTCCTCTTGATCATCTGCAAAGAACTTATTTCCGAATAAGGTCACAGTCACAAGTACTGGGGGTTATAACTTCCACATCTTTTGTGGGAAGGCAATTCAACCTATAACAGCATATAAATGCCTTTGTGACCCTGGATCCAACTCTTAAACCACATCTCCTGTCACCTCTACCACACACACACACACACACAGAGAGAGACAGAGAGAGACAGAGAGACAGAGACAGACACACACACACACAGAGAGACAGAGAGAGACAGAGAGACAGAGACAGACACACACACACACACACACTCAGACTCACCCTAAGGAACTTGCTCAGCAGCCACAGTAAATTATGCACCATGACCCACACTCCTGCTCATTCATGCCATTTGGACCTTTGCACACACTATGCCCTCTGCCTCTTAGAGACCTTCGCTACTATGACATTAGTTAATTCTCTCCCATAAAAGTAATCATTGGCTCACTTCTCACTGGTAAAATGAAGTTCAACAGAATGTGAGATAGGATCCTTACCTGAGACACTTGATAGCAAGGAACTCTCAAAAGTCAAAAGAAAATTGGAAATGGATCAGGGACATGGGATAAAGCCTCAGTTCCACGTCTCTCAAGGAATTTCAGGTGAGTTCCTTAGCTCTCTGGACCCTGTTTCTTAATATGAATAATGAAGAAAGGTGTTGGACTTTATGATCACCGAGGTCCCCTAAGCTCCAGTCTTTCATTTTTGAGTAGTGCTTTCAGGTTGCATTTTTCACTCATGTCTTCAAATTATGTCTAGTCCTTTTGTAACAATCCTTATGTCCATACCTGAGTAGTGTGACGTGCTTGGGGTTTTAGTTCTAAGGATGACAGCCTTGGTTTGACCTGCCCAGGAGGTCAAGGCAGGGTTGAGTTTAGTCAGTGCTCTTCCATTGCCCACCAAACCAGAACAAGATTTAGCAACAAATCTAGAAATTGTTTCTTAAATTTACTGAAGAAAGCTTACTGGTTTATTCATGCATCAGCCTGTGTACTGTATCCCCTTTCTCTCATCACTGTGCCTCAGCAAGAGTTCTTACACATTCTCTTCCTCAGCAATCTCTTGCCCACAGAGCTTCCAAGCTAGGAATAATAGAGCAGACAACATGTCTTGGCCACTTTGCAAAATTAAGAGTCTGTTTTTATGTGAAAGGAAATACTATTCCTCATTTCAAAGTTGCAAATTTAATAAACTTTTCAAAGGTTGAGAGTTATATTGGAAAAAAACCAGCAGAGACAAAGATTTGATGCCAAAATAAAGGTAAGTTTACAAAAATGTTTTAGGTTCTAGAAACTAGTGGTGTAGGAATAACAGGAACAGTGTGTTGCATAATATTTTCCATACAAATATTTACTGACTCCAAGGGCAATAGCAGTAAAATATTACCCCAGGGTGAAACTTACCACTGAGATTGGGTTGAACAGCCAGTGGATCTTTATTTACCCAAAGGCAAATGTATTTGATGTATTAGCCTGGGCTCTCCAAGGTGGGGTGTTGGATGTTTATTTGCTTTTATGGGGTTACTCCCCCTGATCTATCCTATAACTGCTGAGTGCCTGCTATTTATGGAGTTTGCTTTTTCCAGGAGAGAGCCAGCAGCTTGTAGAAGCATGCTGGGTTACATAATGGTCCTGCTAGTCTGAGGAGAGCCTTCTTCTCTAACAGGATTCAACACTGCTAGGGAAGAAAGGAGGAAAGCAAGAGGCAATAGTGATGTGTTTCTGTACCAGCTTGTTACCTATTTCTTGATATAAAAAACAATTCTTTATTGAGTTCATTGTCTGTGAATAAGAAATTGTTGCCCATTTCTTAAATAAAAACAGCTCCATCTCCAGTTCCTTGTGACTATAATTGATTTATCTAGCTATACACTTGCTCAAAAGATGATCATCCTGAAGTCACATCAATAAACTTACAAATTTAAGCTGAATTGTTTTAATCATGAAACAGAAACCTTCTGATTATTTAGCTATGTAGTCCAATTGTCATCCAAATATGACCCATGTATCTACTTTCGGTGACTTCACTCACATTCAAAACTTCTGGAATTTAGATATTATCAATTATAGTCTAAGTAATTGATAGACTTCCAATTAAGATGGTGTTGTAACATCATATTCTGTTCCAAATACAGATCAATGGTAGATGCAGTATAAAAGGGGGCCTATCAAAGACACAAGTAAGAAAACAACTACCTGGGCTAGGAAAGGAATGGAAACATGAGGTGGTGAATGGAGCTGCACTTGTGGTTATTTGGAGCTTGAGGTCCCAAAGCAATTGTAGCAAATGACAGTTCAGTTTCTAAGATAAAAGAAAAATAGTTGATGATTTGGGGAAAGGGAAGAAAATTAAGAAATATGGAAGTAACGTCAGAGAATGAAGATATGAAGTAAACTGTTTACTAAAACTTAGGAAAAAATATCCACTCCTAGTATCAAGAGAAACAAATGAAAATAAATCCCTACATAGATATGAAATAGTGAAACTACAGAAAATCAGGGACGATAAGAAAATCTTAAAAGCTACCACTCATGAAAAACAGATTAACTACAAACAACTTATCAACAACTGGAGTTTCTGGAAGACAAAGGAATAATATCTTCAGAATACTGAGGGAATATCATGATCACCATAGAGCTAAACTTGCTGAACTATTATTTCAAGTATGTGACTGTATACATCAGTTTCTAACCACATGATGGACTTGATATCCTTAAAGGCTTTTTGCTAAATACCTCTAAAATACTGGGTAAAATATGTAAAACATATCTTGAAATGCAGAACTAAGCTTGTAAGAAAGTAAGAGAAATCCTCAGAAGACAAAAACAAGCTGAAGCATTGCCTTAGTGGGGACAGTTGTCAGTCTCAGTAACCTACACTTTTTGGCTTTAAGATCTTTTGCCTGATAGACAAGTCCTTAGACCTTCAGAAAGTAAGGAATAGAATGGAGATTCCCCATACAAAGCCAGGGTCTACCTCAATGGAAAGGCAAATTCAAAAAATGAAATCCATCCTGTAAAGAGAGATTGCAAGGAGAACTATCTGTCTCAGGTCTGCCTCTGAATGGAAGGAATCAGAAAGGCTCCCCTGAGAATCTAAGAGCTACAAGTAGCCCTTTATGTAGGAGTAGGGTTTATATTCACTCTATGTGATCCAAAAAATTAATTCATACTGGTCTTGATAGAGGTGATGTAAATCCTGCAAGGAGGAATGTATCTTCTACCCAGACCTTAAAATTCCCACAAAGACATAATGAGCATTAGCTCATAATCAAAATTTTTTAAAAACACATGAAGAAACAATGTGTGAGAGTCAGTGGGGGAAAAAACAGAATCAGATACACAGAGCATCGTAAATTGGAATTATCAGGTACAGAATATAAACGTATTTATTTAAAATGTTTACATATATAAAACAGGAAATTAAAAATCTACGCTATGAACAATAAACTATCAAAAATACTTGGAAGATTGTTTAGAAGAACCAATTATCACATTGAACCATCTGAAACTTTCTATTTGGTCAAAAATGGTCAAATATTGGCAGTTTATATGGTTCCACTAATAGAATATCTAGAAGTTAAAAATACAGTGATTGAAATTCAAAAGTTATGTGCTGGAGTAAACAGGTAAAATGGAAGAGAGAGCTGAAAAAATTACCCAGAATAAAGCATGGAGAATACATAAAATATGTAAAATATCCACAAAAGGTAGATACAGAGGAAATATTGAGAAGGTTTATCATATATAAAAATGGAGTTTCAAAAAGAAAACAAGAGGTGGCATTTTTCCCCTGCTCTACAGGTCTGTGGAACTTTAAACCAGAGGGGGTGATATAGGATATCTTGCAGAAGAAATTTCTAAGAAGCAAAGCATTCAAGAGGTAACTTGGGTGCCTTAAAAAGCATTTAGTTTTATGCATTCACAAAGAGATGATTTGGAATTGGAACTTATGTTTAAAAGGGAAGCAAAGCATAAAAGTTTAGAAAATTTGCAGCCTGACAATGCAATAGAAAAGAAAAACCCATTTTCTGAGGAGAAATTCAAGCCTGCTGCAAAAATTTGTATAAGTAACAAGGAGCCAAATGTTAATTGCCAAGACAATGGGGGAAATGTCTCCAGGGCACGTCAGTGGTTTTCATGGCAGCCCCTCCCATCACAGGCCCAGAGGCCTAGGAGGAAAGGATGGTTTCATGCTCTAGTCCCAGGGCCTTTGCTGCTTTGTGCAGTCTCAGGACTTGGTGCCCTGCATCCCAGGCATGGCTAAAATGAGCCAACATACAGCTCAGTCCATTGCTTCAGAGGGTGCAAGCCCCAAGCCTTGGTGGCTTCCACGTGGTGTTGGGCCTGCAGGTGCACAGAAGCAAAAATCGAGGTTTGGGAGCCTTTGCCTAGATTTCAGAGGATGTCCAGGCAGAAGTTTGCTGTAAGGGTGGAGCCTTCATGGAGAACCTCTGCTGGGGCAATACAGAAGGGAAATGTGGGGTCAGAATCCCTACACAGAGTCCCCACTGGGACACTGCCTAGTGGAGCTGTGAGAAGAGGGCCACTATCCTCCAGACACCAGAATGGTAGATCCACTGACAGCTTGCACTGTGTTCCTGAAAAAGCTGCAGACAACGTCAGCCCATGAAAGCAGCTGGGAGGGGGGGCTGTACCCTGCAAAGCCACAAGGGCGGAGCTTTCCAAGACCATGGGAGCCCATCTCTTGCATCAGTGTGACCTGTATGCGACACACGAAGTTAAAAGGATATCATTTCAGAGCTTTCAGATTTTACTGCCCAGCTAAATTTTCGACTTGCATGGGCCCTGTAGCCCCTTCATTTGGGCCAATTTCTCCCATTTGGAATGGATGTATTTACACAATGCCTGTACCCCCATTATATCTAGGAAGTAACTAACTTGATTTTCATTTTACAGGCTTATAGGCAGAGGGGACTTGCCTTGTCTCAGATGAGACTTTGGACTTGGACTTTTAGGCCAATGCTGGAATGAATTAAAGCTTTGGGGACTGTGGGAAGGCATGATTGGTTTTGAAATGTGAAATGCACATGAGATTTGCGAGAGGGGATGAAATGATATGGTTAGGCTTTGTGTCCCCACCGAAATATCATCTTAAATTGTAATCCCCATAATCCCCATGTGTCAAGGGAGAGACCAGGTGGAGATAATTGAATGCAGTAATGAAAATTAAACTCCTTTCTCCAGAACTTAATAAGTAAAATAATTCATCCAAAAATACCCCCAAAAATATGCTAAGAAAAGAGAATCACATCAACAAATGATTGGATAAAGAAAATATGGTATATGTACACAATGGAATACTATTCAGCCATAAAAAAGAATGAAATCTTGTCTTTTGCAGCAACATGGATGCAACTGGAGGCCATTATCTTAAGTGAAATAACTCAGAAGTCGAAAGTCAAATTTCACATGTTCTCACTTACAGGTGGGAGCTAAATAATGTGAACCCATGAACATAGAGTGTGGAATAGAATTTGGAGACTCAGACAGGTGGGAAGAGGGTAAAGAATGAGAAATTACCTAATAGGTACAATGTACATTATTCTGGTGTTGGTTGCAGGGAAAGTCCAGACTTTATCACTTTGCAATATATCCATGTAATGAAATTGCACTTGTACCCCTTACATTTCTACAAATTCAATTTTGAAAAAGAAGAGAGAATCATATTAAATTCTCCCACTTTTTAAGTAAAAAAATAGCGGTAATACCCAGTGGTGACAGATTCAGAAAAAAGTTAGGAAATGTTCTTGTAGATAAGCGTCTGTCATTCTGATGGATCATGACTAGTGCATTCACTTGTGATTCCTTTGCCTTTAAAAAATAATGATATTAAAAGAAAAAATAAGTGCCTTATACTGTGAAAAATGATAAAAAGGACTTCATGATTCTAAAAAGAAGAAAGAGACTTATCAAAGAGATAATAAGAGGGAATATTTCAGAATTAATGAAAAAATATGAAACCTAAGAATTGGGAGTCACAGCAAATCCCAAACGGGAAAAAAAATACACACTCAGATACATTGTTGTTAAACTTTAGAACTCTAAAGACAAAGAAAATCTCAAAGTCAGAGATATAGAAAAGATCCAGGAAAGGAACAATAACAAAAACTGCCATTTTTCCTCATGAGAAATAATGAAGCATTATCTTCAAATGGCTCAGAAAAAAAATTCACTGTCAGCCTAGAATTGTATACTTATTAAAACAACATTTTAGAGATGAAATAGGGATATTTTCAGATTGTAATAGTATCTCCTTATGCAGCAGGTGTCAACAAAGTAGTCTTATAGTAAGGTTATATGACAATTAAATGAGTTAATACATATACTTTAAAAAGAGCTTGGCACATCATAGGTAATCAATAAATATTTACTAATATTATGTTAAGTATTCTAGGTGAACAAAACCAGGAAATTGCACTATCAGCAAATTTTCACTAAAGACAATTTTAAAGAATGTATTCATTAAGAAGGAAAATGATCCCAGAAGGAAGGTCTGAGATATAAGAATGAATGATGACCGAAGTATATTGTAAAGATATTTAATCTAAAAAAGTTTATTGACTATGGAAATCAATAATAGTTTCTGATTTATCAATTTGAAAAAAGAAATATTGTCCAACAAAACCTTGTAAAACTCAGAGAGATTGATTAATTAAAGTGCTTTAGGCCCTTATACCATTTGTTAAGATGGAAATGATTTTGGTTAAGTCTAGAGTTGTTAAATAGGGCCTTTAAAATTCTAAGGGTAAACCTAAAAATAAAATATAACAGAGGGGAAAACAGAATAAAAACTATAACAAGCAAAATAAATGCTCACAAAAACACAGGAAATAATTAGAATGAGAAGAATGGAAAAGTCAGGAAAAACAGAATTCTTAACAATAGTAACAGATGAAAGTAGTTCAAGATAGCTGAGAAATCCTTTCATCTTGATCAATAAAAGGATAGACATACTGAACAACTGTAGACTTTTGTTATAAACATTTATAGTTATGCTATAAAAACCCTGGAAGATAACCTAGGAAATAACATTCTATACATAGGACCTGGCAAAGATTTCATGACAAAGATGCCAAAAGCAATTGTGACAAAAACAAAAATTGACAAATGAGACGTAATTAAACTAAAGAGCTTCTGCACAGCAAAAGAAACTATCAACAGAGTAAATAGCCAACCTACAGAATCAGAGAAAATATTAGCAAACTATGCATCCAGTGAAAGCTCAATATCTAGAATCTGTAAGAAACTTAAACAAATTCAGCAAAAAACCAAAAATCCCTTTAAAAAGTGGGCAAATGATGTGAACAGACACTTTCCAAAAGAAGACCTCCATGTGGCCAACAAGCATATGAAAACATGCTCAACATCACTAATCACTAGAGAAATGCAAATCAAAACCATAGCGAGATACCATCTCTCACCAGTCAGATGGCTATTATTAAAAAGTCAAAAAATTACAGATGCTGGTGAGGTTGCAGAGAAAAGAGAACATTTATACGCTGCTGGTGGGAATGTAAATTAATTCAGCTATTGTGGAAAGCAGTGTGGCAATTTCTCAAAGAACTTAAAAAAATTACCGTTTGACCCAGCAATTTCATTATTGGGTATATATCCCAAGAATTATAAATCATTCTACCATAAAGACACATGCACACGTATGTTCACCGCAGCACTATTCACAATAGCAAAGACATGAAATCAATGTAAATACGCATCAACAGTAGACTGGATTTAAAAAAATGTACATATACACCATGGAATATTATGCAGCCATAGAAAAAGAATGAGATCGTGTCCTTTGCAGCAACATGAATGGAACTAGAGATCATTACCTTAAGTGAACTAATGCAGGAACAGAAAACCAAATACCACGTGTCCTCATTTATAAGTAGAAGCTAAATATTGAGAATACATCAACACAAAGAAGGGAACAACAGACATCAGGGTCTACTTGAGGGTGGAAGGTTGGAGAAGGGAGAGGATTGAAAAAGTACCTACCAGGTACTATGCTTATTTATATGGGTGATGAAATAATCTGTACACCAAATGCCCATGACATGCAATTTACCTATATAACAAATCTGCACATGTACCTAAAATAAAATGTTTAAAAATTATCATTACGTATGTTAAAAGTCAAGGATCAGTGCTAAATGAACAGAAATACTAATTTATGTATTGATTTTGTCTTTTTGCATGTTAATTGAATGTAAAATTTCTAGAATTCAAAAATAATCTAAAACTTGTATCACCTTATATTAATCAGGGTTCCTAGGTATAAGCAGTATAAACTAATTGTGCTTAACTTGAGCTAATAATAAACTTACTAGAAAGATGCTAAGTGGTCCACAAAAATAATAGGCTGGATAACTAAGTTTATAAATTTTTCAGGAGCTAAGGGAGATTAAATTGAAAGAAAACACAAAGTCATACCAAAGTCATGTCTGGTTAGGTATTTCTGGACACTTGTGGCCATTACTGTCACATTGTAAAGATATTTAATCTAAAAAAGTTTATTGACTATGGAAATCAATAATAGTTTCTGATTTATCAATTTGAAAAAAGAAATATTGTCCAACAAAACCTTGTAAAACTCAGAGAGATTGATTAATTAAAGTGCTTTAGGCCCTTATACTATTTGTTAAGATGGAAATGATTTTGGTTAAGTCTAGAGTTGTTAAATAGGTGATGCACTCACCACCAATGCCTGGTCCCATATACCACTTCCACTCGGTGGTGGGCCACTGCTGGTCACATCTAACTATATGACTTTGCAGATAGATAATGTCCCCTTTATGATAAGCAGCTTGTCACATGGTCATCTGATGGGTCATGGTCAGGTGTTCCACCATGGTCAGGTGTTTAGTATCTAAAAACGCCTAGAACTAGGCTAGAGCTATTTTATAGGAGGAGCATTGCTACCCTTTAAAAGGGCAGATTTTATGTTATGTAAACTGCATCTCAATAAAGCTGTCATTTTAAAAAAAGCATTTCACAGCGAAGACATTTAATTTTTTGTTATGGTTACATTTTCTTTTGGGTGCAAGTTTTTTCTCTGGAGTTGGCAATCTCCTTACTTTTTTTTTGTTTGCCTAATTTCAATGATCCCATCATTAACTTATTCTCAAAATCTCTATCAGAGTTTATTCTCTCAGTACATTCAAATATATATTTTGTTTTTTACATATTCTGTTTCATAACTTTCTTAGTGCTTTAGCACTGTGTGTTTACATTGATTTCTGGTCAACTGAGATGTTTCATTTGTATGGGGGAATGTCTTACCCTTATGTCTTTCTTTAACTGGTATTGCTATTTTTTGTAACAAAGGGGTGCTCAATTAGATATTTTGCTCTATTCTCCAGCCCTCTCTCACCTTCCCGCCCCCAAGCCCTTGCTTTTTTGGATGCGCTAATTCAAATTAAAAATGTTTTTTATCATGAATATCTGT